>NC_000001.11:68947774-69250804 GCF_000001405.40 Homo sapiens
GGAACTTACCTACATTCCAAGTTAATAGATGGCTGAGATGGAAGGAAGATTCGATTCAATTCTGCCTGGATACACAACTGGACTTCCCCCTGCCTAGCTGTTTTGAAGTGCATACTATGGTACATTACCTAGAAATAAGAAAAGGGAAAAATAAGGGGGAAGGAAGAGTTCTACAGGAAAATAAAATGGAAAACTACACTAAAGTTAAACAGATCCCATTATTTCAGGCATTCTGGGAGTCTTACCGTTAGTAAACATAAGAATCTTCAAGAGTAGGTATAGGCTGCATTATTTCCCAAACTGGACCATGAAAGTGAAATTTTTAGAGCATCTCTGAGATCTGTTTATCAAATACATCTTTGAAAATGCTGCTTTATAGCCAGAAAGACAGAGAAGAGTGGTAGGTGATATTGGTCAAGAGGAGAATGGGGTGGTGACTATTTAGGACACAGAAACTTTCCTATTTCTAGTTGAAGCATAGCAATTAGCTTCCCTAGCTTCAAGATAGGTCAGCCTTGGCTGAGCACATCTTAGGAGCTCAATCAATACTTAGAGAATTGAACTGAATTAGGGAATGCAGCATACCTTCTCATTTCACCAGAGTTGTTAGCAACAGCAGAACTATTTAGAGAGCGTAGCTGTGTGAGGGACTGCTCTGGCAACGCTTTGACATGGCTGCTCTGGAGGCAGCAGCAGGTCATTTTGTGGGGGTCCTCCCTCTCTGCACAAGCCAATAGGAAATTCCGGAGTTTCTCCTCCTACTCAGGATCAGCTTCTGTCTTTATCCCTAGCCTCAAAGTGTGACCTAAAGTCCTAGGGTGTGTGTTTTTAATGTGTGTGCGTTCTTAAAGTTTCAAAGGGAGACTAGTTTGCAGTTCTCTTTTCATCAAACGTTTACATGGTGGTTCATTTTGATGAAAAAATACTGTACTTTGTGCTCACTGAGAAATAATTGCAGCATTGTAATCTTTATCTGAGCTATGAAACTCCAGAAATGAGTCCACATACTTTCTTGAATTTTCAGGTAGATGGAAAATATGATTTTGAAAATAAAAAGGGAAGAAGTCTGACCCACATGACTTCAAATTTTATTCGATTGCCTTTTCAGTTTTAAAAAAACAGTGTTTGTGTTTTCTTCTTAGAGTGTGGTAGAGAAGAACAGTGATATCTCCATTTATGTGGTACTTTTAGCTACTCAGAAGATTTTTAATATTCATTTTATTACTAACCTTGATTGTTACTACAATACTTGAAGGCAAAAAGGTCAATTATTGAATGATCTCCATATAATAGAAGAGAAAACTGAGATCTGAGAGGATAGCAACTATTAATGGCCACAAATCTATTTAATTTATTCAAACATATCTATTAAGTAGAAATATATGCTAAGCACTGTGCTGGGACCTGGGAATATGGGGATGAAGGTAAATAAGATACTGTCAGAATCCAGGAAGAAAGACCAAATGTAAATGGAAAACTCAAATCTGTGTTGATAAGCACATGACAAGGTCAGCTCACAGCGCTGAGGGAGCATCTCTTTCTTAGTGAGATATGACAGACATGTGCCGAGAGTGATTTGGGGCAGTGGTACTCAAACTTCAGTGCACACCAGAATCCCCACAGAGTGGGGAATTGTGAAGCCCCCTCACCAGACTTCTGACTCACTAGGTCTGGGGTAAAGCCTGAGGATGCTTTTGAAGACATAATGTTGATGCTGCTGATCTGGGGATCACACTTCAAGAGCCACTGACTTGGAGGACTTGTTAATGCAGGGCCTTGGAAGTATGACAAAAGTTGGATTCATCATTAAAGGGACAAGAAAAGGGTATTAATTAAGGCTCAGGGGGAAGGTTGCAAATTGTCCTGAAAGCCCAGAGATATGGGAAGTTATAAATTTTTAATGGGATAAAATTAATACCTCTGCACAATGTTGCTACCAAGGCTTGGAAACATGAGAAGAAAAGTGGATAAATAGGATGTATCAATGTATCCTTGCTTAAGACTGTCGCAGAATCAGAAGATAATGGATGCTGGTGACAATGTTGTTGGACATGTGGTTTTATTTTTGTAGGAAAGAAGTAAAGACAGGTTGAGACTGATGGGCCCACGACAGTTGTTTCTATACTGTGAAATAATGGAAAAAATTATCATGGCTGTATATCTGTGGAGGTGCCTTGAGGGGAAAAGGCAGGCTTTTTGCCCCCGACTCATTGCTGCAAGTAGAGCAGCTATGCTTTTATTTTGTATCTGCTGGGAAACCTTGTGATAATCCATTTCAGAAAAGGTTCTGCAGCAAAATGGAATTTGACCACAATGAAATTAGTGTAAAAGAAGAGGTTAAGGATTTGAGGGATTTTATGGGATTTTCTGAAATGGGGGTTCTTTGTAGTTCCATCATAGCTCGTGCTCCTTCTGGTTGCCAAGGTGAAAAATCCTTTGTGTAGCAGTGACTCTGGAATAATGTTTTCATGGAGAAAACCCAAGCGAGAGATAAACAGCTGTCTGCTAGTGAAAAGGTTATATACAATTACTCCTAAGGGCTTTGGGGAAGACAAGCAATGTGTAGCCCTTTTAGCTAGATACTGCGTCCAGGGGTCATTTGTTTATTGGAAACATTGGGTAATTAGTAGATTTGCTGGTCCAGTTGGCATTTGTCTTATTGATCCCCTGATATTTTGTAAATGCTTTCATTCATGTAATGCTATTTGCTCTCCTTATACAGACTTTCTAGTGTGTTTCTAGAGAAAGTGTTGGACAAAAATAAGAGAATGATATATAAAGACATACATACTATATATATATATATATATATAAATGCACCCACCAGAACAAGGATGAAGTGGGGGCAAAATAAAAGCAATGTCATAATTTAAGCCATTATTTCCAAAGTATGTTTGGATAATAAATCATATAAAATGCTTCTCAATAGTAAGATGTCTAAATATAGAACTACTAAATCAAAATTTCAGTGGGATACCTAGAATTTGTACCTTCACAAGTTCCTAGGTGATTCTTTGCAGTCAACTCATTGTCAGGCATTTAAAAAATATGGATTTAGGCCACCAAGACACCTACATATGCCCCTATTTGATGTATTCAACCAGGGTCAGTTGGCAATGCACAAAGCTATGGACAACCAGGGGGGGTAGCCTATCCTTAGCACCCACTACTCATTCATCATCACCATTTTTATTTGTCTGATTGTTCAAAATAAACGTATGTACCCCACAAAAAAATATATTCAAAATAAACACTAATGATCCTCTAACAAACTGGCAGCAAAAACTGTAAAAAATTTAGTTGACTGAACTACCCTCAGGGAGAAATGCAAACTAATTCCAGGATTGAAAAAGCTATTTGATCCTTAAATGTCTGAGAAAAGTACTATGGTCTGGATGTTTGTATCCCCCCTAAATTTCTACACTGAAACCTAGATTCCAGTGTTATACTATTAAGAAGTGAGGTTTTACAGGAGA
Organism: Homo sapiens; assembly: GCF_000001405.40. Lineage (NCBI taxonomy): Eukaryota > Metazoa > Chordata > Mammalia > Primates > Hominidae > Homo > Homo sapiens. Next base: position 68,951,251 of record NC_000001.11, read on the forward strand.
TGATTAGGTCATAAAGTTGGAGCCCTCATGAATGGGATTAGTGCCCTTATAAGAACTATGCACTAACCGATTGTGCTACTGGAGCTACAGTTAGTGCCCTTATAAAATAGGTTCAAGGGGGCTCATTTGCCTCTTCCACAATGTGAGGATACAGTGAGAAGTCAATAGTCTGCAACCTAGAAAATGGCCTTCACAAGAACCTGGCCATGTTGGCACACTGACATTGGGTTTCCCAGTCTTTAGAACTGTGAAAACAAATTTTTATTGTTTATAAGCTACAAAGTTTGTGGTATTTTGTTATATCAGCCTGAGTGCACTAAAATAGGAATTGATATCAAGAAACAGGGTGTTCCTATAAAATGTGGAAATGGCTTTGAAATTGTGTAATGGGTAGAGGCTGAAAGAGTTTTTAAGTGCTTTCTAGAAGAAGTCTACATTGTTGTCAATAGACCAAAAGGAGTCACTCTGGTGAGGGTTAGAAGAAAAAGAGAGCTGTAGAGAAAAAGCATCAACCTGCTTCGGGATTACCTACCTGGTCATGAACAGAATGTTGATAGAAATATGGATGATAAAGGCCATTCTGATGAAATCTCAGATGGAAATTAGAAATATTACTGGAGACTGGAAAAAAGTGATCCTTGTTATAAGGAAGCAAAGAATTTGGGTGAATTCAGTTTGTATCCTAGTGTTTTGTAAAGATGGAACTTGTGAGCCATAAAACATGATATTTGGTAGAAGAAATTTCTAAGAAAAGTGTTGAAGGTGCCATTCAGCCTCTATCCAATGTTTATGGTAAAATACAATAAGAGAGAAATGATTTAGAGATGGTATTTTTAATCAAAAGAGAAATGCAACTTAGAAAAATTTGGAAAATTCTTAGCCTATTAATATTGAAGGAAATAAGAAAATGTGCTTAGAAGAGAAGACAAAAGGTGTCCAAGCAACTGTTTGACAAGGAGATTTGTATGATTCAGAGGAACGCACTTGCTTTTCCTTGGGACAATGGAAGAATGGTTCCAAAGGCTTTTTGGAGATAGTTGGAGCTAACCCCTCCCATCACAAACCCAGAGTATAAAGATCTTGAGAGCAATTTCAAGGCTTCTCTCCCTGTATTTCAGCTCATCAATCCTCAGCAGTGGGCTCAGAGTCTTGGGGGCCCAACCCCCACCCCAATGTGTCCAGAAGGTGAAATATTGAGTCAAAAAACATTATTTTTGAGCCTTAAGATTTAATTGTGTTTGCTGTGTTGGGTTTTGGACTTAGCTGTGACCTGTTACTTCTTTCTTCTTTACAATCTCTCTGTTCCAGAATAGAAATGTCTGTCCTATGCCTGTCTCACTATTGTATTTTTGAAGTGCATAATTTGTATGATTTCACAGGCTCACAATGGAGATAAATTTGCCTCAGAATGAATTGTACCTTGAATCTCAACCATAACTGATATAGAAGATATTTAGATGAGTCTGTTGACTTCAGAATTTTGAGTCAACCCTGGACAGAGTTAAGACTTTCGGGTCTAATGAGATAGAATGAACATAATTTTCATGTGAGAAGGATATAAAATTTGGGCCAAGGTAGATTGTTTCAGTCTGAATATTTCTGTCCCCCCAAACCTCCTATGTTGAAACCTAGTTTTTAATGTGATTGATAGTATTAGGAGGTGGAGTCTTTTGGGAGGTGATTAGGTCATGATGGTAGAGCCCTTGTGAATGGAATCAGTGACCTTATAAAATAGTCCCAAGGGAGCTCATTTGACTGTTTCATTACGTAAGGACAACCCTTAGAAGAGCCTGACCCTGCTGGCACCCGACTCTTGGACTTCTCGGTTTCCAGAACTGTAAAAAATAAATTTCTGTTGTTTATAAGTCATCCAGTCTATGGTATGTAACAGCTTGAACACACAAAGGCAAATGGTTTCCATATTTTGGTGCTGCTGAAATAATGCAGTGGCTATAGCACTTGCGGAGAACATGGGAAGAGAGAATACTTTAATTGTATCACCTTTTTAGACCCTCAAAATAATTCTGCATTGTAACATCATTATCCCTTGTGTCTAGATGGGGGAACTGAGGCCCAGCATAAATGTCTACCTCATTGTCATATAGCTAATGGCAGCATCAGGGCTCAAACCCAAATCCTTCTGATTCCAAAGGCTCTGCTTTTTCACTATGTCATGTAATGTCTATGCAGCTTATCACGTTTCCTGCCAACATTAGCACTGATGAATGCCAAGATGCATTCTAAGGAAATAGTGTATCTGGGATTGCTTAACTAAGGCTGCTCAGAGGGAGGGTGATTGTGTGTGTGGAACTGTACAGAACACAGAGGATGGGAGCAGGCACTGTGGATTCAGGATGTGAGCAGGCACTGTGGATTCAGGCTTAAAATTCAATACACCCAATAAATTTGTGTGACCTTGAGCAAATTATTTTAGGACCACTAAGTCTCAGTTTTCTTATCAGCAAAATGGATGTAATTATAATGCCTACTTATAGGGTTGTTAAAAAAATTGCTTTCTATAAAGGGTGTACTCAGCACAGGGCTGATAGAATTAAAATTATACAATACATTGATCAAGTTGGAGTCATTATTACCCCCAACTAGTCATGTAGGTCCAAATCACCCAAGTCCAGCACATTGTTGGGAGTCATATTCTGGATTCTTTTTATTAAATTATTTTATTTTTCTGTGAAGCAAGAGCTTTTCTTTATCATATTAATGAAATCATATATTTTTCAGGATAATTCTGGTTCCATAAAATTTAAGGATTCATGACATGTGTAATTTATAACTATATAATTGAAACTAGTTTGACTTTACTGTCATAAAACAGAATCTTAGAATGGAAAGGGCTTGGATTTTGAATTCATACAATGAAGATTGGGTTCAAATGTCTCTACCATCATTCTCTAGTTGTTTAAACTTGGGCAGTTTCTTCAAAACTCATTTTCAATCTGTAAAATAAAGATAATGGTTATTGTGAGGATTAAATGTTGAAAGGATCTAATAACATGTAACATAGCTGGCAATTAGTAGAAGTGCCATTTAAAAATGTTTTCAGCAGCAAATAACAGGAAACCAGGTGGCTTAAACAAATAGTGTCTTAGTTTGTTCAGGCTACAATAACAAAATACTATAGACTGGGTAATTTATAGCTTATAAACAACAGAAATTTATTTCTTACAGTTCTAAAGCCTGGAAAGTCCAAGACTAAGTCACTGGCAGATTCAATGTCTGGTGAGAACCCATTTCTTGGCTCACAGGTGGCACCTCCTGCTGTGTCCTTACATGGTAGAAGAAGCAAGGCAACTCTCCAGGGCCTCTTTTTATAAGGGACTAATCCCATTCATGAGGGCTCTCTGCCCATGTCATAATCATCTCCCAGAAGACCCCACCTCCTAATGCCATTACATTGAGGGGTAGGATTTCAATGTACAAATTTAGGGAGACACAAACATTCAGGCCATAGCAAATGAGGCTCTGATAATAAAATTTCCAGGGAAGATAGTTGTTGGCATGGGATCAGCTACACAGTAATAACGACAGAAACTTAAACTCTTTTATTTCTACCAGCCTGGAACATTATCTTTCATCCTAATGTTATATCATGATCACAAGATGACTTGAACAACATCACACTTCAGTTCCAAGAAGGTGAAGCAAAAAGAGAATTAAAAAGTCCTCTCTTCAGGAGACTTGTGCTTTGCATTCATAAGTAGAATTCTTCTTCAGCAGAGTACTCTTGTACAGATCATCATTAGCCACAACTGGGTCACATGATCCCTGTAAATCAGTCAATGGCCAAGGGTAATAAAATTACCATGATTCATCACTTGGGCTGGAACAAGGAAGGATCTGGCCTATATGCAAAAAGGGAATCTTGACCAGATTTCTAAAGCAATTAGGGTTCTATCAGATAAGACGAAGGAGGCGGTACAGTGAGGAAGATCTTGGGGAGCCCACAGACAGTATCTGCCATGATGGTCATTCAACAAAAGCTACTTTTTCTCTCCCCTTAACTGAAAAAATTAGCAAATATATAAATAAATCAATCTTGTGCCAGTTTATGAGTCCTGATATTTAGCTCGCAAAAAAATTTTAACCCTAAGTATACTATAGGATCTAGACAATTGGCCTTTAAAGGTGGCAGATTTTCAAGAAATCAACTTATTAATTTTGATCATGTTTTTTGCCTGGATTCAAAAGAATGGATTTTAATTTAAATATTGGAAAAGATTAATAGCAACCCATATGCCACTTTCAAAGAATGCTGGTGTTGGCTAAAGGCTTAAATAATAGAACTGTCTGGGACGGTGAGATTTGCCTTGGACCTTTTCCCAGGACTGCATTAGTCAGGCGCTGTAAGTGGAGGACAAAAGAGCTGGAGACATAGCTAAGTGTCAAGGACTGCCTCTTCTCATGTGGGAAGGTCTGGATTATAAAATCGGGACATCATTTCATTACGGGTCTTGCCCAAGCCACGATCTGACTTATGCACACTTCCAGCCTCAAAGCTACCCTAGCACCTCTCCATGTGCACCACAGCTTCTTGCCTTCCCTGAGACCCTTACCTAGGATAGATTTCCCTGTTACAAACTGCCTGAGCACCTGGTACTTTCTTCTGTTGCACATACCCACTTGTAATTAATTGATTGATTACTTGTACAATTACAGTTTACTGTCTCTTCCCCAGTAGAATATAAGCTCCTTGAGGTGCCATATGCTCGGCACTAACAAATGCTTGATACATGTTAAGCAATCTATAAATGTTTATTTTTAAACATGTATATTTAGAACACATCAATGAAGAAATTTATCTGAAAATCCAAATATACTGACAGATTGGGAAGGAGGGAGTGAATTTTCACTTCACAAAATAAGTTCCCAGAGGAGTTTTTTAAACATGGACCTTCTTTAGGCATTTAAAATAGGATTTTATTTACCAGAATTTGATGCACATTACTTTTCAAGAACACAGACACACACACCTAATTCAAAGCCGTACGCTATAAACACACACTCTAAATTTTTCCTTTCCAGGTGTAATTCCAAGCCAATTATAAAGAAATGAAAAGAGGGGTGAAAAACCAAGCCTGTTCTAGAATACCAGAACAAAGATCAACAGAATAGCATATCCATAAGAAAGCTCCAATGTCCCCTAAGGAAATTAGGATAGGAGTGTGTGGCCTTAAAATAATCACCTCCTACCCTTGCTTCTAATTGCAGGTTTGGTTTTGAGGCAATTCTGGGCCATGAGTCTGTTCTGTGGAGGACTGGAATAGTCGTTCCTTCTTAAACAAGCCAGGTGGGGTGCTGACTGACTGTGTTAGTATCAGTGTGTGTGTGTTGAAGGGGAGAGAATTGTGGAATACTAAGACCTGAGTAATGATGATAGTGACAGCTAACAGTCCCTGAGCACTTGTGTGTACCACACATAGTGATATGCACTGTACTAGGATCATTCCTTTTAAACTTTGAACTCCTGTGTGCCACTTACTTCCTTCATAATTTTTGAAAAGTCATTTGATCACTTACCATTCAGGAACATCTCAACAAATGGTCTCACTCATTACTACATCACAAAATATTTTGAGGCTCAAAGGAGATGATGGATATGAATGTTCTTTCTCACCTGTAAAACCCTACAGAAATATTATATTTAACAGAGCTTTAAATTTACTTATATTTTACATATATAGTTTTATGTATGTATGTTACATATTTATGTATTTTATATGTATATTTGTATTTATTTTGTTTCAGCAAACATTAAGTTAGATTTATGCTCAGTATATAACAGTAGTTGAGGAGCCATCTGTCTCATCTGTGTCACCAAGACATGAGGTTATGAAAAGACGAATTGGATAAAGAAAGTCCAAAGTTGCTTTTTGAAAGATGGGGAGGAGTTAGTTGCCTAAGGAAAGTGGAATGAGGGAGTCAAATTACAGCAGGTAGAGGCAAGAGAATGAGCAAAACTGTAACAGCATCCAACAGTATGGTTTTTACTGGGGAGCAAAAAGCAGTTCAGTATTGGTAAATATAGGACATGTCAGGTAGGGTCAAACAATGAGGCTAGAAAATTAGACAAAGGCCAGGTTATGTTGAGTGTTCTGTGCGGCTATGGTCTGAATATTTATTTCCCTGCAAAATTCACATGTTAAAATATTAACTCCAAAGTGATGGTATTAGAAGGTAGAGAGCCTTTGAGAGGAGATTGGGTCATGAGGGCAGAACCTTCATAAATGAGATTAGTGCCCCCATACAAGAGTCCTGAATGAGACCTCTCGCCCCTTCTGCCATGTGAGGACACAGTGAGAAGGCACTGTCTATGAACAAGGAAGTAGGCTGTCATCAGACACTGAGCCTGTTGGCAGCTTAATTTTGGACTTCTCAGCTTCTAGGATTGTGAGATATAAATTTCTGTTGTTTATAAACTACACAGTTTATGGTACTTTTGTTATAGCAGCCCAACAGACTTAGACGCATGCCCTACTACAGGCAGCATGTTTTTGATCTGTATTTATAGGTGATGGAAAACAAATGAACAGGGAGATGACATGTTCATATTTATATTTTATTAGGGTCAATCTGGAGGCAGCATGAAAGATAAATTTGGGAAGAGCCAGACTGGAGAAGGAAAGTTAAGAGACTAATATGGTAATTGCAGCCTGATGACCAGATCTCAACTAGGATAGTGGTAGGAGGGATGAAGAGGCAGGAATGGATTTCTTACATATACGTATATGGAAGGAGAGGTTCATATTGGCATGATCTGGTTACTCATTAAATACGGCAATAGAAAAGGAAAAAAGCAAGTCTAAGGTGAATCCAAGATCAATAAATACTTTTCTGGATGGATGATGGATAGATACATGGTTGGATGGAAGGATGGATGGATGGATGGATGGATGTTGAATGGTTGGATGAATGGATGGATGGGTAGATGAATATTTTGTGTATGTAAATGCTGAAAGAATTAGGTTTGGTTCTGGATCGCATAAGGTACCAGATATTTCATTTGGTTTTTACTCCTATAAGTCTGATTACTCAGTGAAATTACTCAGTCACTCAAATACCAAAATCTCATGAATCTTGCCATGTACCAGTTATAGTACTAGGCTATGCTGGGATATTATTCAAAAGTGAATAATGCTGACCCCATCCTTTAAGAAGTTTTCACTCTTGGTAGGGGCACATGACTTAAAGGTAGTCGTCTAAGGTGGTCTGGGAGTAAATGAGAGGTCCATATTAGTGGTTTAAGTCCTCAGATGTGAGAGATGGGATAGGGTAGCCTGGATGGCTTCCTGTGGCATTTGCAATTTTAGTTGGGAAAAAGAAACACAGATTGAAGGGGTAGGGAAGGAATTTGTGGCAGGGAGACTGGAAGGTGTTGAGCTGAGGGCGTTGGCAGAGCTGGGATTGAGAACTGTAAGCAGGCTAGTGTGTTTGGAAATGCTGTCGCTCTTGTCTGGTCACATATGGAACATGCTAAGTGATCCAGCTTTTGCATGGACCTCTTTGATTTATCATAGCAGATCTCTTTAGGGACCCTTGTGACCTTCTAAATGTTTTAGCTGTCAAATTATTCCTCTGTCCTAGTTGAACACTGAACTCCAATATATAAAATAAATAAAAGGAGAACTGAACTTATCACAATGGAGGGGAGGAGCTAGCCCCTGTTCATCCCACCACCTCAGAGATAAGGCACCTCACCCAAGATAGTTATGAGGAAATTTTAGCCTTCTAAAGACCTCACAGTTTGGAAACCATTGGTTTAGTCCAGTTCTTTCGTTTTACAGATAGTAAAACAGGGACACAGAGAGGTTATGAGACTTTCTCAAAGCCACATACACAAATATCCTCTCACTCAGCAGAGTTAAGCTATAAATAGGACTCATGTTTCCTGGAACAAGTCTAAACCAGAACAGTTTCTACATCCTTGGTTGGAGAGAGGCATCTTATTAAATCATACGCTGTCCAGTTTTTGACTCTTTTCAGACACTTGCAAGTTGCCCTTGTCCTCGGGATATGCAGAGTCTGCAAATGCCCTGCCTGGCTTCTAACTGAGGGTGGTTCAGAAGGCAGCTAGGAAGCTTCCCTTTTGTAAGAAATCACCAGGATAAGGAAGTATTTGCATTCAGCAGTGGGCACAGTTGTGATGTGCCTTGTACTAGAGCAGCATTAATTTCTCCTGCTCTGTGTTCTAAAGAAAATATTCCCATTTTTGACAGATGTTCTAATTCAACAATTAGCAGTGACTATGACATGCAGAAATTACCAGTTGCTAAAGCCCCACTTAGCCAAATGGGAGACATAGAGTATTTTTATACTCAGCAGCCTTGGGCTGTGTAGCTTGAAGCACACACTTGCCCAGCATTTCTCTGGCTTATGTGTTTTACCACTAACTGTAATTTATTTTTAAATATTCTAAAAATGTGCCCATCGCAACAGCTTCTGGGTGGTGGGAGGAGAAGAGAAAAGCATAAGATGCTGTATGAAATGGCATCCACTAAAGGGCTCCCTTCCAAGCCCTTGATACCATTAGATCATGAGAAATGCCAGTAGCTCTTTAGCCAAGGGGCAGCTTTGCTAAGAAGATTCAGCTCCAGCAAATGAGTCATCCCACCCTTGCCACTTAGGGTTCTTGGTAAAATCAGGAAAGGAGATTTAGTTGGTTTCAATGCTCCCAGCCTCCCTCTGTGTATGTTTTCCTCCTCCTATTAATAATAAAAATATCCTCTTTCCATTTGTCCACTCCACCCAGGTCATTCCCATACCTCCATTTTTCACCCAAAAATGTCTTCCCTCCAGAAAATTCAATCTTAGTATTTTGAAATAGTTACAGTGCCTCAGAGTTGTCAAATTATTGACAGCTATGATCTACACCTTTTTCCATAAAATAAATACACATGTACATATATATACATATATTTAGATCCATATCCTCACATACATAAAAATGAGCAGGCACATACAATATAGGTGTACTTATAAAATACGTGCACAATGTACATCCAGGAAAATCATAATAGCTAATTACAGTGCATGCAAATAGTTTTCTTAATAATTTTAATAATTTTGACCAAATGGTTGTCAAATCTGATTTGAGTGTCAATTTTTAAATTTTGATGTGGTTAATGAAGGCTTCATACAAGGGATAGGAGGGAGAAGTCTTAGTTGTACCATTTTCTTGTAGTTGAATACTACATAAATTATTTATATGATCTTCACCTGTGCAATTCCTCAGTGAGTATCATATAAGCCAAACATGTATTCTTGTGAGGATTCCTTTGTTTAATACCAGATAGTCTACTCTGTACACCTACCTTGTGTAAAGGATAATTTGTGGCAATATCCCAAAAGCAATCCTCAAGTGCAGGCACCATAGCCTACCTTTCCACCTATGAAGTCCTAATCTCCAGTATGTACTACTTTTAACAACACACAGACTCGAGTCAAGAGGCTGGTCTCATTCTATTAGCATTTCTCTTATTCTCTTTTTATTTCTCTTATTATTAGCATCTCTTATTCTATTAGCATTTTTTCTCTTTAATTCTTTTTGCATTAAAAATTAAAAGTTTTAATATTTATTTCTCATTTTCTAGTTGCTTATCTTGAACATTCCACTTAGGAGGCTGTGAATGAGACTTGGTGGGTGGGCCCTTCTGTCCTTTCTAGAGGGAGTAGTCTACACATTTGGATTGACTGAATGGTCTGTGTTGATTGTGAGGCCTTAGAGAGAAGTTATGTGTAACAGGGCAAATGCTCAGTGGTCCAAACCTGGCTTCTAGGAGATGTGGGTTGCACACAGTCAAATTCAACTTCTTCAAATCTGCATTTGCCAGTTAGCAATGCAAATTGCCCAGGAAGGTATAGCCAGAATGGCTATGAACAAGCCAGCCAAGGGAATAGCCTGACCTAGCCACAAAAGTGCTAAATTCTAAAGGTCAGTGGGGATCTCTTTCTGATTTTGTTACCAGTCTCCTCATAACAGTCTGTGCTCTCTTTCAATCTCTCCCCTCCTCCCCACCCCACCCCCCTCTCTCTCTCTGTGTGTGATTCTCTCACCACTTTCAGGCAATTAGGTTACTTGCTATTAACATATGAGGCATTCATAGTACTCTCAAACAGAGCATGCCTGGCTCCCTATATCCGGCTCCTTACCAATTCCTGTGGGTTCCACTCCACAATGCCTCTTACATTGTCTGCTTTCCTCTGTCCTCACTGTTAGCATCCTAATTCAGGCCTCATTATCTCTTGTCTCAATTGGGATAACAGCCCCCTACCAATATACCCACCTCTCATCTTCCTTCACACAAATCTCTCCTCCACGCCACTGACACCTCCAAATATACTTCACTTTGCTTGGAAGTTTTCAATGGCTCCTCCACTCCCTGTGGCACTAAGTAATCAGCAAGTTGGATTGACATTCACGTTCATATTACATGTGACCAATCTGTTTATTCTGACTTCCTGCACTTCTCTCTCAATTATTTTTTATTTTCTAGACAAACGAATCCTTTTTCTATTCCTTTATCAAATCTCACATTGTCATCTTGTGCCTTTGTTACTAGTTTCTTCTGCCTGAAATACAATCCCCAACCTTCATGCTTTGATCTATTTATTCATCTGCTAATTCGTAAGCATCTGCTATGATTTTCAAAATTTCTCACCTGTAAAGTGTCTACTTGTCCTTCTATAACCTCTTCCATTAAGTCTTTCTTGCCTTTGCAAAGCAATGCCATTTCGATGTCTTCTAAACTTCTTCAGCATCTTAATTTTGCTTTTCTTACATACCGCTTTCTGTTTGTTTGTTTGTTACGTCATACATTTTGGTAAAAAACCATTTAAGAAATGTCTAGTTTGTGCTAAGCATTATAATATGCCATGTAGGATTATATTTAATACTTTCAATATCTTTGCTAGACCCATAAGCTTATTCCCATTTTAAAGATTAGAAAATGAAGCTCAGAAAAATTAAGATACTTGCTCAAGGCCAAATCTGTAAGGTTCAACGGTTAGGAAACACACCAAACTTGTTTTCTTTCCTGATTACATGATATACTGATTATAATCATCGTTGTACTTTTTCATACCCAATAATACATCACAATGTCCTTGAATACATGACTGAATTAATTGAGGTCAATTCAATCAAATTGTACCTGAGGGAATTTGCAGAAGGGAAGTCAAAGGGGTGGTCTCAATATGCCTTTAGATTGGCCAGTCACATAGTATGGGCCTTCCGCAGACCTGTTATAAGACAGCCTGAAATAGTTCAGTCAGGCTCGTTCTACATAGGTTTTAATTTTCTAGCTTTCCAGAAGTCACTGCTGCCTAACTCCTGGCTGCCGCACAATGTGTTGCAGCTTTAAATATTCTCCATGTTAATGCTGATTACTGAATAAAGTGGCAATTAAGTTTTCATGGCATAATTTCTATGTTCCTCTGAACAGTACTAATAGTACATTGTGTCTGTCCCTTCCAAGAACCCACCTGTTTTGCAAGGAGATGGCAGCAGGCTGGTGCTGCAGGCTGCTGAGCAAAGTGCTAGTGTTACTCAGGGATTTGATCACAGCATCAGCAGCCACAGAAGACCTGGGCTACATGAGAGCTAAAATCTGTGCACATTCCTTCACCTCTGCCCCTCCAGAGGTAAATTTGTCTTAGACTCGAAGAAAACCTCCTCTGTGGCCTTCGCCGCTTTGTATTTCTTGGTACTTGAAAAAGCAAATGGAGCCATATTTTACAGGCAACAGGAAAAACCACAAACCTTCTGTGAAATTGTACCCGTGCCACAAGAAATTTCTCTCTGTCTTGTCTACCTCTTTACATTTGCAGTCTCAACCTTCATTTTCCCACAGCAGTTCTCAGGCCTTCAACTCGTTTTTTCATCTCTGCTCCTCACGTTGGAGTCAGAGTCTTACTTCAGTCTGATTCTTCATTTCCCCAGCCCACTGTCATTCAGGGAGCCATCTTCTGCTCCTCTTTGCTCTGGCTTTGGGTCCCACAGCCAAGTCCAAGTCTCAGTTCCTAGACTCCAGCCCCAGTTTAGAGTCATGAATATACCTTTCTTGGCAAGCCCTGCTGCCAGATATGCTGGGATCTTAGTAGCAGTCAGGATGGACAGAGCTAAGAATGGGAAGAGGAAAGACTGGAGCTGGAGGTACTGGCTCAGCTACAGGACTGACTACTAGAAAAAAGGGTGGTTTTGGTTTGGCTGTGTTCCCACCCAAATCTCATCTCGACTTATAGCTCCCATAATGTCCACGTGTTGTGGGAGGGACCTGGTGGGAGATAATTGAATTGTGGGAGTGGTTTCCCCATACTCTCTTCTCATGGTGGTGAGTAAGTCTCATGAAATTTGATGGTTTTATAAGGGAAAACCCCTTTTGCTTGGCTCTCATTTCTCTCTTTTTCCTGCCTCCATGTAAGGTGTACATTTCACCTTCCGCCATGATTGTGAGTCCTCCCCAGCCTTGTGGAACTGTGAGTCCATTAAACCTTTTTCTTTATAAGTTACCTAGTTTCGGGTATGTTTTTTTTGTTTTTTTTTTTTTTTTTTTTTTTGTTTTTTTTTTTTGAGACGGAGTCTCGCTCTGTCGCCCAGGCCGGACTGCGGACTGCAGTGGCGCAATCTCAGCTCACTGCAAGCTCCGCTTCCCTGGTTCACGCCATTCTCCTGCCTCAGCCTCCCGAGTAGCTGGGACTACAGGAGCCCGCCACCGCGCCCGGCTAATTTTTTGTATTTTTAGTAGAGATGGGGTTTCACCTTGTTAGCCAGGATGGTCTCGATCTCCTGACCTCATGATCCACCCGCCTCGGCCTCCCAAAGTGCTGGGATTACAGGCGTGAGCCACCGCGCCCGGCCTCGGGTATGTCTTTATCAGCAGTGTGAAAATGGACTAATACAGGAGGTCATCAAGTAAAATTTCACTTCTACAGTGGCCTGGAGAATAGAACCAGTCTCAAGACTAAGATAGTTCTTTCTGGTGCACAGTGCATAGAAATTAAAATCCTAGTTACTGGCAACATGCAACATCAGACTGGTGGTAGCTTTGTTAATGTGAGCGGTTTGCATAATTTGGAGAAGTTTATCCTAGCCAAAGGTGAGTTAGGCATAATGGAAAGGGATTTAGGCTTTGGAGTTAAAAAGACTTGGTTCCTAATTCCTGAGTATCTATAACTAGCACTGTGATTTTGGCAAGTTAATTAATCTCTGTGGACCTTAGTCTTCTCATATACAAATAGGAAAAAAAATAATTACCTCATAAGGCTTGTGGTGAGATTTGAAAATGGAAATAACAAATATTTCATGCAAGACCTAACAATAAAAGACAGTTATTCGTATGGATGGTGGGGTTGAGAGCCCAGAAAAGATGAGGGGATACAGGCAGATAGTAAATAGTGGCTTGTGTTCAGGGTCTCAGCAGTGGAAATGAAGTGTGTATCAGGAAACAAGGTCTGAAGACCGGAAATACAGATGGAACACTGTGAATGCAATCCAGGGCAAAACAATGTCAGGGCTCCCTGATCCATCTGGCTAAGACAAGACACATTTTAGACCTCACCAGCTGGTAGGTCAGAAGCTGTTAAGGTGCTTGCTCCCTGCCTTGGTCAGGTTTGGTCCAAATTGGGCAGGGAGCCCTCAGAGGGCATAGAAGAGCAGGCTGGCTTCTTAGGTCAATAATGAGAGCAGCTGCTTGAGAAGTAACGGGAAAGGCACTGCCAGCACTCCTGCCTGCCTCCACCTCTGCCAGGAGCTGAGGCCACCTGGAAGCCAGTCCTGGAAGCCCCAAACTCAGGCTGCAATAGCTCTGTACTTGCTCCTTGGGCTGGAGGACCTGAGTAGGGCAGGGCTAATTGGTGTTCACAAAACATCTTGGAACAGAGTAATGTCATCCTCTAAGGGGAGAAGCAGATCAGAAGTCAGGTGCCAAAATGTGTCCACTGACAAGTCCTCAGTGGTCTTTTCTGTTGCTTTTGCTGGTTCTTGGCTAATTTCTCTACATCTGGCCCCCTGAGCGTCTTTAACAGCCATGATATATGTATGTGTATGTATGAATGCATGTATGTGTGTGTGCACTTACACATTTATGTAAAAACAAGACAAGAGTGAGTACTGGAAAATCAAGGGTATAGTAATCAAGTTGCCTAAATATTTCAAAGGTCCCATGATTCTAATCTTTCTTCCCATATTAATAATATAAGCATCCCTACCACAAACTTTAAATTCCATGAGAACAGGGAGGATTTTCAGTGTCTGTCTAGCACAGAGTATGCACCTGGGAAATATTAATTGAATGAGTCATCTATATTTTAGGCCCATGTGAGGCTTTCACTGTATTATTTCTAATCTCAGTCACAACCCTACAAAAAAAATCAATCTAATTTAATAAACAACAAAACTGACATTCACAGAAAGTTCATACAAAATTTGTAAGTGATAGAGTTTGGAAATAGCCTGTACTCTAGTTCTCGTATTATAATGTTTCCAGATTTGAGTTTTGGAAACACGGTTATTCATTACTAGCCCTAAAGTAGGAGGGAGACTCTCAGGAATTCTGGGGTTAAGTGGGTAAAATAAAATGTCACAGAGGGGAGGAATAAAAATCTGCTGTTTCCAGAATGACATAATTAACATTACTGCTTTTGCCTGATTTAGTATTGCCAGATTTAGCAAATAAAAATGCAGGACTCCAGGTACATTCTAATTTCAGATAATGATTTTTTAGTATATCTTGAACATTTCATGAGACATACTAAAAATTACTGAACATTTATCTAAAATTAAAATGTAACTGAGCATTTTTATTTTATCTGGCATCTCTATTTTGGTTTAAGATATGAGACAATACCTTGGTATTAAGAAATTGGTTAACATTGATGGGGATGGAGTTCTGGCTGAAAAAGTCATCTAGAGGTGGAACAAAGTTTGTCTGACGTGTATTCTTTCAGTCACTCAACAAACGTTTTTGGGCAATTGTTCCTTGCAAGGCATTGCAAAGAGAGAGAAGTGCCTTGGTCCCAGTTAATCCTTTTTTGGTACTTGGAGCTCAATAGAAGAGCAAAGTATATTACTTACTGTGATAATAGGCTATGGGAAGTACGTGACACATCACTGGCAGAGATTTAATATTGCCTGGACACAGGAAAAGCTCCTTAGGGAAGCATTTACCCCAGCTAGGCATGACCCAAGTCTCATTTCCTTGCTCCCACTTCACAATCTAAGTGCCACACTCCTGCCAAAATGATCTTTCAAAATGCATAGCCAATATCCTACTGAATGGGCAAAAGCTGGAAGCATTCCCTTTGAGAACCAGCACAAGACAAGGTTGCCCTCTTTCTCCACTCCTATTTAACATATCATTGAAAGTTCTGACCAGGGCTATCAGGCAAGAGAAAGAAATAAAAGGTATTCAAATAGGAAGAGAGGAAATCAAATTGTCTCTGTTTGCAGATGACATGATTGTGTATTTAGAAAACTCCATCGTCTCAGCCCAAAAACTCCTTAAGCTGATATGCAATTTTGGCAAAGTCTCAGGATACAAAATCAATGTGCAAAAATCACAAGCATTCCTATACACCAATAAAAGATAAACAGAGAGCCAAATCATGAGTGAACTCCCATTCACAAATGCTAAAAAGAGAATAAAATACCTAGGAATAAAACTTACGAGGGATGTGAAGGACCTCTTCAAGAAGAACTACAAACCACTACTCAAGGAAATAAGAGAGGACACAAACAAATGGAAAAAAGTTCCGTGCTCGTGGATAGGAAGAATCAATATCATGAACATGGCCATACTGCCCAAAGTAATTTACAGATTCAATGTTATTTCCATGAAGCTACCATTGACTTTCTTTGCAAAATTAGAAAAAAACTACTTTAAATTTCATACGGAACCAAGAAAGAGCCCATATAGCCAAGATAATCCTAAGCAAAAAGAATAAAGCTGGAGGCATCTTGCTACCTGACTTCAACTATACTAGAAGACTGCAGTAACCAAAACAGCATGGTACTGGTACCAGAACTGAACAGAGACCTCAGAAATAACACCACACATCTACAACCATCTGATCTTCAACAAGCCTGACAAAAACAAGCAATGGGGAAAGGATTCCCTATTTAATAAATGGTGCAGGGAAAACTAGCTAGCCATATGCAGAAAACAGAAACTGGACCCCTTCCTTACACCTTATACAAAAATTAACTCAAGATGGATTAAAGTCTTAAACATAAAACCCCAAACCATAAAAACCCTAGAGGAAAACCTAGGCCATACCATTCAGGACATAGCCATGGATAAAGACTTCATGATGAAAACACCAAAAGCAATTGCAACAAAAGCCAAAATTGACAAATGGGATATAATCAAACTAAGGAGCTTCTGCACAGCAAAAGAAACTATCATCAGAGTGAACAGGCAACCTAAAGAATAGGAGAAAATTTTTGCAATCTGTCCATCTGACAAAGGTCTAATATCTGAATCTACAAAGAACTTAAATATACAAGAAAAAAACAAACAGTACCATCAAAAAGTGGGTTAAAGATATGAATAGACACTTCTCAAAAGAAGAGATTTATGCAGCCAGCAAACATGTGAAAGAAAGTTCATCATCACTGGTCATTAGAGAAAAGCAAATCAAAACCACAATGAGATACCATCTCACACCAGTTATAGTAGCAATCATTAAAAAGTCAGGAAATGACAGATGCTAGTGAGGCTGTGGAGAAATAGGAAAGCTTTTACACTGTTGGTGGGAGTATAAATTAGTTCATTGTCATGGAAGACAGTGTGACAATTCCTCAAGATCTAGAACCAGAAATACCATTTGACCCAGCAATCCCATTACTGGGATATATGCCTAAAGGATTATAAATCATTCTACTATAAAAACACATGCACACGTATATTTATTGCAACACTATTCACAATAGCAAAGACTTGGAACCAACACAAATGATAGAATGGATAAAGAAAATGTGTCACATATACACCATGTAATACTATGCAGCTATGAAAAAGAATGAGTTCATGTCCTGTCCAGGTACATGGACGAAGCTGGAAACGATCATTCTCAGCAAACTAACACAGGAACAGAGAACCAAACACTTCATGTTCTCACTCATACGTGGAAGTTGCACAATGAGAACACATGGACACAGAGAGGGGAACGTCACATACTGGGGCCTGTTGGGGGTGGGGGGCAAGGGGAGGGAGAGTATTAAGACAAATACCTAATGCAAGCAAGACTTAAAACCTAGATGATGGGTTGATAGGTGTAGCAAACCACCATGGTACATGTATACCTATGTAACGAACCTGCATGTTCTGCACATGTATCCCAGAACTTAAAGTAAAATTAAAAAAAAAAAAGCAACTCTGTGTACATCCCTGCCCTTGCTTAAAACCCTCTAATGGTCTTACCATCTTTTAGTTTAAACACCAAGCCCTTCTGCATGGGATAAAATTATCTATCTAATAGAGACCATATGAACTGCCCAACCTCATCTCCACTCTGTACTGGCTGTGAAGAAACGTGCTGCAGCTTCAGTCATGCACTCCTTGACCTCATGCTGCCCCTTAAGCTGGTTGTACCCCTGATGTGGCTTTAGCCTCTCCTCACAGTTGCCTAACTCCAGCTGTCTTTTCTACATTACCACTAGGTATAAAATATCTTCTATGTGGTCAACTCTCTACAAGATACTGAAATCACTTAATCCTCCAGGATTCAGAGTCACACCTTCTTGAAGCCTACCCTTCCCTGTCTGTGACCTTGTGGACTCCTCCTGTTAGCTTTCCTTTACTAGAGTAACTGCAACCAGCTGAGGTCATTGTCAGTTGACTTTTCTGTCTTTACTACAAAGTGAGGTCTTTGAATAGAAAGGTAGTGTATTACCTTTGTCTGTATCTTCACAAACTAACACTGCACCAGGCATGTGGAAAGGATTCAGACAATTACATAAATGAATAAATATTGTTAAGAAAATTAGAACCCCCCATAATAACATTAGTACTAATAACTATTATTTACTGAACCAGAAGCTGTGTTAAGTATTTTATATGCATGGCTTTACTTAATACTCTCAGTGACTACCTAAGGTAAAAATTTTTATTACCACCATTTCAGAAATGAGGAAACAGAGGTTAGAAATGGTAGGTAACTTGCCCAAGCTAGTGATGAGGCTAGCATTTACATTCAAACCTGGGTGAGTCTGACTGTAGAGTCCACGGTCTTAAACACTAGGCAGTCCTGCCTCTCAGATGTCCCCTAAGATTGTCATCATCTTCCCTAAGCTACACCTCCTAGTCTTTCCCTAGTGGGTTAAGCACACTTGTCACGTCTGGCTGCTCAGGAAAACTCAACAGGGCCAAAGAAAACATCTCTGTTGAGAGATTCAGGGCTTATGCAAATATCCAGACTGCGAGGAAGGCCTGTGGTTTTCTTTTGTGCCCTGTTTGTAATAAATAAGCCACAGCAATATGCTTAGGTCGTTAACAGAGATAGATGAAGCCAACCAAACCATCACTCTGCACTTGCCCAAATGGAATTGCTGTTCTGTTCATGAGGCTGCTCCATTTGTGGAGCAGGGTTGTGAAGGGATTCCATGGCCATTATGTGCTTCAAGAGAATGACCACACAGGGGAGGAGAAATGGGGTGTAGGAGAAGCCTCCAAAGGAATTTTTGGGGAAAGCCCTTACCAAAGAAGGAAAATGAGGGACTGGCTGGTACAGAGTCAAGTGTGTGATCTGCCTGCAAGTCTTTGTACCCCTGAGATATCAGTGTCCTCCTCTGTAAAATGGTCTTGGGGTGTCCACAGTGTTTTCTGATACACACTAATTCTGTGGTATGTTAAAAGGCATTAAAGGGTGAAAATAACTTCCTTTTTAAAACAAATGGGGAAATGTCTGTTTAGACAAGGTTTGCTGTTTTTGTTTTTGTGTGTTTTTTACTGCAGGATTTTTCAGGGCCTTTAAAGGCTACTATAATTATTAATCTCCCAGAGATGATAAACTTGAAAGCATTTCCCAACTTGATCACCAAAAGACTTTTCAAAGAGTCTATTATGGGATACAGTTTCCCAGGAGAGAGCTCAGGAGAATGCTACGCTATTTGCTGTCTGGGTGTGATTTGTCTGAAGGAAAGCTTGGCTGCCACTTCTTTTTGTAAAGAGATCTTGGGATGGAGTGGCAAAGCTGATTCATCTTATTGGGGGTTATAGAGAAGGACACACACAGATGTGCTTTTTTGGTTAAAAGTTCTTTGCACATCTGTGTCCCCAAAACTTCTCCACTTACTTGTTAGTACCTAAAATCCTGTCAGAGACAAATTGACTTTACATTGTGCTTTGAGAAATAGAGTTTTTGCCTACACTGAACACACATTGCACCACACGTTTTACATAAATTTTATATGAATTATCTCATTTCATTTTCACGGGACTCCCACAACAATGGTTGTGCATACTGTGTAGTAGATGACATTCATATTCTTGCCTGAAATACACACATTGTTGTTCCTATTGAAATGGTAAATTGAGGTCTAAGGAGCTTAAGTATCAGGAAAGGTAATAAGCATAGGAACTGGTATATAAACCTAAGTCTCTTTCTATTGAAGTACCAAGGATAATTTTAATTCTTCTCCAGTCAATTTTTTACTTTTTAAAATCAGGCTGACCTCAATAAGTAGTAATTTACAAATTTGAACCTTAGTACAAATTCAGAATTCAACTTTATCTTGGCCATTCAAAGAAAAATGAAGGTTGTTGAAGTATATGATAATTTTGATTAATTATCTATTTCTGCATAATAAACCACCTGAAAACTTAGAGGCTTGAAATGATTTATTTTCCCATAGTACTTCTAATAATCTCACTTGGGGTCGTTCATATGGCAGCAGTCACCTGATGGTTCAGTTGCAGCCAGGAGGCCTAGCACAGCCTTGCTCTCATAACTGATGATGGTTGCTGGCACACAACAGGAACCTCCCCCCATCCCTAGACCCCAGTACCCAGCAGACAACTGTGGGATTCTTCACATGATGATGACAACATGCTCGGGCTTCTTGAGACTTAGACTTATAGACTCTTACACCATCACTTCCCCTAAATTCTGTTACTAAAAGCAAGTCACAAATCCAGTTCAGATATAAGGGGCAGGAAATAGATTCTCATTCTTGATGGTAGGAACAACGAAATCATACTGCAGAGGGCCTACAGACATGAATTATTGCTGTAATCTTTGCAAACACTTGACCACCATTTTAGCAGACACCTCGTAGAACATCCGTTTAGTCAATGTTCCATTTTCTGGGAATCTATCTTCCATTTTCTGGGAGTCTACCTCCTTGTTAATGCAATAGAGTTAATCCTAGTCCCCTAGTAAGAGCTAATTAGACAAGAGATAGACCCCTACCTCAGAAGGGGTCAATGCATTGCCAGAATTGATTCAACCAGATTATTTCCTAAGAATTTTAAATTCTGAAGCAAAGAAATAAGTTAGCGAATCAATAGTACTGAAATCAAAAACCATTAGATGCAGCCATTTTTTCTCCAAAAGATATCCAATTCATTTGTTCATTGAAAAATATTTAGCCATATCCATTATGTGCTTGGCACTGTAATAGGCACTTGGCTCACTCAACTGAGAAAGAATAATAAAAGCATATGCACAAGGATAAGAGACTAAACTCCATACGTTTCCAAAGAGACAGAGGCTCTGGTTCCAGAACCTGATGATGTCTGGTTATTTATCCTTCCCTTGTTTGCTCCAAATTGCCTCTGGAACTGAACAATAAAAACGCTTATTTTCCTTAAGCTGGTAGAAATGGCTTCTATTACTTGTATCTAAATGAGTCCGGATATAGTATTCTATTGAGAGAAACTGCCAATTACTTTCTGTATTGGCAGAGAGACTGTAACACTGAACCTAACGGTCTGCTATACCTGGAACTTTTAAGAATTAGTACCTGGGTGGTATGGTCATTTGAATTTGTTGACAGCAGGACCTGAAACTGTCAGGCAGATTCTTCTTTATTTTTATACAGCAAGATGTTTCCAAATGTAGTAAATCTCTGACTTGCTTACTGGGCATAAAATGACTCAGGAGGAATAAGCCTATCTTTCTGATAATACTTATTTATTCAGCTTTCCACTGATTATTCTTTGAGTGCTTATTGTGTGCCAGGCACCATTCTAGGCACTTAAAAAACATCAACAAACCAAATTGACAAAAGTTCCTGTTCTTACAGAGCTTACAGGTTAGCACATTCTTCCCTAGTTATAAAGAAAATGAAAAAAATAAAAGCATAGATGTCATTTTTAATTCTCTTGGTCTGTTTAGAAAGAGATATTTTCTAAAATTAGTATTTTCTAGAATAGATATTTTCTTATTGAGAAATCCAATGGTCAATAACATTATCTAGTCCTTAAACATTGTAGAATGTACAAGTGCAGTAGAAAATGAAAAGGAGCAACAACAAAGATATTAAACAGGATCCAGTGATGTTGATATGCTAAATGTTTCTGTGAAATAATTCACTCATTCTCTTGCAAGATTGAGTGTATATTTCTGGCTGGAGAAATGCTGAGCTGCCCTCTGCATTGAGATAGAACTGGTGAGGTCAGGGGATAACAGATAATAGAGCAGAATTCAGAGCACTGTAATTCATCTATTGTATGAATGCTAAGAGCTTGATTTCATTCTCATTAGTCCTGGGTAGTCTATGTTTTTCCTCTGGCAAAGTATAATATTGTTAATACAGATTTCAATCAGTTGTTTCTTCTGTCTATTGGGAGAAAAAGTCTATTTAGCTTTTAAAGTATTTTTTAAAATTAATACTCAAATATTTTTTGAGTTGCTTTTATACAGGAGAAGCTTTGACTTTTAAAAAAATGTGGCTTCTTTTATAATAGTCAAGCTGTTGCTTCTCAGATGGCTGGCTTTGAATTTCTACTCTAGGAGTTCAAACATTAATATATTTCCTAAATTATCTACATGCTAGCTAATATACTCACAAAATAATATTTACTAAATCAATTTTCAAAACAAACTTTTACCCCAGAATGCTGCAAATGCCTCTACAACAGGGGAATATGGGAGAGGATAGATCTATGATACATAGGTAGAGATACAGAAATATATTGATAGAGATATAGCACTTTTGATACTCATACTGTATTTGCTATTGGAAATCATTATCCTCCTGGTGGACCCTGTGAAGGCTTAATCAGAACAGTTGAAGTTGTGCCTATGTTTGATACCATTTCTTTTTGCTCAGCCCATAGAAACATGCCTGCACAGTTGGCCTGGTCCATTAAAGACATTATACAGAAAAAGGCTTCATGTACCAACTACTCTATAAAAAGAGAGGTGACCTAGCATAGAAACTGTGAATACAGGTCTTGAAGATAAACAGACAGGTTTCGATTCAAGCTTGGTCACTTACTGGCCACGTGACCTTGAACAAATTGCTTAGCGTCTCTAAACCTTGAGCTTTCTCATCTATTATGAGGACACCCTTATCCCATCTAGTTCATATTCATATATGTGTGTGTGTGTGTGTGTGTGTAAATAAAATAATACACAATGGCACCGAATAAGGCATTGTTATCACTACTGCAAGATGATAGAACAATAGTAGGGGTAAGGAAATATAAGCGAGTAGAACATAGATTTAGGGAATCTCAAAGCAGAAACAAACCTTACCAATAAGTAAGATCTTCTATGTTTTTCATTTTATAAACCCTGAGTCAGAGGCCCAGGGAAGTTAAGTGACTCACCGTGAGTGACCAAGCAAGCTGACAGAGCCAAGAGTTATACAATGAGAGGTAAGATGCTTTGTAACTGTTCTTTTCTTTCCTTTTCTCTCTCATAATAAGAAGGCAATGTCTGTGATCATTATAGTCATATTACCTGAGTAGCTTTAGCAGTAACTTCAATCCAAGGAGTTACCTGGGACTCCACCACTTAAATGTAGATTTTTCAAAAAGAGGAAACTTTTGTATCATCAGGATAAAAGGGAGCCCAGTGCTTGAAGAACAGATTGTATCCCTGAGTCTATTAACTCTCTTTGTATGCTTCAAAAGAAAATTCTTTTGGGCAGATTAGAAGTTGGTATTGTAAAAGGTAATAAATACATAAATTTTCATGCTCAACAGTCAGGGCTTGAGCAGGCTTGTCTACAATGCAGCCCACACCATCCAGAGCTTTCCCCCAGCTTCCCAGCTCTTGTGCACTACTCATGGCTCTGAGCAACAGAGGAGGGCAGCGCTCATTGTTCAAGATACAAATTCGTCAGCTGAGGGGGCTGTTCTAAGTGGAAATGTACACTCTTCCCTCCTACCATATATCTCCCCTCTGAAGATGCCACATAGGATGTGAGGAGCTTGGAGGGCGGTGGCGGAAGAAGCCACTTGCACTGCATTATGTGGGCACTTGACGCTCCCTGCTGGACCATGATGCTGAGCTCCCTGGGCTGAGGCATCTGTACCTTATAAATAGATCCTTTAAGAATCTGCATCTATAACTTTCCCAGGTGATGCTGCCCTGCTAACTTGGAAAGTAACAGTGATACAGAAATAATAATTGGAATAGCAGCTAGAAATGCCATAGTGATCAGCTATTTAGTTCCATGGGCATGTTCTTTCATGGCCTCTGACAGGGAAATGTTTATTTAGTTTCTTCTAGATTGCTAGGCCAGGTTATTTTCAGAGGGAATTCAAAAAAGAAAATATTTTTTTAGTAAGATAAAAGCTAATTGCTTATAATTAAGTTCAATAAAGACCTCCATAATTTATTAAAACTTATTTATTCTATTTAAGGTCTTTAATGTTTTATACATGCCTGCTGAATGAAACAACAGAAGGCTATTTTACAAAGTAAGATTCAAATAACTAGGGAATGATTTGTGCTTTCTAAGCCCTAAGTTTTCAGTCTGGGTTCTTGGAAAAGGAAGAAAATGAATGTAGATTATTTGTTTCTGGAACAACACATTTTATTTGTCTTCATTCTTGCCTTGAAAAATATTCATGAGTTTAAGTTGCAGAGGCCAAATGATGCTTCTTAAATATTATTCATAATATTCTGAGCTGAAACATAATGAGACAGGATATATTTGAATGTGTGCCCTGATCCCACCCACATTGACTAACATCATCTCCTGAAACGGAATAGCTGTGAATGGCCATAGACAGATTTCTTGTTGGTCCTATTCTCCCCTTTACTTTGTCCCTATGTTCCCCTTACCACTTAGAATACCTTAGCTAAAGCACTTTTATTTGCGGTCAGTTGAGCCTTTTGTGACTCAGTTTGTAGCCAGGGGCAGGTATATTTTCTTACTGCCATTTCCTATTGATGTATAAAATTAAGGTAACTTGTTATCTTTAAATCTCAAGCCTGGATATTCTTGTTAGTGCTGTGGATCATGGAGTAGCTAAGGAGACAAAGCACTCCCACCCCTCTGGATAAGAATCAGCAACCTCTTCTCCAATCTGTTTTGTTACATGCGTTGCCATGGTGTTGGAAGGCAGTGGCCTAGATAAAGCATTGCAGTACTGTGGTTCAGAGAAAAGCTTTGTGGAATATCTTCTCTCTCAGTCAGCCTTAGACTTAGCTAGAGTCTTCATCTAACTTCTGTGATCTGATGGATGCAGTATCTACGTCATCAATAGAGTCTTCTACAATGATCTTTGCTTAAGTTCTTCTAAAAAGTTCTTATAATGATCTTCTAAAAAGATCATTAAGTCTCCTTAATGATCTTTGCTGTCTTTACATTTCCGAAGGTCCCCAAAGTGCCTTTATGCCTATCTTTCTGTTTCTCTCTTCTCTGTTTCTCCCCTCTTTCCCTCCTCTCTTTCTTTCTCTCTGTCTTTTACACTTATTTATTGAGTACCACGTACAGTACTGTGCGACAGGGGACTGCTTCCTCCTAACACGACCCTGTTACAAGATATTATTTTTCCCTTCTTAACACATATTGCACCTGAAGCTTTGGGCAGTTGAGTGCTTTAGTGCTGTAATAGGGTTACACTGCCTGGAAGTTTTGCAGAGCCAGGTTTCAAGTCAAGTTCTCTCTGACATCAGAGCCGCTGCACTTTTCATCATATCCAGAACTTTCAGGTCTAAAGTGATCCGCTGGCTGCAGGTACCCCTAAGGCTCTCCAAGTAGCTGACTTGTTACTAATTTGTAGATCTCAGGATCTCCTTATTGGTGAGGGAATTAATAGTAAAATCTAAAAAGAACAATTACCTGAGGTGGCTGAGGGGATCCTATAGGAATCGACTGCTTGCACCTAAAAGCAGAGTGTGTAATTCAACTCTGCAGCAAATCACCTTAATTTTATAAGACTTACTCAGAGAATGCTAATTAAAAATTCAGATTCTTGATCCTGTAGCCTGTCTTTATGATTTACTAGAACAGAAATGGAGCCCAGGAATCTGAATTTTTAGCAGTTTCCCTGGGTGATCCTATGCAAGTGTTCTGGGGACCATACTTTAGTATGCACTGCTGGAAGGCAGTGTTATCAAAGTGGAGAAGATTGAAATAGCCTGGGAAGCTTTCAAATAATATAGATTTCCAAGCCTTACCCCGCACCAATGGAATTAGAATCTTTGCAACAGGCAAAGATGGACCCTGAGATTCTGTACTTTTTTAAAGTTCCCCAGGTGATTTTGAAATAACCAGTCTTATCACTATCATTTGGTAAATGTTTTCAACTACTTTCCCATCCATATGTCATTAGCGTCAGACTCTTGGTTCTATATCTGCAATCCTGATACCTCCTTCCAGGCCTTTGACTGTACCACCTCTTCCCCTTCTCCCCCGCTCCTCTTTCTAAGGGGTTAGAATACACTTAAAGCCAGACTGCCATTTTGAAAAAATATTCCCCTAGGAGACAAGCACATTTCAAGCACCATTCTGAGCTGAATTCTTGATTTCACCATAATAATAATAATAATAATAATAATAATAAGCTGTTTTAAAATGATGAAAAAACATGGTTTAGTGAAACTATTGAGAATTCCATAAAATTTATCCTACATGACTAAGCAGTAGCAGCCTTTTGTATTCAGTTTAACCCACATGGAAAATGTTAAATCACCATATTAACAACACAATCTAGCAGTTAAATAGCATGACAGTTACCATGGAAATGTGCCAAACACAGGTGGGCTGGCAATGTGTGTAGGGGGTTTTGGAGGGGGGATGCATTGTAGATTAGAACTGCTATGCCTGTTTTTATATTTAAATTACTTATACAGTCAACGGATTTTAAAGAAATGCAGCTGGACTTTCTAAATTATGATCTTCCGCCTCTTTACCTTGTCACACTGTTAGAGGGAATTATTTAATTGCTATAAACGCAAACTTTTTCTTTTGGTGAAAACGTGGTTATTTCTTCCTTCAGCTAGAATCTCTGATTCTCTTAATACACACACTTCTGGGTGTAGTAGTAATAATAATAATAATTATCAAAAATGTAAAATCCAAGTGCATTCTATATCCTGCAAGACACTAGATAAACGGAAGCTTACCTACCTCTCTGATGTCGCCTTGTACAGCCACTTGTTTTATCCTTATCATAACCCTATGATATAGATCCTATTCTTATTTTTTCCTGTTTCATAGATAAATAGAAAACTTAGTAGAATAAGAGCTAGAAAGCAAGCCTAGCCTTTTGGATGCCAAAGCCTATAACACTGTACTGCCTCATGACCAAAGATCTTACAGATTTAAACAGCAACAATGAAACCGATTGTTAAACTTGTTAAAGGAGACTTGCTACCCACACATTTAGATTCTTTACCCACACTGGTTTGGCCAACTCCTGGTGGCACATTTGTGAGTCTGCATCATAATCACTCATGGAGATTATTAAAAATAACAGTGCCTGGCTCTACCCCAGACCCGTGGAATCAGATTTCCAGGGGTGAGTTGTGAGGAGATACAGAGCTCAAGTAAAGGTAGTCTTAAGGCATTCTAGGTTATTCTGATGCACATGGGTTGAGAATGACTGTTGAATTATAAAATAGCTTATTTTACACATGAGACATTTGTGATGTTTAGTGCTGTTATGGCAGGACTAAGAAAGAAGTTTCATAAAGTCACTTCCATGTTTAATTTGTCTTTTTATCATCAGTGCCTAGTCCATTGTCAGGTCAATAATAGCACTACTCGCCAGGTGTGGTGGCTCACGCCTGTAATCCCAACACTTTGGGAGGCCGAGGCAGGTGGATCACCTGAGTTCAGGAGTTTGAGACCAGCCTGACCAACATGGTGAAACCCTGTCTCTACAAAAATACAAAAATTAACAGGGCATGATGGCAGGTGCCTGTAATCCCAGCTATGCAGGAGGCTGAGCAGGGATAATCTCTTAAGCCCGTGGGGCAGAGGTTTCAGTGAGCCGAGATCGCGCCATTGCACTCCAGCCTGGACAACAGAGCAAAACTCCATCTCAAAAAAAAAAAAAAAAAAAAAAAAAAAAGGATAACACTGCTATTGCTTCTATTCATATTAACAATTAATATTCAAAATAATGATAGTAAATACTGAGTTAAACTGATTTATCTGGATTAGACATTGTGAAAATTATGCATATTATCTTGTTTAATCTTGCAAGCAACCTATGGAGGTAGGTACCAAAATTACCTTGTGCATTTTTCAGATAAGGCAATTGAGGGTCACCCAGGCTAAGTTATTTGCACTCAGTCCCATATTAAATGTGTAAAGCAGATGTTCTTCTTATTTTAACTCTAGTCTTAACCTCTACACAGTATTTCTTCTCAAAGATATTTATCTAATGCTTTTGGAAGGAAGGAACTGGCAATAAGGAAAGAAAGAAGAAATAACAGATGAATGCAAGGAAGAAAGAGAGGAAGTGAGAGAGGGAGGTGAACCATAATGGAGGGAAAAGGAAGGGAAGGTGGAGGTAAGAAGAGTATTTGTGCTATGAAAAGAGAAATACAAGTCAACCCTGAAGTCAACTCACACCTGCTTTTCTTCAGAAACTGAGACTGTGTTGTCACTTGCCAGCAATACGTCTTATGTCTGTCACCTGTGGGGCTCCTGTCTTCCAGGAGTTATTGAAATGGCCATCTCTTCTCTCCCAAAGGAAAAGTGCCAATATGGGACAGTGATATTCAAGTACATTCTTAGGTTATGGTGTTTGGGGGATAGAATTTTTGGTATACTGAACAAAGGGATTAAAAAGGTCAGTTTTATGTAGGGACTTTCTTTGCTGGGGAGGGAAGGTCTCATCCCCAAGAATTATTTCTTTATTTTCCCTTCCCAGAGTTTTTACATGGAAGTATGAAATATTACCTTCCTACTATATAATTAATAGAAAAAATAAACAGAGCCCAGATTATACTATTATGATAAGGTGTAGGGGAATGGGAAAAGGATTCAGCCAAGTGCCCCAGATTTTAGGTTTTACTCTGAGTTTTCTTTCTCCGGTTTTATCTTCTATTGTCTCTTCTCATCACTGGAGTGATAATGTTTAGAGGCCCAAGATTAGGCTGTGTTTCTGGGGTAAGGTAGCAAGGGGCCACAGTCTTCCTTTGATCTGGGCCTCTCATATCTGCCCACTGTAAGCCAAAGTTGTTCCTGTTTAGCTCAACAGTGCTGTAGTTTTCATACAGGGTCAGAGACCAATGTCCCACAGGGTAATAAAATGCTTGCATTTGGTTGGAGTGTACCTTCTATGTATCTTATGCTGGGATCTGAATGAGCAACATATGGCTATTCAAAAAATTCATGGATCCTGGGTCCTAGTCAAATGTCACCTCTTCATGAATAACAGAGCCCTCCTTTCTCAGAGCCCGCAGTGAAGAGAGTACTACTTAACTTAGCAGTTCCTAACACCAGTGAATACCAAAGTCTCCTGTCACTAAAGAACAATTTCTTTTGTAAGGGTTGTAGCAGGTTTCCAGGCAGGGCTTCACCTGCTTGAATTGGGAAACCTTTTCCAAGCCCCAAGTCTCTCACATTGTGAAAAATGCTGCTTCTATTTTTCTTTAATTAAAAAAAAAAAACAGAGCAGAAAAGTACATTGTATGAGAGCACAACCTTCAGTCAGACACACCAGGTTTCATTCATGAAAATTACTCAATATGAATTTGGATTTTCTGTAAATCTATTTCCTTATCTCTATATCATGGATAATAACAATGACCATATAGGTATTTTGTTATGATTAAATGCAACACTCTTGCATTGGTCTTTGTTTATTTTATATTGTGTTCTTTCCCCCAAGTCTCACATCTTTGGCCTCAAAGGTATTAAAATGATGCAGGTCATGTTCTCTGGGAAGCCAACCCTGAGATGTAGTTTAGTGTGCAGTACGTTCAGATGGGAGAGTTCTTGGGACCAAGTCCCATGAAAGAAAAGGAAGGAAGTAGGACTGAGCAAAGGAGAAGGCTGAGCGGTCTTAGCTGATCCCACAGGAAGATCTGATCTGAATTGACTGTCAGAATTATCCTGTATTAGGCCAAAATGACTATGCATTTTTACCTGTGCCTCAACAGTCATTGGATGTTGCTGCCTGAGGAGCCCATTACCTTAGATGAAGTGGCTCTCTGTAGCTGAGGCAACTGGCAGCTGGAATGTGCCTGGTGGCAGCACCCCCTATAACTGAGCAACAAGTGCTCCTTGAAGAGGGTTTTGGGTGGGTCATCCCTGTGTCCCCCACACCATGCCCCTGACACATGATGCTTAATGATAACTAGCTTATGGTTTCCTATGTTCCAAGCAATGTGTCATAAATTTGGATACATCTATCTACCTATCTATCTGTCTATCTATCTATCTATCTATCTATCTATCTATCTATCATCTATCATCTATCCATCCTGAGCACGCATAACTAAATTGCCCAACATCAACCATCTGGTAAATGATAGTGTGGCCTTTAAAGCAACACAATCTAGCTGCAGTGCTCCTACTCTTAAACTCTGCTCTACTCCATCTTGCAGTGACCTGGGTATTTAAAGAGATCTGCTGGTCCTATCAGACATAGCTGTGTGTTTCTAGTACAGTGGTTCTCAAACTTTGATCCCCAGGTTAGCATCATCAGCATCAGCGGAAATTTGTTAGAAATGTGAATCTTCTGGCCTTACCTAGACCCAGAATCAGATACTTTCAGAGCAAGACTCACAATCTATGTTTTGATAGGTCCTCTAAGGGAGTCTGCTGCACCCTCAACCTTGAGAAACATTGCAATAATATATAGGGACAACAACAGCAAAAATAACCTAGCACATTCTAAGGGTCTTTCTATTCAGTCTTCTTTTCAGCTACCCTCTCCCTTACCTCTCCCATGGAACTCTGATCCTTCCTGGCCAATGGTTCCAGCTGCTGAAGTCTTCCCCTGCTGGATTTCACATTAGAAATGGACAACTCTTTATTCCATCATGTTGCCATCACTCCCTCTTAGCCTCAAGGATGGTGTTCCATTAGTTTTTTTATTTATAATTTGATGTTGCCCCAAGGCAAGAGTGGCAACCCAAACCATGTATGTTGGTTTTGTTGGCAGGCCAAAGAGCACTGAGTTGAAATCTCAGGCCCATGACTAACTAAAAGTATGTCCTTGACCAATCTCAAATTGATCTTTGTTTCAATGTTTTTTTTTTTTTTTTTTGAGACAGTCTCTCTCTGTCGCCCCAGGCTGGAGTGCCGTGGTGCCATCTCAGCTCACTGCAAGCTCCGCCTCCCAGGTTCATGCCATTCTCCAGCCTCAGCCTCCCAAGTAGCTGGGACTACAGGCACCCGCCACCACCCCTGGCTAATTTTTTTTTTTGTATTTTTTTTTTTTAGTAGAAATGGGGTTTCACCGTGATCTTGATCTCCTGACCTCTTGATCCGCCTGCCTCGGCCTCCCAAAGTGCTGGGATTACAGGCGTGAGCCAACCATGCCCAGCTTGTTTCAATGTTTTTATCTGCAAAACTGGGAGTAAAAATACCTGCCTCAGAGGGCTGCTTTGCATATTTAATTAGATCATTAATCTCTATATTCCCCGAGTTTCTAACACATAAAATATGCTCTATGAGAGACTTGTTTAAAACTTACATGGAAGACCCTTTCCCTCTTCCTGCTGAGATATCTTTGAAAAGCCAACTGGACTTAAGAATTAGCACCATTTAAATATATGATATATTCATTCTAAGTACAGCATTCTACTCATTTATCATTCTTAACCTCACCAAGAAAAGCATTTATTAAAATATTTTACATTTTTTCTAAAGAAAGTCCGAGTAAAATGCCAGAAACATACTCAAGTGGATTTGTTCAATCTGAATATATGTGTGTACACACACACACACACACACACACACACATTTAAGCAGTTGTAAAAAACCTTCATATAATCATGTTATGAGTCTGTAGAAACAGAAAGGTATGATACTTTTCCTCATCTATCATAAGGGTCACAACTAACACTCCTATAACAAAAGACATGTTAACAAGAGAAAAGCATGACTAATTTATTTCATCAAAGTTCCATATGGCATTAACGAAAAGCCAAAGACCCAGGGGAAAATGTCTATTTTTATGCTTTGATTCAATGAAGAATGGATAGCCATGTAGAAAGGTGACTGGACCAAAAGGGTATGACCTAATGATAACAGACTGGGGTGGGGAACCCAGAAGACCTCTTCATTTATGTTCTCCTTGGCCTCTCTGTGCCACATTCCTTCCTCCTGGGTATAGGGTAGGAGCCCTCTGGAATGAAGGTCTTATGACCTATGGTCAGACAAGTTAGGTCAGAGAGTTTCTTTGTGGCCATCTACACAGAGAGATGGGGAAAGGTTAAAATTATATTTCTATGTTTTATGCCTTGCTTTAGGAGAAAGGGGTTCTAGTTTCTATGATCCACCTTGGAAAGGAGAAATTCTGGTTTCTATGACTTGCTTCTGGGGAGAAAAGGGGGCAGGAGACAGGAAGGCAGGAAAAGATCAGAGACACTTTGCTTCTGAGGCTGCTTCTGATACTTTCCAGCCTCCTTTAGTTCAAAGTACTCAGCATGCCAAAGCATCATACTTTAGGATGGTACTTTTTGACCCTAAAAAGTCCAATATCAATTATATGAGTTAAATATAGACTTTTCCATTTTAGTGATGACAAACCACCATTGATAGTGGTTTAACTATCTTCCCAATATTATGCAGTTAACAAAGGGCAGAACCAGAATTGGAGCTCAGAATCCCAGTATAGTTTTCTTTCCGTTATACATCGCTATCTCAAAGAATTCTGATTAGCTCTTAAATTAATTTTTTTTAAACTGAGAAAGATATCTAGGTGTTGATGATAGATAAGGACAGTACCCAGATAATGACATTCACCTTTTCTAATCAGAGCATTACTGAAGATTTCTCTTTGGATAGATGTTGGGAACCTTGCAGAGGAAAATTTTGTGATCAGCAGGGCCCAAAAATCCTGTAATGTGAAAGAAGCTGGAAAGTTATTAAAATACCAAGGGATTATGATTTAAACCTAACCTAAGGAGCCTGTGAAAGGAGAGAAGAATGAATATCTCCTGGAGTGAGGCCCATTAACAACTTATGAAGCGCTAACTGTGGAATAGGACACAGTTAGGAACTAAGAGCTTTCTAGAGGTTGACCTTGAAAACCCAACCAGTCTCCACAGGGGTCTTGATCTACAGAAGTCCTGGCTGAGCTGCAGTTTCCTAGGCATTAACTCACATAAGAGTGACCAGAGCAGTAGTAGTTCTTAACCTTGGCTGCATGTTAGGATCATCTGGGGAGATTTTTAAAATTCTGATGCCCGGGCCACACCTAGACTAATTAAATCAGGATTGCTAAAGGTGGGACGCAGTCATTAATATTTTTTAAAACTCCTTATGTGATGATAGTGCAAAACTCAAGTAGAGAACCACTCTTCTGGAAGCTAAAATGTTTTTCTCTTTTTTTTTCTTTTGTTCCTTTGTATTTTTTGCCTTCCTTTCTTCCTCTATTTCTCCTTCCTTCCCATCCTTCTTCCCATTCTTTCTTAAAAACAGGTTTGAGAATTTATTACACAGAAGCCATGACTATAAAGATATACAAGATGTGATTTCTGTGCCTCTCTTATTTTTATGCAGCTTTGTAGCAAATCTATGCAAATTTAGAGATTTAAATTGCACTTATATATTAACTAATAGTTCTGTAGTTCAGAAGTCTGTCACAGCATGAGTGGGCTCCCTGCTCAGGATATCGGAAGGCTGCAATGAAAGCGTCAGCCAGGCTCAGTTCTCATCTTGAGGTGCTAGGAAAAAAATCCACTTCCAGGCTCATTCAGGCTGTTGGCTGGATTCAGTCTCTCAGGTTGAAGTATTGATCTTTTTGATCTCAGTTTTTTTGCTATCTGTCAGGAAGGGGCATACCTCAGCACCTAAATGCCACCCACATTTCTTGCTATTTGATATCCTCCATCTCCTAGCCAGCAATGGTGCAATGAATCCTTCATGCTTCAAATCTATGATTCCAACTTCTGTGACCAGCTGGGCAAAAGTCTTTGCTTTTAAAGAGTTGAAATGATTAGGTCAAATCCATTTAGATAATCTCGCTATCTAAAGGTCAGTTGATTTGGGACTTAATTACATCTTCAAAACTGCCTTCACAGCTACACCTAGATTAGGATTTAAAGAACTGGGAGAAGGTTTGTGCACATACAGGACAAGAATCTTGGGGGCCATCTTAAAATTCTGCTACCACAGCCTCCAAGGAGTTCACCAGTAGGGAAACAGGCTTGGGACTCAGTATAAAGCAATAAAGGACAGTCACAGTTACAAGAAATAGAAGTGGTATCATGTGATAATCTTGTTCTTGGAGGAGGGGCCAAGGTGGCCGAATAGGAACAGCTCCGGTCTGCAGCTCCCAGTGAGGCCAACGCAGAAGGTGAGTGATTTTTGCATTTCCAACTGAGGTACCCAATTCATCTCACTGGGACTGGTTAGGCAGTGGTTGCATCCTATGGTGGGAGAGCAGAAGCAGGGTGGTAAGTGCAAGGAGCCTGGGGGACCTCCTTCCCACAGCCAAGGGAAGCCATGAGGGACTGTGCTACCTGGCCCAGATACTATGTTCTTCCCATGTTTTTTTGCAATCTGCAGATCAGGAGATTCCCTCGTGTGCCTACACCACCAGGGCCCTGGGTTTCAAGCACAAAACTGGGCAGCTGTTTGGGCAGACACTGAGCTAGCTGCAGGAGTTTTTTTCATACCCCAGTGGCACCAGTGAGACAGAAACCATTCAATCCCTCGGAAAGAGGGCTGAAGCCAGGGAGCCAAGTTGTCTCGCTCAGTAGGTTCCACTCCTGTGGAGCCCAGCAAGCTAAGAACCACTGACTTGAAATTCTCACTGCCAGCACAGCAGTCTGAAGTTGACCTGGGATAATCAAGCTTGGATGGAGAGAGGTGTCCACCATTACTGAGGCTTTAGTAGGCTGTTTTCCCCTGACACTGCTAAGGAGGCTAGAAGATGTGGACTGGGTGAAATATACCACAGCATGGCAAAGTGGTTGTGGCCAGACTGCTTCTCTAGGTTCCTCCTCATTGGGCAGGGCGTCTTTGAAGGAACGGTAACAGCCCCAGTCAGGGGCTTACAGAAAAAACTACCATCTCCCCGGGACAGAGACCCTGGGGGAAGGGGTGGCTATAGGCACAGCTTCAGCAGATTTAATCTCTCCTGCCTACTGGCTCTGAAGAGAGCAACTTATTCTGACAAGAGGAATTCTCCCGGCACAGTGCACCAGCTCTGCTGAGGGACAGACTACCTCCTCAAGTGGGCCCCTGATGTCCGTGACTCCTGACTGGGAGAGACCTCCCAACAGGGGTCGACAGACACCTCACACAGGAGAACTCCAGCTGGTATCTGGCAGGCACCCCTTTGGGATGAAGCTTCCAGAAGAAGGAGGAGGCAGCAATCTTTGCTCTTCTGCAGCCTCTGCTGATGATACCCAGGTGAACAGGATCTTGAGTGGACCTCCAGCAAACTGCAGCAGACCTGCCAAAGAGAGGCCTGACTGTTAGAAGGAAAACTAACAAACAGCAAGCAGCAGCATCAACATCAACAACAACAACAAAAAAAAAACCCCCACACAAAAACCCCATCCATAGGTCATCAACCTCAAAGATCAAAGGTAGCTAAATCCTTGAAGATGAGGAAAAACCAGTGCGAAAACGCTGAAAATTACGAAAACCAGAATGCCTCTTCTCCTCCAAATGATCTCAACTCCTCTCCAGCAAGGGAATCCCACCCCCAAATCAACAGAATATTATTCTTCTCAGCACCACATAGTACTAATTCTAAAATCAACCACATAATTGGAAGTAAAACACTCCTTGGCAAATGAAAACTGAACAGAGAATAAGATTGACGAATTGACAGAAGTAGGCTTCGGAAGGTGGGTAATAACAAACTCCTCTGAGGTAAGAGAGCATGTTCTAACTCAATGCAGGGAAGCTAAGAACCTTGATAAAAGTTACAGGAACTACTAACTAGAATAACCAGTTTAGAGAGAAACACAAATGACTTGATGGAGTTGAAAAGCACAGCACAAGAACTTCATGAAGTGTACACAAGTATCAATAGCTGAATCAATCAAGCGGAAGAAAGGATATCAAGATTGAAGATCAACTTACCGAAATAAAGCATGAAGACAAGATTTGAGAAAAAAATAATACAAAGGAATGAACAAAGCCTCCAAGAAATATGGGACCATGTGAAAAGACCAAACTTATGAATGATTGTGTACCTGAAAGTGATGAGGAGAATGGAACCAAGTTGGAAAACACACTTCGGGATATTATCCAGGAGAACTTCCCCAACCTAGCAAGATGGGCCAACATTCAAATTCAGGAAATACAAAGAACACCACTAA
Organism: Homo sapiens; assembly: GCF_000001405.40. Taxonomy (NCBI): domain Eukaryota; kingdom Metazoa; phylum Chordata; class Mammalia; order Primates; family Hominidae; genus Homo; species Homo sapiens. Next base: position 68,987,134 of record NC_000001.11, read on the forward strand.
GATACTCCTCAAGAAGAGCAACCCTAGGACACATAATCGTCAGATTCTCCAAGGTTGAAACAAAGAAAAAAATGTTAAGGGCAGTCAGACAGAAAGGTCAGGTTACCTACAAAGAGAAGCCCATAAGACTAGCAGCGGATCTCTCTGCAGAAACCCTACAAACCAGAAGAGAGTGGGGGCTAATATTCAACATTCTTTTTTTTTTTTTTTTTTTTTTTTTGAGACAGAGTCTCACTCTGTTGCCCAGGTTGGAGTGCAGTGGTGCCATTTCGGCTCACTGCAACGTCTGCCTCCCAGGTTCATGCCATTCTCCTGCCTTAGCCTCTTGAGTAGCTGGGACTACAGGAACTTGCCACCACGTCCGCCTAATTTATTTGTATTTTTAGTAGAGACGGGGTTTCACTGCTTTAGCCAGGATGGTCTCGATCTCCTGACCTCGTGATCTGCCCGCCTCCGCCTCTTGAAGTGCTGGGATTACAGGCTTGAGCCACCACGTTCAGCATAACATTCTTATAGAGAAGACTTTTCAACCCAGAATTTTATATCAAGTCAAACTAAGCTGCATAAGTGAAGGAGAAATAAAATCCTTTCCAGACAAGCAAATGCTGAGGGATTTTGTCACCACCAGGCCTGCCTTATAAGAGCTCCTGAAGGAAGCACTAAATATAAAAAGGAAAAACTGGTCCCAGCCACTGCAAAAACACACCAAATATAAAGGTTAATGACACTATGAAGAAACTGCATCAACTAACATGCAAAATAAACAGCTAGGATCATGATGACAGAATCAAATTCACACATAACAATATTAACCTTAAATGTAAATGGGCTAAATGCCCCAATTAAAAGACACAGACTGGCAAAGATGAAGAGTCAAGACCCATCAGAATGCTGTATTCAGGAGACACACATAGGTTTTTTGGTCTCTTTTGCAAAGACACACATAGGCTTAAATAAAGGGCTGGAGGAAAATGTACCAAGCAAATGGAAAGCAAAATAAAAAAGAAAAAATCAGGGTTTGCAATCCTAGTCTCTGACAAAACAGACTTTAAACCAGCAAAGATAAGAAAAGACAAAGAAGGGCGTTACATAATGATAAAAAGAACAATTCAAAAAGAAGAGCTAATTATCCTAAATATATATGCACCCAATATAGGAGCACCCAGATTCATAAAACAAGTTCTTAGAGACCTACAAGAGAGACTTAGACTCCCACACAATAATAGTGGGAGATTTTAACATCCCACTATCAATATTAGACAGACCAACAAGACAGAAAACTAACAAGGATATTCAAAACTTGAACTCAGCTCTGGACCAAGCAGACATAATAGACATCTACAGAACTCTCCATCCCAAATCAACAGAATATTATTCTTCCCAGCACCATATAGTACTAATTCTAAAATCAACCACATAATTGGAAGTAAAACACTCCTTGGCAAATGAAAAAGAACGGAAATCATAACAAACAGTCTCTCAGACCACAGTGCAATCAAATTAGAACTCAGGATTAAGAAATTCACTCAAAAGTGCACAACTACATGGAAATTGAACAACCTGCTCCAGAATGACTACTAGGTAAATAATGAAATTAGGGCAGAAATCAAGAAGTTCTTTGAAACCAACAAGAAGAGACAACATACCAGAATCTCTGGGACACTGCTAAAGCAGTGTTAAGAGAGAATTATGTAGCAGTAAATGCCCACATTAGAAAGCTGGAAAGATCTGAAATTGACACCCTAACATAACAATTAAAAGAGCTAGAGAAGCAAGAGCAAACAAATTCAAAAGCTAGAAGACAAGAAATAACTAAGATCAGAGCAGAACTGAAGGAGATAGAGACATGAAAAACCCTTCAAAAAATCAATGAATCCAGGAGCTGGTTTTTTGAAAAGATTAACAAAATAGATGGACTGCTAGCTAGACTAATAAAGAAGAAAACAGAGAAGAATCAAATAGACACAATCAAAAGTGATAAAGGGGATATCACCATTGATCCCACAGAAATACAAACTACCATCAGAGAATTCTATAGACACCTCTACACAAATAAACTAGAAAATCTAGAAGAAGTGGATAAACTCCTGGACACATATACCCTCCCAAGACTAAACCATGAGGAAGTCAAATCCCTAAGCGGACCAATAACAAGTTCTGAAATTAATGGCCTACCAACCAAAAAAAGCCCAGGACCTGACAGATTCACAGACAAATCCTACCACAGGTACAAAGAGGAGCTGATACCATTCCTTCTGAAACTATTCCAAACAATAGAAAAAGAGGGACTCCTCCATAATTCATTTTATGAAGCCAGCATCATCCTGATATCAAAACCTGGCAGAGACACAACAACAAAGAAAAATTTCAGGCCAATATCCCCGATGAACATCGATGTGAAAATCTTCAATAAAATACTGGCAAACCGAATCCAGCAGCACGTCAAAAAACTTATCCACCACGATCAAGTCGGCTTCATCCCTGGAATGCATGGCTGGTTCAACATACACAGATCAATAAATGTAATCCATCACATAAACAGAGCCAATAACAAAAATCACATGATTATCTAAATAGATGCAGAAAAGGCCTTCGATAAAATTAAATATCCCTTCTTGCTAAAAATTCAATAAACTAGGTATTGATAGAACCAGTCTCAAAATAATAAGAGCTACTTATGAAAAACCCATAGCCAACATTATACTGAATAGGAAAAAGTTGGAAACATTCCCTTTGAAAACTGGCACAAAACAAGGATGACCTCTCTCACTACTCCCAATCAACATAATATTGGAAGGTCTGGCCAGGGCAATTAGGCAAGAGAAAGAAATAAAGTTATTCAAATAGGAAGAGAGGAAGTCAAATTGCTCCATTTGCAGATGACATGATTGTGTATTTAGAAAACCCCATTATCTCAGCCCAAAAACTCCTTAAGCCAATAAACAACTTCAGTAAAGTATCAGGATACAGAATCAATGTGCAAAAATCACAAGCATTCCTATACAACAATAATAGACAAGCAGAGTGCCAAATCATGAGTGAACTCCCATTTACAATTGCTACAAAGAGAATAAAATACTTAGGAATACAACTTACAAGGGACATGAAGGACCTCTTCAGGAACTACAAACCACTGCTCAATAAAAATGACAGGACACAAACAGATGGAAAAAAAACTTCCATGCGCATGGATAGGATGAATCAATATTGTGAAAATGGCCATACTGCCCAAAGTAATTTATAGATTCAATGCTATCCCCATCAAGCTACCACTGACTTTCTTTGCAGAATTAGACAAAACTACTTTAAATTTCATATGGAACCAAAAAAGAGCCCATATAGCCAAGACAATCCTAAGAAAAAAAGAACAAAGCTGGAGACATCATGCTACCTGACTTCAAATTATACTACAAGGCTACAGTAACCAAAACAGCATGGTGTTGGTACCAAAACAGATATATAGACCAATGGAACAGAACAGAGACCTCAGAAATAACATCAGACACTTACAACCACCTGATCTTCGACAAATATGAGAAAAACAAGCAATGGGGAAAGGAATCCCTATTTAATAAATGGTGCTTGGAAAACTGGCTACCCATAGGCCGAAAACTGAAACCAGACCCCTTCCTTACACCTTACACAAAAATTAACTCAAAATGTATTAAAGACTTAAATGTAAAACCTAAAACCATAAAAACCCCAGAAGAAAACCTAGGCAATAGCATTCAGGACATAGGCATGGGTAAAGACTTCATGACGAAAATACCAAAAGCAATTGCAACAAAAGCCAAAATTGACAAATGGGATCTAACTAAACTAAAGAGCTTCTTCACAGCAAAAAAAAAAAAAAAAAAAAAAAAACTATCATTAGAGTGAACAGGCAACCTACAGAATGGGAGAAAATTTTTGCAATCTATACATCTGACAAAGGTCTAATATCCAGAATCTACAAGGAACTTAAATTTACAAGACAAAAACAGACAACCCCATCAAAAAGTGGGTGAAGGATATGAACAGACACTTCTCAAAAGAAGACATTTATGTGGCCAATAAACATAGGAAAAAAAGCTCATCATCACTGGTCATTACAGAAATGCAAATCAAAATCACAGTGAGATATCATGTCACGCCAGTTAGAATGGTGATTATTAAAAAGTCAGGAAACAACAGATGCTGGCGAGGCTGTGGAGAAATAGGAAAGCTTTTACACTGTTGGTGGGAGTGCAAATTAGTTCAACCATTGTGGAAGATAGTGGGTGATTCCCCAAGGATCTAGAACCAGAAATACCATTTGACCCAGCAATCCCATTACTGCTTATATACCCAAAGGATTAGAAATCATTCTACTATAAAGATTCATGCACAAGTATGTTTATTGCAGCACTATTTACAATAGTGAAGACTTGGAACCATCCCAAATGTCCATCAATGATAGACTGGATAAAGAAAATGTGGCACATATACACCATGTAATACTATGTAGCCATAAAAAAGAATAAATTCATGTCCTTTTCAGGGACATGGATGAAGGTGGAAGCCGTCATTCTCAGCAAACTAACACAGGAACAGAAAACCAAACACTGCATGTTTTCACTCATAAGTGGAAGTTGAACAATGAAAACACATGGACACAGAGAGGGGAACATCACATACTGGGGCCTTTCAGGGGTGGGAGGCAAGGGGAGGGAGAGCATTAGGACAAATACCTAATGCATGTGGGGCTTAAAACATAGATGATGCATTGATAGGTGCAGCAAACCACCGTGGCACATGTATACCTATGTAACAAACCTGCACGTTCTGCACATGTATCCCAGAACTTAAAGTAAAATAAAATAAAGACATTTAAAAAAGAAGTGGTACTAATGAATTACTGAAAGACTAACTCCAGGAGATATGTGTAAATGGTCAAAGTAGGCTTCCTAGAGGAGTTGACACCTTAGCACAATCATGCACTGGACAATTACTTATTAAGTAACTACTGTATATACCAGCCACTGAGCTGAATTTTGAGAGATAAATAGTTGTTTTCTAGGTGGACAGGAGAAAGGATGAGCTTTCTGGAGAGGAGTCATTCTATATGACAAAGCATGTGACCAACATGTGACAAAGAAGAGAAGTGTTTAAGGGATTAGCTGCAGTTCAGTCCTACTAGCAAAACATATGTAGAAAGTGGCTGGCAAGGAAGCCAAAGTGAGGTCAGATATCCTGTGACAGATTGTATCTTACTCTTTGATGATAAGGAAACACTGAGGGTTTCTCCCCGTACTTTACTGAGGCATAAAGTACAATCCATTGTACATATGTAAAATGTACAGTTTGATGCATTTTTACACATTTATAGACCCATGAAACTTTCACCACAATCAAGAAAACAAGTATTTTCTATCACTCCAAAAGTTTTCTTATGTCCTTTTGTAACCCAAAGCCACAGGTAACCACTGATTTGTCTTCTGTCTCTATACATTAGTTTCCATTATTTAGAATTTTATATAAATGGATTTATATGGGAGGCACTCATTTGTGCTTGGCTTCTTTTATTCAGCATAATTTTCAGGTTAATCTATGTTGTTGCAAGTATTGACAAGTCATTTTTTTTTATATTCCTGAGAGGCATTCCATTGTATTGTAGGAACATAACAAAGTATGATGCCTGTGGAAAAAAGGGGTCAATGTGAAATAATTGTGATAATGTGAAAGCAACAAGGAGACTGGGTGAAGAAATTGGTATTTAAGGCCAGGAGCAGTGGCTCACGCCTCTAATCCCAGCACTTTGGGAGGCTGAGGTGGGTGGATCATGAGGTCAGGAGTTCCAGACCAGCCTGGCCAACATGGTGAAACTCCATCTCTACTAAAGATACAAAAAATTAGCCGGGCGTGGTGGTGAGCGCTTGTAATCCCAGCTACTCGGGAGGCTGAGGCAGGAGAATTTCTTGAACTGGGGAGGTGGAGGTTGCAGTGAGCCGAGATCGCGCCATTGTACTCCAGCATGAGTGACAGGGCCAGACTCCGTCTAAAAAAAAAAAAAAAAAGAAAAAAGAAAAAAGTATTTAATAAAGATTTTGGAGGCAGATGATGATTTTTTATAGTTTGACATGATAGGAGAACATTTTGGGCATAAGGAACTATATAAGTGAAAGCTTGAGGATATGGCTACATACATCATGTTTGCAGGTCAAAGTCTTGTGTTGTGGATAAAACAGGGTAATGTGGGTAAGTGAAGAACTGATGGGTTTAGTGAGATTTGAGGCTGGAAAGAAAGGTTTGGGCTACATGACATGTGATTTCAGGTACCTGGATATACAGCACTTTGTCAGGTCCCATGTTAGATTAATCTGACATAGTAAGACATGGTCCCTGCCTCTGAGAAACTCATTACTCAGTGATTCAAATAATCCAGTAAGTAATTATAAAGAGGCTGAAACATGCAGTAAAATGGAAGGCACAAAGTAAGAAGTAACTTCTTCTGCCGGTGGAAATCAGAAACTCTTCACTCAGGAGAGTCTTACATGGCAAGTGGAGGTTTCTAGAGGCTGTAGGATGGAGCATTGTTTGAAGAAGGCTTTCCAGATAAAGAGAGCAATATGATCGGAAGTGTGCTCAGGCTCCATCAGATCTCTCTTATTTTTTTTTTCTCTTGCTTCTAACTAAAGGAAATAAAATGTAAAAATCTGTGTTTGGGTTTGGAATGGAGAAAGAGATACTGCTTCAGCTTCCAGTGTCAACTGAGTCAATTTAATCTACCAACACCAGAGAGTCCTTATTATGGTGTCAGGTGCTAGCCCAGCTTTAATGATGAAGTGGTACTTTATTTCTCTTTGTGATATTGGTCCTTGTGTAAATCTGCTTCAGAAATCTCAGTGAGGAAGTGGTGATTACAAGGCAAGGTTCAGGTTTTCTTATTTTCCCATAGACACCTTACCCATCCCTAATATTTTGGAGTGAAGGACAGTTCTCAGAGCAGACAAGGCTTTCACTGGAAATGCTAAATTTCCAGAGGCTTCTACAAAGCTACTTGTTGTTTTCTTGGCTCAGTGGGCTCTCCTTATTGCCTGTATCAGAGCTCTGCAGTTTCTTGCATTCTGATGGTGAGAAACCTTAGCGGAGACAATGCAGCTGTTTGGAATTTCAAGTGATTCAGCACCGCTGGGGACGTGACGTACTGGAAATGACACTCTCTCCATTTCCACCTGCCAGAAACTCAGGGACCAGCAGCACCATCTCTCCATGTCATGAATATGATGAATAGCCTTGTGCTCACCAGGCAGTTATCTTGTTGGAGTAATTCAGGTTGAGAAGATGCTTTCTAAATAGAAAGCTCAAGTTTTAACTCAGAAAGTACTTAAGCATATTGGAATCTCTTTATATATAATCCATTTGTTTCTTGGACTCATTGGAGTCCAAAAAATAACCCTAGTCATATAGGCAATGGTGACTATATGTGACTGTATCCTAGTCTTATAGTCAGTGGTGACAGAGTGACTGCCTCATGTTGAGTTTCCTAGGAAGCAGATGCTGAGGTGAAGTGTATTAGTCAGCTTGGGCTGCCATAGTTAAATACCATTGACTGGGTGGCTTAAACAACAAAAATTTATTTTCTCACAATTCTGGAGTCTTGAAGTCTCAGATCAGGATGCTGGCGTGGCCAAGTTCTGATAACTCTTTTTCTGGCTTGCTCTTGTTGACTTTCATCTGGCTTTGCACATGGAGAGAGAGAGAGAGAGAGAGAGAGAGAATCCTTTTCTTCCTCTTTTTATAAGCCCACTAGTCCTATCAGATTAGGATTTCACCTTTATAATCTCATTTAACTTTAATCTATCTCCAAATACACCCATGTTCAGAGTTAGTCCTTCAACATATGAATCTGGGGAAGACATATTTCAGTCTATAGCACAGAGATTACCTTGCAAGAGCTTGATTTAGCAGTGCTTAGATTCACCACTTCTGGAAGGGAAAAGAAGGAAACAGAATTGAACAGAAGTTGGGCTGTGAGGCAAACTCACTGAAGGTCTCAGTTAACCCTATAAGGAACTCTAAAATCCATTTAGAGTTGTCTCGACTTGAAGTCTTTTTATTACCATGTCAACCAGTCCTTGGACGTAGGCTGCCCTAGTAAAAGTTTTTAAATTCTCTTTGATGATGTGTATGCATTTTAAGGATATGTGGCTAGATTTCTGGGCAGTTGACATTATTCTATAGGAATGTGAAAAGCCTGTTTCAGATTCTTGTTATAGATGATGGTTTTGATAACTCATGTTCAAAAGGGGTGGGGGCACAATGGGGAGGGAGAATCCAGACAAAAGGATTATGCTTCTGAAGTCTATCAAGAAAATAGACACTCAAAATTTCCTAGTTGTGGGTGAAAATGAAGAAAATACCAGCATCAGAAATATATAGTTATCACTTTAAGTGATTCAATTTCTAAGTAACGTATTTACCTGTCTATGTTTTTTATTTTTTTATTTATTTCTATTTTTTATTTTTTATTATTATTATTAGACTTTAAGTTTTAGGGTACATGTGCACAATGTGCAGGTTAGTTACATATGTATACATGTGACATGCTGGTGTGCTGCACCCACTAACTCCTCATCTATCATTAGGTATATCTCCCAATGCTATCCCTCCCCCCTCACCCCACCCCACAACAGTCCCCAGAGTGTGATGTTTCCCTTCCTGTGTCCATGTGTTCTCATTGTTCAATTCACGCCTATAAGTGAGAATATGCGGTGTTTGGTTTTTTGTTCTTGCGATAGTTTACTGAGAATGATGATTTCCAACTTCATCCACATCCCTACGAAGGACATGAACTCATCATTTTTTATGGCTGCATAGTATTCCATGGTGTATATGTGCCACATTTTCTTAATCCAGTCTATCATTGTTGGACATTTGGGTTGTTTCCAAGTCTTTGCTATTGTGAATAGTGCCACAATAAACATACGTGTGCATGTGTCTTTATAGCAGCATGATTTATAGTCCTTTGGGTATATACCCAGTAATGGGATGGCTGGGTCAAATGGTATTTCTAGTTCTAGATCCCTGAGGAATCACCACACTGACTTCCACAATGGTTGAACTAGTTTACAGTCCCACCAACAGTGTAAAAGTGTTCCTATTTCTCCACATCCTCTCCAGCATCTGTTGTTTCCTGACTTTTTAATGATTGCCATTCTAACTGGTGTGAGATGGTATCTCATTGTGGTTTTGATTTGCATTTCTCTGATGGCCAGTGATGATGAGCATTTTTTCATGTGTTTTTTGGCTGCCTAAATGTCTTCTTTTAAGCAGTGTCTGTTCATGTCCTTCACCCACTTTTTGATGGGGTTGTTTGTTTTTTCCTTGTAAATTTGTTTGAGTTCATTGTAGATTCTGGATATTAGCCCTTTGTCAGATGAGTAGGTTGAGAAAATTTTCTCCCATTTTGTGGGTTGCCTGTTCACTCTGATGGTAGTTTCTTTTGCTGTGCAGAAGTTCTTTAGTTTAATTAGATCCCATTTGTCAATTTTGTCTTTTGTTGCCATTGCTTTTGGTGTTTTAGACATGAAGCCCTTGCCCATGCCTATGTCCTGAATGGTAATGCCTAGGTTTTCTTCTAGGGTTTTTATGCTTTTAGGTCTAACGTTTAAGACTTTAATCCATCTTGAATTGATTTTTGTATAAGGTGTAAGGAAGGGATCCAGTTTCAGCTTTCTACATATGGATAGCCAGTTTTCCCAGCACCATTTATTAAATAGGGAATCCTTTCCCCATTTCCTGTTTTTCTCAGGTTTGTCAAAGATCAGATAGTTGTAGATATGCAACGTTATTTCTGAGGGCTCTGTTCTGTTCCATTGATCTATATCTCTGTTTTGGTACCAGTACCATGCTGTTTTGGTTACTGTAGCCTTGTAGTATAGTTTGAAGTCAGGTAGTGTGATGCCTCCAGCTTTGTTCTTTTGGCTTAGGATTGACTTGGCGATGTGGGCTCCTTTTTGGCTCCATATGAACTTTAAAGTAGTTTTTTCCAATTCTGTGAAGAAAGTCATTGGTAGCTTGATGGGGATGGCATTGAATCTGTAAATTACCTTGGGCAGTATGGCCATTTTCACGATATTGATTCTTCCTATCCATGAGCATGGAATGTTCTTCCATTTGTTTGTGTCCTCTTTTATTTCATTGAGCAGTGGTTTGTAGTTCTCCTTGAAGAGGTCCTTCACATCCCTTGTAAGGTGGATTCCTAGGTATTTTATTCTCTTTGAAGCAATTGTGAATGGGAGTTCACTCATGATTTGGCTCTCTGTTTTTCAAAGCAGTGTGTAGAGGGAAATTTATAGCACTAAATGCCCACAGGAGAAAGCAGGAAAGATCCAAAATTGACACCCTAACATCACAATTAAAAGAAGTAGAAAAGCAAGAGCAAGCACATTCAAAAGCTAGCAGAAGGCAAGAAATAACTAAAATCAGAGCAGAACTGAAGGAAATAGAGACACAAAAAAACCCTTCAAAAAATTAATGAATCCAGGAGCTGGTTTTTTGAAAGGATCAACAAAATTGATAGACCACCAGCAAGACTAATAAAGAAAAAAAGAGAGAACAATCAAATATACGCAATAAGAAATGATAAAGGCGATATCACCACCGATCCCACAGAAATACAAACTACCATCAGAGAATACTACAAACACCTCTACACAAATAAACTAGAAAATCGAGAAGAAATGGATAAATTCCTCGACGCATACACTCTCCCAAGACTAAACCAGGAAGAAGTTGAATCTCTGAATAGACCAATAACAGGAGCTGAAATTGTGGCAATAATCAATAGCTTACCAACCAAAAAGAGTCCAGGTCCAGATGGATTCACAGCCTAATTCTACCAGAGGTACAAGGAGGAACTGGTACCATTCCTTCTGAAACTATTCCAATCAATAGAAAAAGAAGGAATCCTCCCTAACTCATTTTATGAGGCCAGCATCATCCTGATACCAAAGCCGGGCAGAGACACAACCAAAAAAGAGAATTTTAGACCAATATACTTGATGAACATTGATGCAAAAATCTTCAATAAAATACTGGCAAACTGAATCCAGCAGCACATCAAAAAGCTTATCCACCATGATCAAGTGGGCTTCATCCCTGGGATGCAAGGCTGGTTCAATATACACAAATCAATAAATGTAATCCAGCATATAAGCAGAACCAAAGACAAAAATCACATGATTATCTCAATAGATGCAGAAAAGGCCTTTGACAAAACTCAACAACTCTTCGTGCTAAAAACTCTCAATAAATTAGGTATTGATGGGACGTATCTCAAAATAACAAGAGCTATCTATGACAAAGCCACAGCCAATATCATACTGAATGGGCAAAAACTGGAAGCATTCCCTTTGAAAACTGGCACAAGACAGGGATGCCCTCTCTCACCACTCCTATTCAACATAGTGTTGGAAGTTCTGGCCAAGGCAATTAGGCAGGAGAAGGAAATAAACGGTATTCAATTAGGAAAAGAGGAAGTCAAATTATCCCTGTTTGCAGACGACATGATTGTATATCTAGAAAACCCCATTGTCTCAGCCCAAAATCTCCTTAAGTTGATAAGCAACTTCAGCAAAGTCTCAGGATACAAAATCAATGTACAAAAATCACAAGCATTCTTATACACCAATTACCTGTCTATGTTTTTTAAATCAAGGCTGACTGGCTCAGTTAGCTATGTTAACCATTTCACTTTCTGATCTCTCATCTAGAAAATATTTCTATATTTCCACCCTGTTAGTCACTAGAAACTTTTAAGTTTTAGCTTCTCCTAATCTCACAGAATTAAGGTTTTCTGTTATGGTCTTCTTAGAATACAGTACTCTGTTCTTGGTAGCAGGTCCCTCATATGTGATTACCTGACTGATTGTTTCTCTATTAGGAGGTAAATCCCATAAAGATAAGGAAACATGCTTGTCCTATTCACCCTTGTATTACCAGTATCCAGCACAATGCTTGGCACACAGTCAATGCTCAAATATTATCTGTTGAATAAATAAATGGATGAATGAATAAATGTTTTCAAGGAAAATGTATCAACCATATCTTTTGGAGTCAGTCTATATCTATGAGGTAGAGTCCACAGTGTATGTGTCTATATATTAACATGTACCACGTTTTAATAGCTCGTTTTAAGAGCTAATTGTCAAAACTGTATATACTTTTTCCTCAGATGATTACATTGACAGACAACACCTTGGGATTGATTTTCTTGACATACATTAACAATAATTTGAAATTGTAAAAAAAAAAAAAAAAAGCAGTGATATGAATATGTTCTCCATGGTCCCTGACAACACATTAGGGGGTTCTCACAGGGAGATGCACATATCTATTCATATCCCTTTACTAAAGGACTGTCCCTTATCATGGAAAGTTTCTGTCTTTGAGTGAAGCAAAATGGAGGATGCTTACCTTGCAGGTCAGAGGACCCAAGTTCACCTTGCGTTTTAAAGCATCACAGCTAGATCACTGTAGTGTTCAACTTCCCTTTTCTATTCCAAAATTTAAAAATCGGCTTATTAAGTTCATACAAAAAGGTTGTATTATTAATTATCCTCAAAAAGACTGTCAGGTTTGTCTTGGCCAGGTGGTAGAGATTGGTACTAAGTCATGTAAATCTTTTATGTTTCTGTGTTAATGTTGGTCCTTAGCTGGCAAATCGTATCTAGACTTATTGGAATAACTGCCTCAACCTTTAAAGAGGCTATTTCAAATGTGTGCTGTGGCTACTTGTATTTCTATATTGATCCTCATGGGAGATACCACTAGTTATTAACAATACTTATTCCTATTAAACCTAAAACTTCTTCAGAATCCTTCTAATGTAGTATGTTAGGCAGCCACTATCACCGTGTTGATATATGAGAGGAAATCTCTTTTCCATCCTTACTCTAAGAGAAGACATGATTTAATTGGGCAAAACTCTAATTTAGGAACACATCAAAAATTGAGTGATGGATCAAGGGATAGTGTAAATACTCAAGTGGATGAATCAAACATGTTCCCATTACCAGGAATTCTGTGCATGTATTAGTCTGTTCTCACGTGCTAATAAAGACATATCCAAGACTGAGTAATTGATAAAGGAAAGAGGTTTAATTGACTCACAGTTCAGCGTGCTGGGGAGGCCTGAGGAAACTTACAATCATGGCTGAAGGGGAAGCAAACGCATCCTTCTTCACATGGTGGCAGGAAGGAGAAGTGCAGAGGGAAGGGGATGGAAAAGCCCCTCATGCATCATGAGATCTTGTGAGAACTCACTCACTGTCATGAGAATAGCATGGAGGTAACCACCCCTATGATTCAGTTACCTCTCACCAGGTTCCTCCAAAGACACATGAGGATTATGGGAGCTAAAGTTCAAGATGAGATTTGGGTGCGACACAGCCAAACCATATCAGTGCACATTCTTTCATTTGATATTCACAACATCCCTATGGAATAGGCAAATCAGGTATTTTCTTCCCATCTTACGGACTTAAAAAAGCAAGACAGAGAAGTTAAGGGGCTTGCAGACTTACTTGGGATCATAAAGCTAACAAATAGAAAACAATTGGTCTTCTGATCCCAAATTATTTATATTTTCTATAGAAACACAGTGGTTTTTAGTAATTTCTTTCTAATGACCTAATTAATTTTTATCTAAAGACTCTAAGCAAAACTTTCTGAAGTTAAAAAATATAATGTGTCAAGCTTTCTATTATCTGATAAGAAACCAATTAAAGGCATCAGGGATAAAACACGATCCTAATATGAACTTTATTCAAGACAATTGAAAAGGTCTTCTGACTCAGATAAAAACTGGTTGTTTTCCAGAGCTATTGTCAAAATATTGACTGATTATTATCTTTCGGGTAAACAAACTGCTCAAAAGTCATCCTGGGGTGCTCATGGTAAGCCCTATCACTGAGCAAGAGAGCAAGAAACATTACTATGCTTGCTTAGCGTGGGCACAGTCACTCCAGGAAGGAAGACAATACTGAAACTCACAATCCTGGCTGCACTTCTGTTTTCCCAAATCTCTTCCCTCTCAGCACTCTCAGGCTCTTCTAGACAGGTTCAATACCAATGGATCTATCAGTTTTGATTTGTTTTGAATGGTCTGATTTATTTTATCGTATAAAAAATAATTGTATGTGATGCCAGGGGCTGCAAAGTATGGGTCAAGTTATGAGGGTTTCTAAAATAAACGCATATGTCTGTATCTGTATCTGTGTGTGATTGGTTGGAAATAAATGACCTTAAGACAAGGCAAGAAGTTTGCTTAATTTAGAGAGCTTTCCAAATTTGTATGTAGCCAATTCAAGTAGTTGGTTTGAAAAAAGTAAAAATAAAATCCTTCAAGAATAACAGACTGGGCACTGTGACTCATGCCTGTAATCCCAGCATTTTGGGAGGCCAAGGTGGGCAGATTACTTGGGGCTAGGAGTTCGAGACCAGCCTGGCCAACATGGGGAAACCCCATCTCTACTAAAAATACAAAAATTAGCCAGGTGTGGTGGTGCACGCCTGTAATTCCAGTGACACAGAGGGCTGAGGCACGAGAGTTACTTGAACCTGGGAGGCGAAGGTTGCAGTGAAACAAGATCTCACCACTGCACTCCAAACTGGGCAACAGAGCAAGACTATTTTCCCCAAAAAAAGAATAATAAAAATAATATTTATTTAACAATACAGAACTCTATGTATCCAATATTAAAACCAACTATTTATTAAAGACAAAGTCATTATATTAAATACAATGAGCAACTGAAGAAATCAAGACCAATGGATGTGTGAAAAAAATGGTCCTATTTAAAAGCATAAGCAATGTAAAATACATACGGAGATCTTAATTTTAGTTGTACCTTAATTAATCAAGTTTTTATTCAGCTTTAGTTTTGTCACTGAGACTTGCTCTGAGTAGCCCCTCCTTCTGCTTCATAAAATTAATAACTTTAATTTGCAGGCTCAGTCCTGAGCCAATTCTGATGAAAAGCTTTACTGTATAATATCAGAATTCTGGTTACACTGATGGTAGGGTCTGGCTATGAAGCCTCGTGTTGACTTTGCCTAGGTTGAGCACTGAGCAAGATTGAAAAGAAATTATTGTTTCTTGTGTCTATTACCTTTGATATAATAAAACCATAAATTAAGAAGTACCTAGGAGAATGCTTCATTTTCTGTGGCTGCTGTTACTGAAAGCAAATCAAGGATCTATCATAAAATAGCCTACAAGAATACTTTATATGCAAGAAAAATATACTGTTGTTTATTTGACGTTATATTTCTTTCCTTTTTTATTTGTATGTGTTACACAGATATTTCTGGTTTCCTGGAATTTTGGCCACAGATCATACCATCAAGTATGTGGTACTATTTCAAAATGAGGAGCAAATGAAAACTGCCTAAATATGACTGAAGAGTTTGTGTGATAAAATGACATAAATTCTGAATTTTGACTCAGTGATTACATGCCAGGCATTACTGGACAGTAGAACATGTATGCACTTTGAAATCAAAAATACCTATTGAGATTAAAAAGAATGGTTTGGCCTGTAAAATCTGACTTACCAGAATCAGATATTTTCTTCACTACTGAACTTTGCTAGTAATTAAAAAGATATGGGTGATAGCAATTCATTGGCAATCTGTTTCATTGCCTTTGGAAAGATTTAAAACAATAGTACAGTTCCATTAGGAACTGCTCAGTTTTTTATTAAACATGTTATGTTCTAGGCAATACATCCATAATATTGCTTGTTATAGAAGGAGCCATTCTGGTTATTGAACAGCTCCTTTTTATACTTCACTTATTATCTAGTTTATGTGATATCGTCCAGTGATCTATGACCCATATATCTATGAATTCTTGGGGCATGTACAATTGCAACCTAGACATACCAGATGTACTCTGCTAAAAGTTTTTCATATGTAAGGACTTTCTGTATTATCTGCTAGTAATTTAGAAAGGACTTTGACCAGAACATCTTGTTCTTTCCTAGATGTCCCTGGTAAAGAAAGAAAATATTTCATGGATATCATAAGGTTGCCACTAACATGTTCTTTCCCACATGAACTCAAATCCTTTCTTCATTGTTTGCTCACTAATTGTGATTATTCTGGGAGACCTTCATCAATTTCCTCTATATTAAGTCTTAAGGCCTCTGGTTTCCACCATACAGATTATTATTTTTATTTTTATCACTACAAATTATTTCTAACCCTGGATAAGTTATTTTTTTAAAGCCAGAATAGGCTTTACCCTAGAATGCAGAAAGCTGGAAAAAGCATTGCTTCCATGCTAAAAACAAGAAAAAGCAAGAGAAAAAATAAAAGTCACAACTTTTCTTGAACCCATCAGGTAGCTGAATTGTAAGAAAACCAAGTAGCCTGAAATCAAGGACAGATGGGACACTGGGCCTAGATCATCAGTGGAAGACAACAGGAGACTTATATAGCAGCTATACAAGTAGTAGGAAGAAATCAGCCAGAAATTTTTTTAGCAATCTCCATAATTTTATTTAGAGTTGACTTAAATTATTTTACTTAGAGTGGAAAATGTAAAATAGTTAATCCATAGAAACTTATTTAAGCCTTTATTTTAGGTTCAGGGGTATATATGCAGGTTTGCTATACAGGTAAACTCTTGTCACTGGGGGTTGTTGTACAGATTATTTCATCACCCAGGTACTACCCAATAGTCATTTTTTTTTCTGCTCCTCTCCCTCATCCCACCCTCCACCCTCAAGTAGACCCCAGGGCTTATTGTTCCCTTCTTTATATCCATGAGTTCTCATAATTTAGCCCCACTTATAAGTGAGAACATGTAGTAATTGGTTTTCTGTTCCTGCATTAGTTTGCTAAGGATAATGGCCTCAATGTTCCCACAAATGACATTCTCTCATTCTTTTTTATGCCTGCATAGTATTCCATTGTGTATATATACCATATTTTCTTTATCTAATCTGTCAATGATGGGTGTTCAGGTTGATTCCACATCTTTGCTATTGTGAATGAACATATGCATGCATGTGTCTTTATGGTAGAGTGATATATATTCCTCTGGGTACGTACCTAGTAATGAGATTGCTGGGTCAAATGGAAGTTCTGTTTTTAGCTCTTTGAGGAATCGCCACACTGCTTTCCACAATGACTGAACTTATTTACACTCCTACCAACAGTGTATACGTGTTCCCTTTTCTGCATAATCTCTTCAGCATCTGTTATTTTTTAACTTTTTACTAATAGCCATTCTGACTGGTATGAAATGGTATTTCATTGTTTTGATTTGCATTTCTCTAATGATCGGTGATGTTTTCATATGCTTGTGGGCCACTTGTATGTTTTCTTTTGAAAAGTGTCTGTCGGGTACTTTGCCCACTTTTAAATAGGGTTTTTTTTTTCTGGTAAATTTGTTTAAGTTCCTTACAGATGCTGGGTATTAAATCTTTGTCAAATGCAGAGTTTAAAAAATCTTCTCCCATTCTCTAGGTTGTCTGTTTACTCTGTTGATAGTTTCTTTTGCCGTGCAGAAGCTCTTAAGCTTAATTAGATCCCATTTGTCAATTTTTGCTTTTGTTGGGATTGCTTTTGGCATGTTTGTCATGAAATCTTTGCTCATTCTTATGTCCAGAATGGTATTGCCTAGGTTGTCTTTCAGGGTTTTTATAGTTTTGATTTTTACTTTTAACTCTTTTCTCCATCTTGAGTTGATTTTTGTATACGGTGTAAGAAAGGTGTTCAGTTTCAATCTTCCTCATATAGCTAGCCAGTTATCCCAGCACCATTTATTGAATAGTGAGTCCTTTCTGCATTACTCATTTTTGTCAGTTTTTTTGAAGATCAGATGGTTGTAGGTGTGCAGTCTGATTTCTGGCTCTCCATTATGTTCCTCTCTTCTATGTGTCTGTTTTTGTGCCAGTACCATGCTGTTTTGGTTATTGTAGCTCTGTAGTATAGTTTCAAGTTGAGTAATGGAATGCCTCCGCTTTGTTCTTTTGGCTTGAATCAGCTAAAATTTGAATGTATTGGTAAGTTAAATGTGGGCTAGCACTATAGTATAGAACACTGGGAAGCCTAGAGGCAAAAGAAGTTTGTATTCACTGTAGATTTGGAGCAGGTAGGTAGTCCAGAGAGAGCCACCTTCAGGGTGCAGGTGTTCAGAAGGGGATCTGCTGCCACAGCAGGAAAGGCATGAAGCCCCATCCCCTGCTTAGATTCCTCTCTCAATGGGAAAAAGCCTTAAATAAAGAAAGGGCAACAAACCCTGTCAACAGGAGTGAAGATTCATTGTTCCTGGAGGAAGTGTGGAAAGCACCCTCTACTCATGGGGAAGCAGTAGGCAAGAGTCCTCTATCTAAAATCCTATAAAACAATTAGAGATCTCCTACCACTGGAGGAGGAGCAAAAAACTTCCTCCTGCTCGTGACCCATACAGAAAATAGGCAGATTTTGGCTGCCATGTGGAAGAGGGGCAAGAACACTGTGGAAATCCTACCACAAAGCCCAGGCACACAAAGCCTACTTCCATTTAGCTGAACTAGACAGCATAGAACCTCCCTCTCATCAGCCCAGTAAGCGCCAAGTACCAAGCAACAGCAGTCTGATACTGAGAAATGACAAAAGTGTGACAAGAGACCCCCTGTAGAGTATAGGCAAATCAGGATGGCAGAAAGTTCAGCTTGGAGTATATACATTAAGGCAGAGCCTCAGAGGAATTTGAATTTTATAGTACCCTGAGGGTAGCCATATTAAAAACAAAATCCAAATCCAGCTTAACTCTTGACTAGATCAACTCAATTTTCCAATAATAATGGCCTAGCTGAAGAAGAGGCATATGTACTTTCAAGCATGAATAGTATTGCCTCCATCTCTACTGTTCTACACAATGTGGCTGGCATTCTTCTGAACTCATCGTATTTACTAACATCCAAACATCCTCTCTATATCTTTCCTACTCTTCAAATTGTCCAGCCATTGAGCAAATAAGTAATAGATTTTACTTAGGACCAAAACACAGAGTGTTCAGCCAACCAACAAATTTGCCTTCTTGCTGTGTCCTCACATGGTGGAAGGAGAAAGGCAGCTCTCTGGGGTCTCTTTGATAAGGGCACTAATCCCACTCTGGAGACTCTGCCCTCATGACCTAGTCATCTCCCCAAGGCTTCACCTCTTAATATCATCACTTTGGTGATCAGGTTTTCAACATAGCAATTTGGGGGGAACACAGTCATTCAGGCCACATTATACGCCATCAAAAGAAATAAGTAATTCAGGATGCAAAGCAGTTTTAGAAGAAACATAAAAATTCAGTTGTGGCTCTCAACACTGTGCATTAGAATGACTTGAGATACTCTTAGAGCCAGTTTTAAACTGTCTTATTTTCCCACTAAATGAAAATATAATGAGAACATGAGTCACATCATCTCTGAGTGCACAGTTATACCCAACAGCTTAGTGTTTGGCATAATAGGTGCTTTTAAAATAAATAAAATTCCTGAATTATCAAAAATTCTAAAACTTATATTACTTCTCTTAGGTTGAAGTAGTCAGGGTTTGGTAAGGAAACTTCACTAAATATGTCAAGTGATAAGGGATCTAATGCAGGGAATTAGACTCCAGAGAAAGCTTCCTTTATTGGTATAGGCATATAGGAGATCTGCCACCGCTGCAAGAAAGGCATGAAGAAAGGCATGAAATCCCTTTTAATACAGGGAATTAGAGGCTTACATAACCTTTGGAAACTGTGGAGGCGTGAATGCATGAGAAACACTGCTATCTTTTCAGGAGATCCATAAGAGAATGGATTGCAGAAAAGGTGCTGTCAATAATCTCAATTTTCTGAAAAGTCTAGGTGCGGCATTCTCAGGAGGACAGCTGGAACCTGCTAGCAAAATCTCACATCTGCCATTTTTCAATTCCATGTCTGCCCATTGCTACTACAGAAAAATTATGGCTTTTCTCTTTTTTATCCACCTCCCAAATATTAAATATGTTCCCCAACATTATTTTTTAAATGCCATTTTAAGTGTCATTTTTTAGCCACTGTAGTAAAAGGGAGAACTTTGAAAGGTGGGTGGAGCATCAACATCAAATGATATCTGGTAGATATAATGCATATTTTATTCTTAGGGCCTTTCAAAAAAGGTAGAAGGCAACCCTTTCACAAGTGTTTTTGTCTTCTCTTCCCTCCAACATGCAAAATTTAGGGACCACCTTTCTTTTCTCCTCTCTTGCCTCACAAATGCACATTTTCTTGTACTTTTGTTCAATATAAATATTTGATATCATCTGCTGATAGATTGATTCTTTCCATTTAATTCAACTGTGTATAATAACTTCTAGTGTAATTCCATTTAGTGTTGTTATTATTGTCACAGATTTTACTCCTTTTTTTTTTTTTTTTTTTGAGATGGAGTCTTGCTCAGTTGCCCAGGCTGGAGTACAGTGGCGCGTCTCGGCTCACTGCAACCTCCAGCTCCCTGGTTCAAGTGATTCTCCTGCCTCAGCCTCCCGAGTAGCTGGGATTACAGGCACGTGCCACAATGCCCAGCTAATTTTTGTATTTTCAGTAGAGACCGGGTTTCACCATGTTGGCCTGGATGGTCTTGATCTCCTGACCTCATGATCTGCCTGTCTTGGCCTCCCAAAGTGCTGGGATTACAGGTGTGAACCACCGTGCCCAACCACAGATCATACTCTTAAAGAGAGAAGGTATGATTGCTTTCTTGGCTCTGATTATGTTAGTCACAGAGTACACTCATCAAAAGTTGAGCCAGGACTGAGCACGCCTGTGTCCTCACATGGTGGAAGGGGAAAGGCAACAATCCCTGTAATCCCAGCACTTTGCAGGGTCGAGGTGGGTGGATCATGAGGTCATGAGTTCAAGACCAGCCTTGCCAACATGGTGAAACTCCATCTCCTCTAAAACTATACAAATTAGCGGGACATGGTGGTGGGTGCTTGTAGTTCCAGCTACTCGGGAGGCTGAGGCCGGAGAAATGCTTGAACCTGGAGGCAAAGGTTGCAGTGAGCTGAGATTGTGCTACTGCATTCCAGCCTGTGCAACAACAGTGAAACTCTGTCTCAAAAGACAAAAAATGTTGAGCCAGATGTCAGGACCTCAGAAGAATAAAAGCACTATTTGAAGAAACCCATTCATCACCTGGTCCAACCTCTCATTCAATGTACAAAAATCATAACATCTCAAAAACTCTTCCAACTACCAAGTTCTCACTTTATGGTGAGGAGTCCTTTCTGTTTTGTTTTTTTTTTCTCACAGATCAGATATTTACTCATTTCATATGGAGGATTTGTTTTCTAGTAATGCATAGACAATTAAACATTTTTTATCAAATGAATAGCATGAAGACATCATCCTACTAACTTTTACTTGGGTAAATATTTTCCCTTGTAAATGTAAGGCTTTATGTCTCTAAAATTTCACAGTGTCTGTTGCAGTTGCATAATAACATTTTCTGTTTCAATTGCACCATCCAATGCACAAGTCAAATTTCTCAGCTGTATGTATCTCAAATAAGAAGTAGCATTCCATATATTTACTCAAAACACTCTTAAAATAAGGAGAGAAAAATATAATTATAACAGGACTACGGGGCAAATCGCTCCTATTCTCATTTCAGTTAGACCCCAATGTATCATTCAATGGTTGAAGTTTAATTAGCTACAAATCTACCTGACAATAGCAATATAGTGTAACCATCTCAATTTTGGCCAAAAGACACATCATTATCAAATATCTTGCTGAAGTTCATTCTTTAAAAATATTTTACTGAAATGCAATTGACATAAAGTGAAACACGCAGATCTTGCATTACCATTTTGTGAGTTTTGACAAATGCTATCCTCCAGGTAATCCACATCCCCTAAAAAGATACAGATATTATCATCACCACAAAAAGTTCCCTTGTGTATCATCCAAGTCCTCTCACACTTTCCTCTCTCCAAAAGCAAGCAATATTCTGATTTATGTCACCATAAGTTAGTTTTTCCTGTTCTAGAACTTCACATAAAAGGTATCAAAGAAATAATGTGCATACTTTTGTGTATGGCTGTTTAATTTTAGCACAACATCTCTTAGGACGACATGAGGTGCATATTTTAAGTAGTTCATATTTTTTAAGTTGGTGACTAGTAGATTATAAATATATTATCATTTTATGTATTCATTCTCAAGTAGATAGGCATTTGGGCTGGTTCCAGGTTTGGCTGTCATGAATAAAACTGCTATGAGCATTCTTATACAAGTGTTTTTGTTGACACATATATTCCTTTCTCTCAAATAAATACTTAGGAATAGAACTACTGGGATATAGGGTAGTTGTATGTAATTTTCCCAAAATGATTATATTATTTTCTATTTACATCAGAAATGTGTGAGACACTTGGATACTCCAGATTCTCACAGTCAATGTTTTCAGTCTCCTATATTTTAATTATTCTAATGTGTGAATAATGATGAATTCCTTTTCATATGCTTATTGGCCGTTCACATATCTTTTTTGTGATGGAAGTTTACAGATTTAAACCATTTTTTAAAAAATTGGGTTACTTTATTTTTTAGTGACTTGTAGGGATTCTTTATATACTCTGGATGCAAGTATGTGTATTTACATACATGTCTATGTGTGTATGTGTGTGTGTGTGTGTGTATGCCCAAATATGTACTTATTGTTGTATGCCACTCTATGATTTGCCTACACATTTTCTTGATACTGCCTTTTGATGAGCAGACATTTTAATTTTTAAGTAAATGTAAGTTATCGGTTTTTATGCCTATTGCTTTCTGTGCTTTATCTAAAAGTTATTTACTTACCCCGAGGTCATGAAAATATTCTTATATTTTCACCTAAACGATTTATAGTTTTGGGGTCTATACTTAGATCTATAAAGGTTTAATTTATATCTTCTCAGTAGTGTTTTTACAATATGCTGAAAGACTTTCCTTTCCACATTAAATTGCTTTGACTATTTTTTTAATGAATTGACTGCACAAAAATGTGTATCTCTGGACTCTCTATTCTGTTTCATTGATCTATTTTTTATCTTTTTGCTAATATCAAACTGTCTAGATTACTATGACTTTGCAAAATATCTTGAAATTAAATAGAACAAGTCTTAATTCTCTTTTTTCTTTTCTCAAAAATTGTGTTGCTATTCTAAGCCCTTTGAATTTCCAATTAGACTTTAGATTTAGCTTGCTGCTTTATATTTTTATAAGTCTGCTGGGAATTTTATTGAGATTGTATTGAATCAATGGATCAATATTTAAAAATTACATTTTAACATTATTGAATCTTTTGATCTACAAACATGTATATTTATATAGGTTCTTTAAAATTTCACAATCTTTAGCAGTTGTCAATATAGAAGTTTTGCATTCTTTTAGTAAATTTATTTCAAAGCATACTTTTGTTTTTGCTATTATAAATAATATTTTCTAAAATTTTATTTTCCATTTGTATGCTGCTAATAAAGCTTTTATAAATTTCTGTATTAATATTGAATCTTATCACATTGCTAAATTCACTTATTAGATTTAGTATTTTTTGTAGATGCATTGAGTTTTTTTTTATTATTATTATACTTTAAGCTCTAGGGTACATGTGCACAACGTATATGTATACATGCTCCATGTTGGTGTGCTGCACCCATTAACTCTTCATTTACATTATGTATATCTCCTAATGCTATCCTTCCCCCCTACCCCCACCCCATGACAGGCCCCACTGTGTGATGTTCCCCTTCCTGTATCCAAGTGTTCTCATTGTTCAATTCCCACCTGTGAGTGAGAACGTGCGATGTTTGGTTTTTTGTCCTTGAAATAGTTTGCTGAGAATGATGGTTTCCAGCTTCATCCATGTCCCTACGAAGGACATGAACTCATCCTTTTTTATGGCTGCATAGTATTACATGGTGTTAGGGACACCATCATGCTCTTCTATTCAAGAGTTGTATTTCTTTCTTTACAATCTATAGGACTTTTGACTTTTTTTTTTGTGCTTTGTTGCGGCAACAATAATCATCAGTTCAATCTTGAATAGAAGTGGTGAAAGAGGATTTATTATGTTTTTCTGCCTCCGTTGACAGAATTATATGGATTTTCCCTCTTATTCTTATTTAATATGGTAAATTACATTGATTTTTCAATGGTAAACCAACCTGGATTTCCTTGGACACAATATATTATCCTTTTATATGTTGTTGTATTTAATGTGCTAATATTTTATTAAATATTTGTGCATGCATGTTCAAAAGGAATATTAATCACTAATTTATTTTCCTTGTAAGAGTATTTTCTGGTTTTGATATGAGGGTCATTCACCTTCATGAAAAGCAATGGAACATATAATTTCCTCCTCTATTTTCTGAAAACATTTAGTAATATTGGTATTATTTCTCCCTAAAATGTGTAATAGAATTCACCCGTGAAGTCATCTGGATTTCAACTTTTCTTTGTGAGAAAATTTCTGATAAGAAGTATAGTTGATCACATATTAAGCCATTCATATTTTCAGTTTTTCTTTCAATTAGGTTTGGTAAATTTCATTCTTTCAAATAATTTTTATATTTTAACTAAATTGTTAACTATATTGGCATATATTTTCCTTAATATTTTCTCTATACTTTGTCTTTTTTTCTTTTTAAATGAGGTCTTCCCTTCCTGCCCAGGCTGGTCTCAAATCCTGGGCTTGAGCAATCCTCCTGCCTCAGCCTCCCAAGTAGATGAGACTACAGACACATGCCACCTTGCCCAACTTTAATATTTTCTTATTATATATTTAATAACAACCCTAGGCACTAGAGATAGTTTCTGTCTTTCAATCCTGATATTGGTAATTTGTGGATTTTTAAAAGTCAATGAAGCAAGTTTTTAAATTAATTTTATTGATTTTTTTCAAGGAACCAATAAACCAAACATTTTCCTCATGCTGATTTTTTTTATTTATTTATTGATTTTCAGTTTTGTCTTTATTATGTTCTTCCTTCTACTTACTTTGGATTTAATTTTCTCTTCTTTTTATAAAAGTGTTTAAAGGTGGATATTAAATTACTGATTTGACACCTTTATTATTTTCTGTTATAATCATTTGATGGTGTAAATTTCTCTCTAAATATTCAGCTTTAGCTTATTCCCAGAAATCTTGATAGGATTTGTTTTTATTTTTATTTAATCCAAAATGTTTTCTAATTTCCTTTCAGGTTTATTCTTTGACCCACAAGAAATTTTAACATGTCATTTTGTCATTGACTTCTAATTTAATTTTTTATGGTTAGAAAAAATACTTTGTATCATTTAATTTAAAAATTATTGAAACTTATTTTATGATGCATTATATTAGACAATATCCTTGAAGGATGTGTCATGTATAATTGAAAAAATGTGTACTCTACGTTGTGAAATGCTCTGAAAATGTTAGTTATCATGAGTTGATCAGTGGTGTTTCTCAATTTTTCTATATTTTTACTGAATTATGACAACTTTTCTCTAACAATTGAGAAAACAGCAAAAAATTTCCAACTATAATTTTGAATTTGACATTTTATTTCTTTAGTTCTGTCAGTATTTGCTGCCTATATTTTGTTCTATTATCAGATGTGTACACATTTAGAATCTTTATTTTCAGAAACAGTCTCACTCTGTCACCCCAAATGGAGTGCAATGGCGTTATCAAAGTTCATTGCAGCCTTGAACTCATGGATTCAAGAAATACTCCTGCCTCAGCCTCCTGAGTAGCTGGGACTACAGGAATGCATCAGCACACCCAGAATTTTTTTAATACTTTTTTACAGATGGGGTCTTGCTATGTTGCTCAGGCTGGACTTTTGTCTTCTTAATGAATTAACCCTGTTATCATTATTAAATATCTCCCTTAAATTCTGGTGATATCATGAAGTCTATTTTTTTGCTGATAATAATAGAACCACTTTACCTTTTTTATTCTGACTTTTAGCATGGTATATACTTTTATTATTCTTTTACTTTCATACTTACATTTAAAGTACTTACGGTTAAATTGTATCTTTAAATATAAGCTCATACTTTAAGTGTGCTATGAAGATTACATTTTGTATCAACTTTACTGCACCATAAGATGCTCAGACTGTACATTATTTCTGGGTGTGTCTGTGAGGATGTTTCTAGATGAGAGTGATTTAAATCAGGGATTCAATAAAGTAGATTGCCTTCTATAATGTGAATGGGCATCATCCAATCCATTATTGAAGGCCTCAATATAACAAAAAGGCCAAAGGAAGGAAGAAAGAAGGAAGAATTTGCCCCTTTTTTCTTCCTGTGTGCTTGCTTTAACTGAGATATCGGTCTTCTGCACTTGGACTAGGATTGACACCATCAGCTCCCCTGATTCCCAGGCCTTCAGACTTGAACTGGAATTACTCCATTGGCTTTCCTGAGTCTCTAATTTGCAGATGGCAGATCATTGAACTTCTCAGCCCGCATAAATGGGTAAGTGAATTCCTCATAGCAAATATCTTATCTGTATTTCTATCTATATCTATCTATCTATATATACATATATAGATATAGGTTCTCGTTCTCTGGAGAACCTTGACCTAAAACATGAGCTTAAATTTAAAGTGTGTAGTGTCTCTTTAAAATAGTATCTAGTTAAGTATTGCTTTTCAAAATACAGCCTGACAATCTCTGCATTTTAATTGGAGTGTTTAGTTTATTTACATTTAGTATAATTATTTATCTGATTAGATTTAGAAGTACCATTTTCTCTTTGTTTTCTTATGATCTGATATGGTTTTTGTTTCTTTTTTCTTTTTTTTATACCTTTATTGTTAATTGAATTTTTTCAGTATTCAATTTTATGTCATCTACTGGCTTATCAAATATATCTCTATATTTTTATTTATTATATTTTATTGGTTGTTTTAGTGATATTATATAGATCCTCAATTTATCACAGTCCACCATAAATTAATATTTCCTCATAATATTATGCAAGACATTGCAACAGTATACTCTTTTTTTTTTTGAGATTGAGTCTCATTCTGTTGCCCAGGCTGCAGTGTAGTGGCATGTTCTTGGCTCACTGCAACCTCCGCCTCCCACGTTCAAGTGATGCTTGTACCTCAGCCTCCCCAGTAGCTGGAACTACAGGTGTGAGCAGCCATGCCCAGTTAATTTTTGTATATTTAGTAGAGACAGGGTTTCACCATGTTAGCCAGGCTGGTCACGAACTCCTGACCTCAGGTGATCCTCCCATCTCAGCCTCCCAAAGTTCTGGGATTACCGGTGTGAGCCACTGCACTCGGCCACAACAGTATACTTTTGTTTACATTCCTCCCATCTTTGTGTTATTGTTGTCATATAGTTTATTCCACATGTGTTATAATCCCCACACTAAATAAGTATTATTTTTCTTTATACAGATAATTTTCATGTCAGTAAATCAAAATATAAAGTAAAAACTGTTTCATATTCATCCATATATTTACTATTTAAAATTTTAAAAAATAATTTGTGATATCCAGGTTTTCTTCTAATTTCATTTTTCCTCTGACTAAAGAACTTTTAACATGTCTTGTAGTACAGGTCTGCTGCCACAACAACAACAACAAAAATTCATCACATCAGCTTCCTTTTCTCTGAGAAATTACTTATTGCCCTTCATTTTTTAAAAACACATGCAGAGGGTATTTTATTCTTGCTTGGCAGTTATTTTTTTTTCCTCTCTTAGCAATTTAAGTCATTCCATTTTTCTCTTCCTTAAATTGTTTCTGGCTTGAATTCAGCAGTCAATGTTATCTTTGCTTTTCTTGATGTAATATATATTTTCTGCTAAATAATTACAAATTAAATCTTCATCATCTTTTTTTAGCACTGCTACTATGATTTACCTAGGTATGGTGTTCTTTCTATTTATTGTATTTAGAATTCAGTAACCTACTTGTATCTGTAGCTTGATATCCCTCATTAAAATGTGCTACTGGACATTATTTTTTCGAAATTTTTATGCTACAATCTGTCTCTTCTGGAAGTACAATTCCCTGCTTGTTAAACTGCTTGAGCTTGTTTTGTTAATCTTTTCTCAGCAATTTTTTCTCTCTGTGCTTAATTTTAGAAAATTTATATTTAATTATCTTCAAGTTTACTGACTTTTTTAGCATTATACAATCTGCTATAAAGCGAATCTATTTAATTTATTTTAAATATTGAAATCTTCAATTATAGAATTTTCATTTTTCATAACATCAATTTCTTTTCTGAAATTTCCTACCTCTTTACTTGTTTTGTTCATTTTTTTCTTTTAATTCCTTAAACTGTTTGTAATAGCTCTTTTAAAGTCATTGTCTGCTAATTCTGACATTTCTGTTATCTCTGAGTCTGTTTCCAATTGCTGGTTTTTTTCTAGTTATAGGTAATATATTCCTGTTCCTTTGCATTTGTAGTATTTTGTTTTGTTTTGCTTTCTTACTACTGTTGATAGTATGTTATAAGTAACCTTGGCTTATGTTATATTTTTTTAAAGAGTGCTGTGCTTTGATCTGGCATCCAGTTAATTTTCTGAACCAACTAGGTGCTTTTCAAGCATGTTTTAAAGTTTTCTAAGGTGGGTCATGAGTATCTTTTACATTCAGGCTAGAATGGCCCTACTGCTATTCTGCAGTATCATCTGAATATTCAAGGTGTTTGCTGAGGTCTCTATTCTGTCTGCCTGGAACTTCTACTTTTGGTATGATCTCAAGAATTTCCATTCAGCTGACATTTCCTTAGAAATCGTTCTATGATAGCCCTTAAGGAGATTTCCTCAGCTCGTATGCAAATATTGGATCAAAGACATTAGGGCACCACTGTGAGTTTGTGGTACATCTATTCTGCACAGTACTTTTCTCTTCAGTATCATGTCCCATGCATTCTATCTGCCTCATCATCATCAATCTCTGATATCTGTCTTACCAGCTTAGTGAGAATGTCATGCTTTGCTTGGCATGTCTTCCTGTGCTACAGTACAGACAGTGACTGCAGACAGAAAGCCAGAGTGACTAAGGGTCTTACCTGATGTTTCTCTTATTTGGGGGTCACGATCTTATGCTGCTTTTTGTTGGATATCTAAAACTGCCATTTCACGTATTTTGTCCCTTTCCATAGCTGTTTATAGTGGGAGGGCTAGACCAGTAGTTATTCAATCATGCCCAGAAGCAGAAACAAAATAAAATTTTACCACAGCTGTCTCAATTTTTCAGACAAATAACGAAAGTGTATTCCTAACCTCTAGAGTCACAGTAGTATTTTAGAACCTAAAGCATAGACTCAAAGTTATCTGAGATTGGGTAAAGACAGAGAATCTGTCTTCTCTGTTAGTTTGGCCACTTCTGAATGACAGGCAGTTTAGGCCAGTTGTCCTAATAGCATAAGTTGTGAATAAAACTTCAATAGGGAGAAATCTATAAGGAGAGTCATTTTAAGATTATGTGAATTACTACAGGTAGAATAAACCATATATATGCATTCTGTCCTCTGCTGGTGAAGAATGATATCTGAGACACTGCTACATTATTTTGCAGTTTTTTTAATTGCAATTGTCACAGTCATCTTTACCTTCCATCTAGCATATTCAAAGCTTATTAATTCTCATTTTACCATTGGCTCCCATGTTTCTGGTACCAGTACTAAAATGTTTATAGGGTCAGTTTAGTGACAGCTTTCTTGGTACCTTTGAAAAGGCATTTTAAGTTTTATGGTAGCTATTGACAGTCTTGCTCTGGGATATCTTACACCTCAGAAACCTGCTTTCTTGGAAAGACACTCCTATTGATCACATTTGTTCCATATGGATAATTATGCTTGGTGGATTCCAGAAGAAATCTTGTTACTCTAAGGACCCAGTGATGACCAAAGACCTCTCTTTTGCAATCATCAAATCATTTGTTTTCTTATTTTTTAATGTTTTGGAATTTTCTTTCGCTAAATCTGTTTCTGGAATAAGATTTGCTTCCAGTGTTTTATTTTTTCTCTATTGTTCCCCTATGTGCCTTTTATACACACCTTTTAGGAAGGACTCAATTGTGTTCATAATAGCTTTACCTGCTCCTTGGATTGGTCTTTTAGTTTCCCTAATATGTGTAATGTGAGATGGAACCAAAAGCTCTCTTTCGTTTTACCTTCTCTTCTCCTTATTCCCAAAGAGAGAAAAATTCAATTTTCTACATATTCCTCTTATTTATCTTTTCTATTGTCCTATAGTGAGATATATGAAGTCAATGAATTGTGAGCATACCAAAGCAACCGGTGAAGAAATATATCTTGTCAGTCTTATTTCTCTGAGCTGGACAATATCGCCCAGAGATTATTATCCCATTGGACAAGTATTTTGCCTAGGTCTGATGTCAATTTATTTTTGACTTTCTTGTCTCCCCTTAATCTGCCTTATCTTAGCTATGTCTACCCCAGAGTTATATTTTCAAAATTTGGGGGCATAATTTTCTCAGGGCACACTCAGCAACTGCAAGCTAACCACGATATTGTTGACAACTTGAAGATCACCCAGCAGTTCTTAAAGTCTGTATTCTAATAGGATTTTCTGATATCTCCATCCCAATCCTGTGTAATTTGTAACTTTCTAGTTTAGCTCTTGGGAGTATAGGTAGTATATGTAACTGTTCTTACTCTGAATTCTCAAATTACAGCTTTACAAGTATGTTTCTTAGTAGTCCCCAGAACCTGATTCCTTCTGGGGAGCTGATAGACTGAGAATTTGCATGTTTTCTTTTGCTGTTTACTTTGGATTCCACTTCCCTTTTCTGCTTATAACAGCATCTCTCTCTCTCTTCTAACACCCTCTACAAGAATAACTAGATATGGCTACAATTATCCTTTTTCCTATATCTCCCTTAGTCTTTAAGATCTCATTTTCTTTTCCTTCTATGAATAATGTGTCCTCTAATATCTTTATCATTTCCAAGCCCTAAAGAAATGTATTTCTTCTTCAAGCTAGTTAGCTTAGGTTCATTTACTCCCCTTCATTTACTCAGATACTTTTCTGTGCATCTGTTCTAATGAGAATACTGAAGAGTATTTTTAAATATGCCAGTTCTTCCCTTGTTTTTTAGGCAAATGTGATTGTTAGAAACACAATATATTTAAATACCTTGGGTACCTTTGGATTTGCTAGAATTTCTTTGATTTCATGCTATACATTTACCAAGTAAAATATATTATCTTTAAAATTAGGGAGCACATTCATTTTTTATTTGTTTATGAACAAAATCCTTCACATTATTGGGGATGCACCACTTCAGTTGACTGAAATCAAGTTCAGAACTTGTATAAAAGGAAAAATCCATTACAAGTTATAATCATGCGATGATGGGTGATTCTTGAATTTGGCAAAGATGTTGCAACTGTACCTAAAAAGGCTTGGCACTAAAGATTTAAAGCTAGAACCTCAAAAAGGCTCTGAAGCAGAGGCATCTCAACTGCTAATCCAGTTTTAGGCCCATATCCCTGCCAAACATTTGATTTAAAAACAGGGTAAAAACAGCAATTAATTTTTTACAATGCTGGCTGGCAAGTAAGCCTTTCTGGGGGAAGAGAAAGAGACTGTTTTTCAATTGTTCAATTTATTTTTTAAAAAACTCAGACCTAGAAAGAAAATTGTAAGAATATTACAAAGAACACACACACACACACACACACACACACACACTCACATTCTTCATCTAGGTTTGCCTATTGTTAATATTTAGCCACATTTGCTCTCTTCTTTCTCTTCCTGTTTCTTCACACACACATACACATTCACACACATATACACATACGCACACATACACACACATCTATATGTAAATATATAATATATTTTCATTAATTTTGAGAAAAGATTTGAGAATAAAGTGTAAAAATTGAGACATTTTATTTCTAAAAACTGTAGAACAGATAATGTATCTCCTAACAAGGGGATTCTCTTACATAACTAAAGTTAAATTATCAATTTCAGGAAATTTAGAATTCAATACTATTATCTAATATACAATCCATACTCAACTTTTTCTAAATTAAAGCAATGTTTTCCTTTATAGAAATTTTTTTTTCCTCAACACAAGATCCAATCCAAGATTAACAACTGTGTTAGTTTTTGTTTCTCTTTATTCTCCTTTACTCTGGCATTCTCCTTTATTCTTTTTATATCCTTTATATTCTCCTTTATTCTTTTATTTATCTTTTATTCTCCTTTACTCTAAGATACTTAGGCTCATTTTCTCTTTTATAATATTAACATTAACATTTTTGATGAAAAAGGCCCAATATTTTTTAGAATGTCCCTCAATTTTGGTTTGTCTGATATTTTTATGATTTAAGATATCTTGTATGTGCGTGATTTTATTTCTATTCTAAACTTGCCTACGATAACAAACTAAGGAGTACTATGTAGTTCAAGGTCAGCTGCATTTGGCCAGTACACTAAGCCCTTACAGCTGACATTTGTTACAATTTGCACCTGCACCCTTCCCTGTATAAAAACAACACTTACTCAAATAATGTACCAAACCTTACAGTGATCTACCGAGGTTAAAGTCTTGCATGCATACTGGAACCTGAGGCTTAAAGCTACTTAGGCCACATCAGTTAAAAACTATCTGCATGATTATAAAAGATATTCTGCCTAACTCAACATAAATCGCTGTAAACCACCATAGTTAAAGAAAATACCTATGGACTATGCTTACTAAAGTGCCACAAAAGCCTAAAGTCACCTGCACTAGCCAAGTGAGGAGTTCCAATCTTTCTGTGTTACCTCTGTCTCCAAATTTAATCCTTTGCTTATGTTTCAAAGATCTCAGCGCAATATAGACACAATGCCTATGACTGGTGGGGTCTTAATACATAATTGCTATGTCAGATGGGATTGCAATGGATTACACTGATGTTTGAGCCTAAAACAAGATGTCCTTTTGCAAATGTGGTAAGAGCATAATTTTCTCCCGGTGTTGGAGAAAAATTACCTCCATTTTCCCATTAGATTATCCACCCAAACAGACAGTCAAATTTGATATTTCAACAAGGCTTAACCACAACTTCAGTTAGCCAAAAAATTGGGCATTGAAACAGAAGCACTCCTTAAGTGATGGGCTGAACCTCAAGGGCACTCATCAGACCCTGGATTTTGACATCCATGAAAGTGAATACCAGGCACAGAGAGCACAGATGTGTTGTTGCTGTTGACAGAAAAGACCCTGCAGTGTTGGCAAACAGAAATGAAAATGATGAACAAATCAGTCCAGAAAACAGGTGCTGACATGTGGCTTCATATCAGATGGAACACTTCCTTCACTTGTGTGACAAGGAAATCGAGGACAGAACACCCAGCAACATTACACAAAAACAAAATCTTGAAAAAAGAAACAGAGAGGCATAAAAATGATAGATGAAAAGGCCATAAGAAATGGCCTGATCAAACAATTCAAAACCGTTGGTGATTGAAGGCTGTGTGGTGATGCTTTACTCCCGGCTTCTGTCCTTGGCCTCTGGCGACTTCACCTCAGCTGGCTCTTGCATTGAATGAAGGTGGTAATACGCAGTTCTTTTTGGTGGACTAAAAAGGTTCTTTCGGTTTCAATGCAGGTTTGAAGAGCCCTGGATTTCTAACCATGAAAAAAGGGAAAAACTAGGACCAGGAGGCTTATTTTAGCACATCATAATGTAGCATTTTCTAACCTATAGAATTTTCTAGAAAGAATATTAGCCAGCAGTTTTCAAAGTTTGATGTAGGAGTCTCTAACTGTTCCTGAAACTCTTTAAAGGAGTTTGTGCAGTCAGAACTATTTACATAACACTAAAATGTTATTTGACATTTTCACTCTTATTTTCTTATGAGTGTAACCATGGAATTTTCCAGAGGCTACCTGTAGTGTGATGGCATTATCATTATCCATCTGATAGCTAATGGAATGTATATTTACGTTTTCTGGAATTTTCTAAGATAGTATAAATATATACTTTCTCAGGGATTAACTCAGTTTGTTCTCAGTACTTTTCTTTTACTATCTCTGGCTATCTGCAATTATACCTCCCAGTCTCTCTAAGTTTGTTATCAAAAAAGTCATTATTTTGAAATTCCTAGATAAACCCTGCAATTTTATAAAAAAGACAAAAGGTACATTTTGGAATTTCAACATAATAACTTTATTAGGTAATAATGAGGTTAAATGGGAAGTAAAATTACTAGTACAACAGTGGCAACAAGGTATACTGGTAACTTATCTCTATCATACTAGTAAATGCCAGTTTTACATAAAACCATCTTTGATAAAGTTGTAGCAATGTCTAACTTTATCAGGTATTGACCCTTGAGTACTTTCTTATTTATGTTTTGTGTGACAAAACGGGAAATATACGTAAAGTAGTTCTGCACACCAAAGTACAATAGTTGTATCAAGAAAAAGCACTTGATTTTGTGTGATTTTGTTTTGATCTAACTGCTTTTCTCATAGAACAGAAATAGAGCAACTATGGTTATTCAGACTGATGTATTTGGCAGACGTTTTCTGAAAAATGGACAAAGTGAGCCTGCCATTTTGAAGAAAATAGTGGCCAATATTTGTAGTCAATGATAAAATTAGGGCTTTCTAGCAAAAATTAAGATTTTGGCAAACTTGTGTCCATCAGTATTAACTTTTAAACTTTGCAATATTTAAAAACTTTACTATGGAGCTCAGTAATGATATTAACAAATGTGATTTATTGATGATATTATCTAATAAAATGTGTCTATGGAAGATCCACATAAATTATTAAATATTAAATATCAACTAATATTTTTCGAGTGATCCATGCATGATGTTACAATACCATACATGAGTCAAACATTCCTTGAGACTACAGTTAGACTAATGAAATTTAATGTGACAATTCATTTACATGGTTTCAGATTCTACATTGCAAATAACCTAGACAAAACTACACTTACGTCATTTTTGTGTGGTATCAAAGAACAGCATATATAATTATTTGAAAATGCTGCTGAAATATGTACTTCTTCCAATTCAGATCTGTGTCAAACGGATTTTCTTCATTTACTTCAGCTAAAACTACATACTAGAACTCACTGGGTGATGAAGCAGATATGAGAGTCTAGTTAACGTCTAGCAAGCCAGACTTCAAAGAGGTTTGCAAAAATATAAAATAATGCCATTTTTCTCACTATTTTTGGAAAGTATACATTTATTTTAACAAGTAGTACTTTTTGTGAATTAATATTTGTTTTATATTGGTAATGGAAGTAATATAGCTATACAGACAAAATAAATATAAGCTCTTTGGGGCTCTCAATTTTTTATAGTATAAAGGGATAATGAGACCAAAAAGTTGAAAACTTCTGATATAAGCTACTTTTCATTTCTATAATATCAAACAATTGTGGACATTTATCTCAGGAACTATTCTAGGTGTCAGAGTGTCAGAGGAGAAAAAAAACAGAACATACATTTAAGATGTTGAATGTAGTGAAGAAAAAAACTTGAAAGGCACCTGACCTTATTTCTGTAACATTAATGTGAACTATACGCTAATATTATGAGAATTAGATGCCTTCCAAGTTTTCGTTGTTGGTGTTGTTTTGAGACAGGGTCTCTCTGTGTCACCCAGGCTGGAGTGCAGTGTTGAGATCTTGGCTCACTGCAACCTAAATCTCCCATGCTCAAGCAATCCTCCCACCTCAGCCTCTGGAGTAACTGGGACTACAGGCACATGCCACCACCCTCAGCTATTTATTTTACTTTATTTTTTGAGAGATGAGGTCTCATTATGTTTCCCAGGCTGGCCTCACACTCCTGGGGTCAAATGAGCCTCCCGCTTTGGCCTCCCAAAGTGCTAGGATTACAGGCTTGAGTCACTGTGCCTGGCTGCCTTCCAAGTTTTACTCAAAACATTCAATATTTATTGAATGCCTACAATATGTCAGGTGCTTCATATTCATTATTTCTAATTTTTGCAGTCTCTGTCAAATATCTCCATGTGAATAATGAAGTTGAGATCTAAAGAAGTAAAGAAACGTGCCCATGAATGCACTACTATTTATTGACAGAGCCATAAATCAAGCACAGGACTGTCTGTTTCTAAAATGCAGATTGTTTCCATTTTACAAAAGCAGTATCACATAGAAAATGCTTAGATAGAAATTTGATGACTCAAAAAAAGAAATGTCATGTAAAATTTTCCTGCATCAGAGGTGGTTGGACAAATTAGCATTTTGATACTGCCTATATCACAGATATTGCGAGTATTGTGATTCAAATATTCATTCAATATTGTGATTCAAATATTTATTCTGTTAATATGGTACATTATATTGTTATTTAAATTTAAAAATACCATAGCTTTCCTGGAATGCCACCCACATAGTTATAATGTAATACATCATTATCCTATATAAATACTAATGGATTTGGAACATAAATCTTAGATCTTGGCTTGGTTTTCCTATGAAGGTTATGCCTTCTACCACAGTTTTCTGAAAATGTTTGTGTACAAGTGAAAGTCTTTTCTAAACATTCGACAATGGAATCTTATTTGTGGAAATGTTTTTAATTACAAATGTATTTCTTTTATAAGATATAGGGATATTCACATGTTCTATTTTACAATGTGTTAGATTTTGGTAATTTGAGTCTTATTATTAATAGCAATTTGTCTATTTTATCTAAGTTACTGGAATTTTATGAGGATAAAATTGTTCGTAACATTTTATTAGTTTATAAATGTGGAGGATCTGTAGTAACAGCCTTCTATTTCTGACACTATTAATTTATGTTTTGTATTTTATCCCTTATTAGTTTGGCTAGCAGTTTTTAAAATGTTATTAGTTTTAGCATAAACTTTTGACTCAATAACTTTCTCTGCAATTTTCTATCAACATTTCTTTTTGCTCCTATTTTTATTATTTTCTTTCTTCTATCTACTTTGGATTTAATTTTCTCTCTTTTTCTTAAATTCTTACTGTAGAAGCTAGATTATTTTTCATGCCTTTCTTCTTTTTAATGTAAATAAAGATGTAAATTTCTCTAGCCAATAACTTAGCATCATCCCATAAATTTTTATTTGTATTACCATTCCGTTCCAAATTATTTTCTATTTCCCTTGTAATTGTTCTTTGATATGTGATTCATTTAAATTGGTATTGTTAGTAATATTTGGAGGTTTTCCAAATATAATTTTGTTATTAGTAACTAATTTAATTTCACTGTGGTTAGATCATATTTCAACCTTTTTCAATTTATTGCAACATGTTTTATGACCCAACATATGTTCCAATTGGGCCAGCATTCCATGTACATTTGAAAATAATATGTATTCTGCAGTTGTTGGGCGTGGTTTACTATAAATGTCAAAAAGATCAAGGTGATTGATAGTGTTGTTCCAATTAACTATATCCTTAGTGATTTTATTTCTATTGCTCTATCAATTATCAATAAAAGCTGTTAAAATCTCCAATCATGGCTGTGAATTTGTTTTTCTTTTTAGTGTTGCCAGTTTTTAGTCCATATATTCTGAGCCCCTGTTAATTAAGTGCACACGTATTTAGGATTGTTATATTTTCTTGCTCAATCCACTCTTTTGTCATCTTGAAATGCTCTCTCTTTATCTTTTCCGATAATCCTTGTCTGTAAGTCTATTGTGTCTGATATGAATCACTACCATCAACGCCATTTATTTTTTAAAAACTATCTATTATCTAATAGATTGCATTTGTATCTCTGTCAAAAATTAGTAGACCGTATTTATATGTGTCTTTTTTTGTACTCTCTCTTCTGTTTTATTGATCTGTCTGTTCTTTCTTTCACCAATACCACATTGTCTTGTTTACTGAGGATCAAAATTGGGTTACTGCTTCTTTTACATTTGTTGACCTTTTAAACGTTGTTTTGATTATTCTAGTTCCTTGGCTTTCCATATAAATTCTAGAATCAGCTTATTTACGTTTACAGAAACATTTCTGGGAGTTTAGTTTGCATTGCATTAAATCTATTAAACTTTTTTGGAAAAATTGACATCCTAACTACATAGAATATCTTAATCCATAAATAAACATACTTTTCTTCATTTATTTAGATTTTTTATTTATTTCATTAGTGTTGTATATTTTTCAGGAGAATCTGTGCATATTGATTATATTTATACCTAAATATTTTATCTTTCATACAGCTATTGTAGGTGGTATTGTTTTCTTAATTTCAGTTTCCAATTTTCTAACGTTGATTTGTAGAAATATGGCTAATTTTTGTTGGATGATTTTTTATGCATGATATGAACTTGTTAACTTCGCTTAATAGTTCTAGGAGCTTTTTCTGTGGATTGTGTAAGGTTTTCATCAGAGATAATCTTGCTAATTTAAAATAGGGGCAGTGTTTCTTTCTTTTCCATAATCTGCATGCCTTCAATTATTTTTCTTGTAATATCTTACTCTTTAGAATGTTTAGTATGATGTTGAATAGGCGGTAAGCATGGACATGCTTGCCTTGTCCCTAAGCTGAGGAAGAAATTATTCAGTTTTTCACCATAAAATATGATGTTTGTTGTAGACGTTTTTCAAATTTATTGTATCAGTGTTAACAATGGCTCCTTCTATTTTTAGTTTGCTGACAGTTATTATCATGAATTGATATTGAATTTTGTCAGTAGTATGTTCTACACCAATTGATAAGAATCTGTGATTTTTCTTGTTTAGTCTATAAAGATGGTAGATTATATTAATTTTCAAATGTTTAACCAGCCATCCATTCCCAGGATAAATCCTACTTTGTGGTGATATATTAGTCTTTTCATATATTGTTTCATTAGATTTACAATATTTATTGAGGATTTTTGTGATTACATTCATAATAAATATATATCTGTTGTTAACTGTCTTTCCTTGTGAGTTTTTCGACTGATTTTAGAATTTGTGTAATGTTGGAATAAAATGAGTTTTACCTCTACTTCTAATTTATAAAGAGATTGCATAGAATTTGTGTTACTATTTTATTCTTTAAAAGTTTGGACTATTCAGGTTATTTATTTCTTCTCAGGTAATTTTGATAATGTGTGACTTTAAGAAATGTATTATTTCATCTAAGTTGTTCAATTTATGTTCAAGGAGTTTTTAATAATATTCTCTTCCTTTTTTAATGTCTGCATGGTCTGTAGTGATATGCTTTCTTCCATTCCTGATATTAGTTATTTGTGCCCTCTCTATGAAATTGAATCTTACTGTATGTTTATTAGTTTTATTGATTTTTTTCCAAAGAACAAGTATGTTAGTCAAAGTTCTTCACAGAAATATAAATAACAGAAGATATTTGTTTATTTATTTATATGAATGAATTGGCCCACATGACTGTGAAGGCTTTGCAAGTTTAAAATCCACTGAGAAAGGTTGGCAGTTTGGAGACTCAGGAAAAAGTGGTGGTTTGAGTCCATAGACAGTCAGTTGAAAAGTGCTGCAAATGGAATCTGAAGGCAGTCTGCTAGAAAACTAGGAAGAGCTTATGTTTCAGATGAGGTCTTAAGAACTTTCAGCTGATTGGATAAGGCCCACCCAAATTATGACAGGCAATCTGATTTACTTAAAGTTTATCAATTTAAATGTAAGTTACATCTAAAAAAAACCTTCACAGAAACATCCAGAATAATGTTTGACCAAATATCTGGACAATATGGCTCAACCAAGTTGACACATAAAATTAACTAACTATCACAACAAAATTCGGTTTCATTGATTTCTCTATTTTTTCCCTGATTTCAACTTCATTGATTTTTTTAATCTTTTTCTTATTATTTTTCCTTCTGCTTGCTATGGGTTTATGCTACTTTTTTTCTGATTTTTTTAGATAAAAAATAATTATTCAAAGTCTTTCTTTTATATCAGTAATATTTAAAACTGTACATTTCCCTCTAAGAACTGTTTTAACTTCATCCCATAAATGTTGATGTATTATATTCTAATTTCCCTTCAATTAAAAATATATTCTTATTTCTTGAAAATTCCTTTGATCTTTGTTTAATTTCCAAGTATTTGAGAATTTTGTTCATGTATTTCTGCTATAGATCCCTAGTTCAATTATATTGTGGCCAAAAAAACAAACTGTGTAATTTCAATTCTTTACATTTATTGACATTTATTTTGTGACTCATGATGTTAAATCTACTGTGATAAATGTTCTATGTGCACTTGAAAGTAATGTGGATTCTGCTGTTGTTATGTGTAATGATCTATAAATATAAGATCTAACTGGTTGATGGTGTTTTTCCAATCATCTTTATCCATATGGATTTCATTATGTTTGCACTATTGTTAAACCTGCCACCTATAATTGTGATTTCGCTTATTTATCCTTTAAATTGTATCAATTTTGTTTCATGTATTTTAAATATCTGTTGTGAGGTGCCTATACACTTAGGGTTATTATATCTTCTTAAATAAACCCTTCTATCATATTGTTTTCTTCTTATTCCTGATAATTTTCTTTGGGCTGACATGCAATTTGTCTGATATTACTGTGGCTCCTTGAGCTTTCTTTTGATTAGTTTTTGCATGTGATTTTTTAAACTGTTTTTATTTTAAACTATATATACCATTATATTTAAAGTAGCTTTATCATATACAACTTATAATTGGGCTTTGTTTTTTTAATCCAATTTGACAATCTTTCACTTGGTGTGTTTCGATCATTTACATTTGATGTAATTATTAATATGCTTGAATGTATGCTAGTATTTTATTACTTGATATCTATTTGTCCTCTTTGCTTTTAGTTTTTATTTTTCCTTCTCCTGCTTTTTGGTTGAATTTTTAAATCCTTTTTGCTATTGCATTTTTATTTAATGAGTTTTTTACTATATTTTTGTTCAATATACTCAGCGATTTCTCTAAGGATTATAATATAAATGCTTACTTTACAATCCACTTGAAACTAATGTTTTATCACTGCAGTTTGAATTTGCAAATCTTGCCACCACAGTCCTTTATTCTTTCTCCTTTTTGTTGTTGTCATATATATTACATCTACATACATTCACAAAACCCACCAGATAATGTTATAATTTTTAATATGTCATACCTATCCTATTTAAAATTATAATATATTTTAATACACTTAACCAGATTGTTACAATCTTTTTTATTCTCCCTTCATTTCTGAAATTTGTCCCACCCTGAAGTTTCCTATAACATTTCTTTCAGTATAAATCTGCTGATGACAGAGTTTCTTTGTTTTTCTTCATCTGAGAATGTTTTTATTTCACCTTCACTCTTTAATGAATTTGTTTATACAGAATTCTGGATTGATAATTATTTTCTTTCATCACTTGACAAATGTGTTACTGCCTCTGTGGATTCACATAAGAAATCCACTATTATATAAATCCACTATTACATGAATTCTTGTTCCTCTAAAGGTAATGTATCATTTCCATGTTTTTCCCCTTTGATTTCCACAAGTTGGATCATCCTATGTCTGAGTGTAGGATTCCTTGAGTTTATACATTAAGGGCTTTTTCAAAAACCATTTAATGGAGGGGCTTCAAGATGGCTGACTAGATACATCTTCCATGAAGAGGAACCAAAATAACGAATAGACAATCATATTTGGAATAGGTTATCTAAGAGAGAACTCTGACATTCAATAGAAAAGTGACAGAAAGCACCAAAAGCAAAGAGAGAAATGAGGCAGCATGTTTGCCTGGGATTGGCTGGGAATTGAAGTAGCTCCTTAATACGGGGAAAAGGTAAGAGAGAGACCCTCAGTATTCCACATTCCTGCCACAGACTCCTACAATTCCAGGAGTGGAAGAGCCCCTTAACCCTCACAGGTCCCAGGATTAACATAAAAAAGCTGCCTGGAGACTGTGTGAAGGCATTGCTCTAGAGAGAGTGCTCATACGGGGTACCACAAACCCCTATGTCCTAAGCAGTTGCAGCATGGTGCTGTTATAAGAACACAGTGTTTGCCAGTCAGTATCCTACACTGCCACCTGGGCTGAGGCATGAACCATGAACAATGATCCCACACATTCCCCCGACCCCAGCACAGGTACTGCCTCACATTTTCATGTGTCCCAAGGACAAATTCCACTGCCAGCAACTGCCACTGCTGTGGGCTGCTGCATAGCTGAGGCACAAGTGAAATTGATGCCCCACAGCTGCTTGTTTGCGGCTGCTCCCAGGGAAAGCAAGCTTACCCTTTCCAGTAACAGGGTCTCGGTACAGCCTCTGGAGTACCCCTTGAGCATTCTATCAGCTACCTGGGGATAACCATGTCTCTGCTTACCACAGCTAACACTTTAATGAACAATTCACCACCAAGGGGCCTGAAGGTAGGTCCAGGTTCACCAAGCTTCTCCCCCATAGTACCTAAGCATACTGTCCAGAGACAT
This sequence comes from Homo sapiens, assembly GCF_000001405.40. Classification (NCBI taxonomy): domain Eukaryota; kingdom Metazoa; phylum Chordata; class Mammalia; order Primates; family Hominidae; genus Homo; species Homo sapiens. The sequence goes on from NC_000001.11 coordinate 69,029,543, forward strand.
GAAGCCCAGTCCAATCCACCAGTGGCACCTGAATTCTCCTGGGGTCTGAGATCAGGACCACTCAATCTGCTGCTACCACCACTACTGGCAACAACCTGCATAAACTACTTTAGGTCTGGGCACCAGCCTGTCCAACCTGTTGCAACCACTACACATACTCACATGCACCGCTTTGGTCCTAGGCATTGTCCCACCACTGCTACTGTCATCACCCATGCCACATTCAATTCTTAAGTGTTCAAGAACCCACCCATCTACCCAAACCACGACTGTCATTCCTAGAACATGAGCAAGCCACCTAGAGGCCTAATAATCAGCCTGCCTAGACTTGGTAACACCAGTGCCAGCATACACCACTCAACGACAGGCATGCTAAACCTACCAGTGCTATCTCTAGGGCCTGAAGACTGGCCCACCTGGAAGTCAGGTGCCCAGAAAAACTTCACCACAGCCTCCACTAATAACCATACCCTCAGCCACCAAGGAAATCATAGACACCACTGACACTGTTTATAGCCAAAGAAATTATACAAAGACTACAGTACTGAATGCAGCCAGAAGCAAAACTAAAATGTTTTATCCAACCAACACCACAGATACATTTTCAGAAAAATGTCCTTCGCAATGAAAGCAAATTCAAAAACTGGAAGAAGCAACAATTATACCAGAAGCACATATATCAATGTAAAAACACAGGAAACATGAAAAAACAAGGAAATATGACATCTCCAAAGGAACACAATAATTCTCCAGCAACAGATACCAATAAAAAAGAAATTCATAAAATCCCAGAAAAAGATTTCAAAATATGCATAATATAGAAGCTCAGTGAGATAAAAGATAATTCTGAAAAACAAAACAAATAAATCATAAAAACAATTCAGAATATGAATGAGAAATGTATCAAAGAGATAGATATCATACAAAAGGAAAAACTCCAGAAATTCTGGAACTAAAAAATTCACTGAATAAAATACAAAATACATTCAGCATCTTCAACAATACAATGTCTCAAGCAAAAAAAGAGAACCTCAGAACTTGAAAATAGGTCTATTGAAATAATCCAATCAGGTAATTATAACGAAGAAAGAATAAAAATGAATGAGCAAAGTCTTCATGATATATGGAACATCACAAAGTAACAAAATATTCAGATTTTTGGTGTCCTAAAAGGCAAAGAGATAATGAAAGGGTTAGAAGACCTATGTAATGAAATCATAGGTGAAAACTGCCCAAGTCTAGCAAGAGATTTAGATATCCAGATTCAGGAAGTTTAAAAGATCCCCAAATAAATATAATACAAAAAATTCTGTTTTAGAACACATTATATCTAGTCAAAGACAAAGAGAACGTTTTAAAAACAGCAAAAGAAAAGTGTCTAGTCACCTATAAAAGAACCCCCATCAGTTTAACAGCGGATTTCTCAGCAGACTTACAGGCCAGTGGAAAATGGGATGATATATTCAACGTGCTGAAAAACAATGTCATTTTTCATGGAATTAGAGAAAAACAATCATAAAATGTGTATGAAATCAAGACAAATAGCCAAAGCAATCCTGAGCAAAGTCACCCAAGCTGAAGGCATAACATTACCTGACTTCAAAATATATTACATATAGTAACCAAAACAGCATGCTATTGGTATGGAAAAAGACACATAGACCAATGAAATAAAACAGAGAACCCAGAAATAAATATTTATAGACAACTGATTTTTGACAAAGGCATCAAGAACTTACACTGGGGAAAGGACACCCTCTTTAATAATTCATTATGTGAAAAATGAATATCCACATGCAGAAGAATAAAACTTGAAAGCCTATATCTCACTATATACAAAAAACAACTCAGGATGGATTAATGGCAAAAAAGTAAGACCCAAAACTATAAAACTATTAGAAGAATACATAGGGAAAACACTTCAGGACATTGGTCTAGGCAAACATTTTATGGGAAAGACCTCAAAAGCACAGGCAACTAAAACAAAAAAAGGCAAATTGGAACTATATTAAACTCAAAAGTTTCTACACAGAAAGCAATCCATAGGGTAAAGAGACATCTTGTTGAATGGGAGAAAATATTTGCCAACTATTCATCTGACAAGGGACTAATATTCAGAATAGACAAGGAACTCAAACAACTCAACAGAGAACACAGTAAAACAAATAATTCTATTAAAAGTGGCCAGAGGATATGAATAAACATTTCTCAAAAGAAGATGTAGAAATGGCCAACAGGTATATGAAAAAAAATCCTTACTATGACTAATCATCAGAAAAATGCAAATCAATACATCAATGAGATATCACCTTACCAGATAAAATGGCTATTATTAAAAAGACAAAAAGTAACAGATGCTGGTGAGGACATGGGGAAAAGGGAACTGTTACACACTATTGGTGGGAATGTACATTAGTGCAACCACTATGGAAAACATTATGGAGATTTCTTAATAAATTAAACATGGAACTATTATATGATCCTGCAACCTCACTGCTGGATATTGATCCAAAGGAAAAGAAATCAGTATAGCAAAGTGATACCTGTATCAACACTGTATCACCTGTAGTTGCATATTTATTACAGCACACAGCACTGTACAAAATAACACAGATACAGGATCAATCTAAGTGTCCATCAATGATGAATAGATAGAGAAAAGGGGTAGATATGCTATTTGGCCATCAAAAGAATAAAATTATGTCATTTGCAGCTACGTGGATGAAACTAGAGATTATGTTAAGTGAAATAAGCCAGACCCAGAGAGACAAATTTTACATATACTTACTCGAATTGGGAGCTAAAAAATTTGATCGCATGGAAGTGTAGAGTAGAATGATAGATACCTGAGCTTGGGAAAGGTGTGTGGGTGGGAGGAAGAAATGAAGAGAGGTTGGCTAATGGGCACAAGCATGCAGTTAGATACAAGGTGTAAGTTTCACTGTTTGATAGCTCAGTAGGGCGACCATAATTAGCAACACTGTATTGTATATTTCAGAGTAGCTACCAGATAGAACGTGAAATGTTCACACAACATAGAAATGATAAATACTCAAGGTGATGGATATCCCAAATACCCTGACTCAATCATTACACATTATATGCATGCAACAAAATATCACATGTACCCCATAAATATGTAAAATATTAGGTATCAATAAAATTTTAAATTAATTTTTAAAATCTTTAATTTATAAATTTATTTCTTTTACCAAAATTAGGAAGTTTTCAGTCACTATTTCTTCAAAATTTTTTTCTGCACTACACTCTGTTCTAATGCTGATCTTCCAGTAACATGAATTTAGACCTTTTGATATTGTCCCACAGATCAGTGTCAAATTAGTGTTTCAAAACATCATGGAATCCCTATGGGTCACATGACAAGGTAAAACTTTATAAACAAAATAGACCTGAATCATTCTTGATGGATTAAAAAGATTGGAACACACTGAGAGAAATGGAAAAAAATTGTATTATTGGTGGCTGTAGAATCCTGAAACCACACTGCAGGAGAAAAACTGATGACTCCCTTCTACTTTTTTATAAACCAGACTTTTATGTAAAGGAGGTAACTCTAGATAAACATAATATATTCTAAACCATAAGGTTCAGTCATGGCAAGGATGAAGATCCTATCTAGCCCCCACAAAACTGACACAAGCAAATATTTCCTTGACATCTCATGCCTACCTTCTCTCATTATCTGCCTGTTGGCCATCCTTTATCTTGTCTGCTTCCCTGACTATGGGGCATCCAGCACATTTATTTATCTCAGGCTGCTTATGAATTTTGGGTAACAAGCTGAAAAGTATAAGCACAATTGTTAAAAATTCAATGTGATATTCTTTTCAAGAAAATTCACTTTTTAAAAAGAATAGCAATTATCATATAAAATTAATTATTAATGGAAGAATGTCATGACTCACACTGTATAATAATTTGGAATAGCTGAAGGCTTTCTTCTCTTTCACTTACAATATGTGAGTCAGGAATTAGTGTTCCCATGTACGTAGAAGTGACCCACTGATACTAGTAATCAAGATGCTCATTCAAAAAATGTTATATACCATGCAAAATTTTTGCATACTCAGAAGAGAATGCAATTAAATATTAAATACATGATATTTCTTGAGAAATATTTGACTCCTAAATGAATGAAAATCTATAATAAAAAAGGCAGAAGAATAGAATGGGGGTGGAATATGTTTGTTTCAAGATAGGCATGACATAATGAAAATATTTATTAATATCTTGTGCACTAAATTGACAGCTGATTCAGGAGAATGTAGTTCTTTGATTCCAGCTCATAAAGAAAACATTCAGTGTATATGAATGCCATTAGCTCAAAGAAATAAAACGTAGTTGTTGTTTGAAGGAAACTGCTTCTGTTTTTATTTTCCTTGACTGGTGATAAATCTTTATTCTCAAGCATTTTATTAAGATTGTGGGATGTAAAGAAAGAACACTCATCTTCAAAGAAACCTAAGAAACCCAGGTTATTTCATCAAGTTCTGTATTGTAAATTTGGAATTAAATTTCATTCTTAAAAATTCCTACTGAGTACTCATAATGTGACTGACAGTCATTGTAGTAGATGCTTAACATCTGCACTTCATTTGATCAATACGAGCACTCTGTGATATAAGTGTTATGATTCCTATTTCTTTATTTGTTTGTTTCTTTGTTTATATTTTAGAGGCAGACTCTCACTCTGTGACTCAAGCTGGAGTACTGTGGTGTGATTACAGCTCACTTCAGCCTTGAACTCCTTGGCTGAAGTAATCCTCTCACCTCAGCCTCCCAAGTAGCTGGGACTACAGGTATGCACCACCATACCCAGCTAATTTTTGAATTTTGTTTTTACAGATGGTGTCTTACTATGTTTCCCAGGCTGGTCTCAAACTTCTGGCCTCAAGCAATCTTCCACCTCAGGCCTCAAGACTACAGGCATGATTAACAAATATGGAAACCCAGGTTCAGAGAAGTCGAGTGATTTGGTCAAGTTAGTTATGATGGCTAATACTACTAAATGTCAACTCAATTGGATTAAAGAATGCAAGTATTGACCCTGGGTGTGTCTGTGAGGATGTTGCCAAAGGAGATTAACGTTTGAGTCACAGGGCTGGAAAAGGTAGACCCACCCTTAATCTGGGTGGGCACCATCTAATCAGCTGCTAGCACAGCCAGGATATAAAGCAGGCAGAAAAACATGAAAAGGTTAGACTGGCTTACAGTCTACATTTTTCTCCCATGCTGGATGCTTCCTGCCCTTGAATATCAGACTCCAAGTTCTTCAGCTTTGGGACTTGGACTGGATTCTTTGCTCCTCAGCTTGCAGATGGTCTATTGTGGGACCATGTGATAGCATGAGCTAATACTACTTAACGTACTTAATATATATGTATATATATATCTATGTGTATATATATATGTATATATATGTGTGTGTATATATATACATAGATATATATATATACATATATATATATATTCTATTAGTTCTGTCCCTCTCAAGAACCCTGACTAATACAGTAGTACAACTGGAAAGAAGAAGAATGACATAAACCCTGATCCTTGAGTCTGAATAATGTACTTTTTCAATTTACTTTATTAAATTCTTTCCACTATAGTTTAAGATAAAGAAAAATAAACCGAGCAGCCAAAACAAGATGGTGAAATAGAAAGCTCCACCAATCATACCCCTGTAAGGACATCTAGTAAAAATTATCTACCTAAAAAAGACATCATCCAGTTTCAGCTTTCTACATATGGCTAGCCAGTTTTCCCAGCACCATTTATTAAATAGGGAATCCTTTCCCCATTGCTTGTTTTTCTCAGGTTTGTCAAAGATCAGATAGTTGAAGATATGCGGCGTTATTTCTGAGGGTGCTGTTCTGTTCCATTGATCTATATCTCTGTTTTGGTACCAGTACCATGCTGTTTTGGTTACTGTAGCCTTGTAGTATAGTTTGAAGTCAGGTAGCATGATGCCTCCAGCTTTGTTCTTTTGGCTTAGGATTGACTTGGAGATGCGGGCTCTTTTTTGGTTCCATGTGAACTTTAAAGTAGTTTTTTCCAATTCTGTGAAGAAAGTCATTAGTAGCTTGATGGGGATGGCATTGAATCTATAAATTACCTTGGGCAGTATGGCCATTTTCATGATATTGATTCTTCCTACCCATGAGCATGGAATGTTCTTCCATTTGTTTGTATCCTCTTTTATTTCATTGAGCAGTGGTTTGTAGTTCTCCTTGAAGAGGTCCTTCACGTCCATTGTAAGGTGGATTCCTAGGTATTTTATTCTCTTTGAAGCAATTGTGAATGGGAGTTCACTCATGATTTGGCTCTCTGTTTGTCTGTTGCTGGTGTATAAGAATGCTTGTGATTTTTGTACATTGATTTTGTATCCTGAGACTTTGCTGAAGTTGCTTATCAGCTTAAGGAGATTTTGGGCTGAGACAATGGGGTTTTCTAGATATACAATCATGTCGTCTGCAAACAGGGACAGTTTGACTTCCTCTTTTCCTAATTGAATACCCTTTATTTCCTTCTCCTGCCTAATTGCCCTGGCCAGAACTTCCAACACTATGTTGAATAGGAGTGGTGAGAGAGGGCATCCCTGTCTTGTGCCAGTTTTCAAATGGAATGCTTATACAAAAATCAATTCAAGATGGATTAAAGACTTAAACGTTAGACCTAAAACCATAAAAACCCTAGAAGAAAACCTAGGCATTACCATTCAGGACATAGGCATGGGCAAGGGCTTCATGTCTAAAACACCAAAAGCAATGGCAACAAAAGACAAAATTGACAAATGGGATCTAATTAAACTAAAGAGCTTCTGCACAGCTAAAGAAACTACCATCAGAGTGAACAGGCAACCCACAAAATGGGAGAAAATTTTCGCAACCTACTCATCTGACAAAGGGCTAATATCCAGAATCTACAATGAACTCAAACAAATTTACAAGGAAAAAACAAACAACCCCATCAAAAAGTGAGCCAAGGACATGAACAGACACTTCTTAAAAGAAGACATTTATGCAGCCAAAAAACACATGAAAAAATGCTCACCATCACTGGCCATCAGAGAAATGCAAATCAAAACCACAATGAGATATCATCTCACACCAATTAGAATGGCAATCATTAAAACTCAGGAAACAACAGGTGCTGGAGAGGATGTGGAGAAATAGGAACACTTTTACACTGTTGGTGGGACTGTAAACTAGTTCAACCATTGTGGAAGTCAGTGTGACGATTCCTCAGGGATCTAGAACTAGAAATACCATTTGACCCAGCCATCCCATTACTGGGTATATACCCAAAGGACTATAAATCATGCTGCTATAAAGACACATGCACACGTATGTTTATTGTGGTACTATTCACAATAGCAAAGACTTGGAACCAACCCAAATGTCCAACAATGATAGACTGGATTAAGAAAATGTGGCACATATACACCATGGAATACTATGCAGCCATAAAAAATGATGAGTTCATGTCCTTTGCAGGGACATGGATGAAATTGGAAATCATCATTCTCAGTAAACTATCGCAAGAACAAAAAACCAAACACCGCATATTCTCACTCATTGGGAATTGAACAATGGGAACACATGGACACAGGAGGGGGAACATCACACTCTGGGGACTGTTGAGGGGTGGGGGGAGGGGGGAGGGATAGCATTGGGAGATATACCTAATGCTAGATGACGAGTTAGTGGGTGCAGTGCACCAGCATGTCACATGTATACATATGTAACTAACCTGCACATTGTGCACATGTACCCTAAAACTTAAAGTATAAAAAAAAAAAGTTCATCATCATAAGAACAAAAAATCAGTTGAGCACTCAAGTGCCTGGTTTTAACTTTATGTCATTGAAAGAGGCACTGAAGAGATAGAAAAAACGGTCCTTAATCACCAACACCACCTCTCCCCAACCCCCTAGCTGTTGTGATGGGATATGGAGAGCATCTCTCGACCTGGGAGAACACAGCAATTGTAAGGCACTGAACTCAGTGCTGTCCTATTAGAGCAGGAAGAAAAACCAGACCAAACTCAGCTGATGTCTGCCCATGGAGGTAGCATTTAAACCACCTCCAGCCAAGGGGAATTGCCAGTCCAAGTGGTACAAACTTGAGTGCCTACAAACCTTACCACTGAGTGCTACAGCACTCTTTGTCTCCAAGTAAACTTGAAAGGCAGTCTAGGCTATAAGGACTGCAATGCTTAGGTGAGTTTCAGTGCTGAACTAGGCCCAGAGATGGTGGACTGGGGGAGTGGAGGAATGGAACATACTAAGACACCAGTTGGGGCAGAAAAGAGAGTGCAGGCATCACCCCTCCCCTAACTCCAGGCTGCACAGCATGCAGTTCCAAAAGAGACCTTTTACTTCCTCTTCAGGAGAGGTGAGGGAAAAGTGGGGAGGACTTTGTCTTGCTTCTAGGATACCAGCTCATTTATAGCAGGATAGGGCACTGGTAAGAGTCGTGAGGCCCGTGTTTCAGGCCCTAGCTCCCAGATGACACTTCTAGACACACTCTGGGCCAGAAGGGAACCCACTGCCTTGAATGAAAGGACCCAGTCCTGCCAGTATTCATTACCTGCTAACTAAAGAGCCCCTGGACCTTGAATAACCAGCAACAATACCCAGGTACAACATCATGAGCCATGGGCGAGCCTTGTTGGCTTCAGTTGAGACTCAACACATTACCAGCTATGGTGGCTACAGGACAAAAATCCTTCTGCTTGAGAAAAGTGGATGGAAAAGAAAAGGGGACTTTGTCTTGCACCTTAAATACTAAGACGGCCACAGAAGGAGAGAATGGCAAGTGGGCTCTTGAGGTCTCTGATTCCAGGGTTTGACTCTTGGGTGGCATTTCTGGACCCTTTCTGGACCAGTGGGGAGCCCACTGCCCTGAAGGGTGAGTGCTAGGCCAGGAAACATTCACCACAAGATGACTTAAGAGACCTTGGGCCTTAAGGAAACATTTGTGGTAGTCTGGCAGTACTCCTTGTGGCCTAGGGTGGCAGTGGCTATGGGGTAAGGCTACTCTGCTTTTGATAAGGGGAGGGAGGAGTGGGAAGAACTGCATCTTTTGTTTTGAGTGTCAGCTTAGCTGCAGTAAAACAGAACACCAGGTAGACTTTAAAAACCTTAGAAGTCCTTGACTCCCAGATGAAACTTCTGGATCCATCCAGAGTCTGGGGGACTTTGCTACCCTCAAGGGAAGTACACAGGCCTGGCGGGCTTTGTCACTGGCTGATTATAGAGCCCCAGGGCCTTGAACGAACATAGGCAGTAGCCAGAAAGTGGTTACAGCCAGCCTTGGGTGAGGCCCAGTGCCATGCTGGCTTCAGGTCTGACCCAGTGCAGTCATAGTAGTGGTGGCCACAAGGGTGCTTGTGTCATTGCACCCCCAGCTTTAGGACAGAAAGAGAGATGCTGTCTGTTTGGGAGGACATAAGGGAAGAGAACAAGAGTCTTTGCATGGTAATCCAGAGAATTCTCCTGGACGTTGCCCAAGACTATCAAGGTGGTACCCCTCCAAGTCTGCAAGAATTTCAAGGTTACTGGCTTGAGGTGACCCATAAAGCAGATACTGCTTACGTAACAATACCCAAGTCCTTTCAAATATGTGGAAAGCTTTCCCAAGAAAGATGACTACAAATAAGCCCAGACAGTAAAGTCTACAATAAATACCTAACCCTTCAATGCCCAGACACTGAAGAACATCTACTAGCATTCACACCATCTAGGAAAACATGACCTCACCAAATAAACTAAATAAGGCACCAGGGACTAGTCCTGAAGAAACACAGATATATGACCTTTCAGACAGATAATTCAAAATAGCTGTGTTGAGGAAACTCAAAAAAATTCAAGATAACACAAGGAAGGAAGTCAGAATCCTATGAGATATATTTGACAAAGAAATTGAAATAATTTAAAAGAATTAAGCAGAAATCCTGAAGCAGAAAAATGCAATGGCATATTGAAAAATGCATCAGAGTCCTTTAATAGCATAATTGATGAAGCAGAATAAAGAACTAGTGAGTTTGAAGATAGCTATTTGAAAATACACAGAGCAGACAAAAAGAAAAAAGAATAAAAAACAGTGAGGGATGCCTAGAAGATCTGGAAAATAGTCTCAAAGGGGCAAATCTAAGAGTCACTGGCTTTAAAGAGGAGGTAGAGAAAGAGATAGTGGACAAAGTTTATTCAAAGGGATAAAAACAGAGAACTTCCCAAACCTAGAGAAAGATATAAATATCCAAGTACAAGAAGACTATAGAACACCAAGCAGATTTAACCAAAAGCAGACTATCTGGAGACATTTTGTAATAAAACTCCCAAAGGTCAAGGATAAAGAAAGAATCCTAAAAGCAGCAAGAGAAAAAAAAATAATAACATACAATGAAACTCCAATATATCTGGCAGCAGATTTGTCAGTGGAAACCTTACAGGCCAGGAGAAAGTGGCATGATATATTTAAAGTGCTGAAGGAAAAAACAAAAACACAAAAAAACAAAAAAACAAAAAAAAAAAACCTTTTACCCTAGAATAGTATATCCATTGAAAATATCATTCAAACATGAAGGTGAAATAGACTTTCCCAGACAAATAAAAGCTGATGGGTTTCATTAATACCAGACCTGCCCTACAAGAAATGCTGAAGGGAGTACTTCAATCATAAAGAAAAGGACATTTATGAGCAATAAATCATCACCTGAAGGTACAAAAATCACTGGTAATAGTAAGTACAAAGGAAAACACAGAATATTATAACACGCTGTAACTGTGAGGTGTAAACTACTCTTATACTAAGGAGAAAGGCTAAATGATGAATCAATCAACAATAACTACAACAACTTTTTAAAACATTGTCACTACAATAAGATATGAGTAGAAACAATGAAAAGTTAAAAAGTTGGGGGACAAAGTTAAGGCATAGACTTTGTATTAGTTTTCTTTTTCTTTGTTTATGCAAATAGTGTTAAGTTGTTATCTGGTTAAAATAATGGATTATAAGATAGTATTTGCAAGCTTTATTATAATCTCAAATTAAAATTCATACAATGAATACACAAAAAATAAAAAGCAAAAAACTAAATCATATCACCAGATAAAATTATCTTCACTAGAGGAAGACAGGAAGGAAAGAAAAAAAAGGAAGAGAAGACCAGAAAACAATAACAAAATGGCAGGAGTAAGTCCATACTTATCAATAATAACATTGAATGTAAATGGACTAAACTCTCCAGTCAAGAGACAGAGACTAGCTGAATGGATGAAAAAACAAAACCCATTGATTTGTTGCCTGTAAGAAACATACTTCACCTATAAAGATACACAGACTGAAAATAAAGGGATGGAAAAAGATATTCCATGATAATGGAAACCAAACAAAAGAGCAGGAGTCACTATACTTACATCAGACAAAATAGATTTCAAGACAAAAACTATGAGAAGAGACAAAGAAGGTCACTATATAATGATAAAGGGGTCAATTCACCAAAAGGATATAACAATTTTAAATATATACACAGTCAACATGGGGGCATCCAGATATATAAAGGAAATATTATTAGAGCTAAAGAGAAAAATAGGTCCCCACACAATAATAGCTGGAGATTTTAACACCCCACTTTCAGCATTGGACAAATCTTCCAGACAGAAAATCAACAAAGAAACATCAGACTTAATCTGTAGTGTAGACCAAATGGATCTAATAGATGTTTACATAACATTTCATCCATGCTGCAGAATACACATTCTTTTCCACAGCACGTGAATTATTCTCGAGGATAGACCATGTGTTAGGTGAGAAAACAAGTCTTAAAATATTCAGAAAAATTGAAATAATATCGAGCATCTTCTCTGATAACAATGGAATAAAACTAGAAATTAATAATAGGAGGAATGTTGGAAACTATACAAATACTGGAGACTAAACAATATGCTCCTGAATGACCAGTGGGTCAAGGAATAAATTAAATATGAAATTGAAAAAATTCTTGAAACACATAGTAATGGAAACACAACATACAAAAACCTATGGGATACAGAAAAAGCGGTACTAAGAAAAAAATTTATAGCTATAGCTGCCTACCTCAAGAAAGAAAAAATACTTCAAATGAACAATCTAATGATGCGTCTTAATGAACTAGAAAACCAGCCGGGCACAGCGGCTCACACCTGTAATCCCAGCACTTTGGGAGGCAGAGGTGGGCAGATCACGAGGTCAAGAGTTTGAGACCAGCCTGACCAACATGGTGAAACCCCGTCTCTACTAAAAATACAAAAATTAGCTGGGCATGGGTGGCATTCATCTGTAGTCCCAGCTACTCAGGAGGCTGAGGTAGAAGAATCGCTTGAACCCAGGAGGCAGAGGTTGCAGTGAGCCGAGATCATCCCACTGCACTCCAGCCTTGGTTACAGAGCGAGACTCTGTCTCAAAAAAAAAAAAAAAAAAAAAAAAAAGGAAAGCAAGAGTAAGCCAAACCCAAAATTAGTAGAAGAAAAGAAATAATAAAGATCAGAGTAGAAATAAATAAAACTGAAATGAAAAAAGCAATACAAAAGATCAAAGAAACAAAAAGCTGTTTATTGAAAAGTTAAACAAAATTGACAAACCATTAGCCAGACTAAGAAAAAAAGAGAGATGATCCAAATAAACAAAATCAGAAATGAAAAAGGAGAGATTACAACTTATACCACTGAAATTCAAAGGTTCATTAGTGGCTTCTATGAGCAACTATATGCCAAAAAATTTAAAAATCTAGAATAAATGGACAAATTCCTAGCTACATACAACCTACCAAGACTGAACCATTAAGCCCAAAACCTGAACAGAACAAATAGCAAGTAACAAGCTGAAAGCCATGATAAAGAGTTCCAGTAAAGAAAAGCCTGTTATCTGATTGCTTTGCTGTAGAATTCTACCAAACATTTAAAAAAGCACTAATACCAATCCTTCTCAAACTATTCCAAAAAATAGAGGAGGAAATACTTCCAAACTCGTTCTACCAGGCCAATATTACCCTGACATGAAAACCAGACAAAGATACATTAAAAAAAAGAAAACTATAAGCCACTATATCTGATGAATATTGATGCAAAAATTCTCAACAAAATACTAGCAAACTCAATTCAACAATACATTAGAAAGGTCATTTATCATGACCAAGTGGGATTTATCCTGGGGATGCAAAGATGGTTCAACCTAAGTGTCCATCAACAGATGAATGGATAAGAAAAATGTGGTATGTAAACAAAAAGGAGTATTATTCAGCCATAATGAAGAATGAGATCCAGTCATTTTCAACAACATGGATGGAACTGAAGATGGTTATGTTAAGTGAAATAAGCCAGCTACAGAAAGACAAACATCACATGTTCTCACTTATGTGTGGGATCTAAACACCAAAACATTTGACCTCATGGACACAGAAAGTAGAAGGATGGTTACCAGAGACTGGGAAGGTTAGTGGGGAATATGGGGGAGGTGAAGTTTGTTAATAGTTATAAAAAAAACACAGAAAGGATAAATAAGACCTACTATTGGATAGCACAGTACAGTGGCTATAGTCACTAATAACTAAATTGTATATTTTAAAATAACTTGAAGAGTGTAATATGCTTGAGGGGATGGACACCCCATTCTCCATGGTGTGCTTATTTCACATTGCATGCCTGTTTCAATATATCTCATGTACCCCATAAATATATATACACCTGCTTGGACCCACAGAAATTAAAGAATAAAATATATAAAAAAAATAGACTACGTTTTTACTTACAAATTTGTATTTTGTTGCATTACAAAAGCAAAATAGGCCGAGTGCGGTGGCTCACGCCTTTAATCCCAGCACTTTGGGAGGCCAAAGTGGGTGGATCACGAGGTCAGGAGTTCGAGACCAGCCTGACCAACATGGTGAAACAGTGTCTCTACTAAAAATACAAAAATTAGCTGGGTGTGGTGGCACGTGCCTATAATACCAGTTACTCAGGAGGCTGAGGCAGGAGGATTGCTTGAACCCAGGAGTCGGAGGTTGCAGTGAGCTGAGATTGTGGCAGTGCACTCCAGCCTGGGTGACAGGGTGAGACTCCATCTCAAAAAAAAAAAAAAAAAGTATAACAATACATGTGTTCCTAAGATTTTACACATGTACATGCACATATAAATATCTGCATGTATGCATGTACATATGCAGAATGAAGTTGAGGGAAAAATAAAATACGTTGATGATAATAATAGCAATGAACTAAGAAATAAGATGAATTTAACTCTCTGTACCTAAAGACTAAAGAGAAAGGAAAAAGAGAGACAATTAATAAAAGTAGGCTATCTCAAATGAGAAATATGAAAATTTAGAAAAAAAAATCAAGTACAAATAAAACTTAGTCTAAAAACATTGTTGATATTAAATTTGTTAGTCAAAATTATGCAGAGTTAACATTATTATTTATAATTAGTTTCAATTAACTTTATAGTTTTAGCTTCCCAGGACATTAAGACTTTTTGAGAATGTAATTTTTAATGCTATATAGTTGTCTAACATACAGATAGACTGTAATTTATTTTATTATTTTATAGCACTATTGGAAATGTAGGATTATTTCTATTCTTAATATTACGAATTATGATTTGATTGACATGCTTATACATTTTGGTCAGAATTTTTGATCATTTCTATAGTGTACATTCTGAGAAGTAGAATACACAGACCAAAAGGTATGGATATTTTTAAGACTTCTTGGAAAATTGCTCTCTGAAAAACTTTTCTCTCTTTGTACTGACATCAACAATATATTAGCATGTCTATTTTAACATCCTTTGTAACAATGAGCATTAGTTTTAGATTTGATAATTTATGAGTAAACTAAGGTAATTCATTATATTTTTGTTTAATGTCTTTATCGATAAATTTGACATATTTCTTTATATAATTATTGGGTGTCTGTGAAGAATAAAATACATATGCTTTTAAATTTCTCTGAGCAAAGCTAATTAGCTAATTTTACCTAAATAATAATAATACCTCTAAGTAGGTACAATTACAAATTTTATACATACATATACAAACATATGTATATGTGTGTGTATGTATGTGTGTGTGTGTGTATATACTTATATATTGGTGCAAAAGTAATTGCAATTTTTGTTGTGGAAAGTAATGGCAAAAAACACAATAATTATTGCAGCAACCTATATTTATTATGTAAATATGTAAATAAATAAATATCCATATATATGGGTTCATATAGATATGGAGATATATGTATGGAGATGTATGGGTTTAATTTAACAAATGTATTTATTATATTAAATGTATATAAACCTAGGTGAATAGTCCTGGAATTTTCCCCTTTTAACAACTATACGTTATTCACTTTCTAATGATATTCATTTCTAAGTGTGTTCATATTTGTACCAGTTATTTTTATAGCTATACTAGACTGTATCAAAATTTTATTCTCAAGATGAAATGCTACTTCTCATAGAGATAGAAAATATATTTTGATCAGAAAATGATGCTCATGCAAGAGATGAGACCTTTTATGTGATTTATATTGATTTAGACTGTATAAAATAAGACTATCTAGATTAAAAATAGCACATACAGGTCAGAAGCTAGTTCATTTTCCCATCTGAGTCATCTTATAATGGAGCTATTTTACTGAAGAGACATATTTAATTCTGTGCATTTTACCTTTAGAACAAGCAGAACTTTGATAGTTGAGAAAACAGTCTTAAGTATGATTAAAGGCAATAAAAACACAGTGGTAAAAGAAACAGATATGCACTTATTAGAGAAACAAAAACATTAGGGTCCCTTAACAGTTGTCTAGAAATATATGTAAGATAACATTAATCTATTATTCTGTAAAATTTGGTGCGAATGTGTCTCTCAGTTTTTCTTTAAATTTTATGATATTTTTGATATGCAAAAGTATTAGATTACCTATTTTTAAAAAACTTTTTTTAACTTTTATTAGGTTCAGAGGTATATGTGCAGATTTGTTATATAGGTAAACTGCTTGTCACTTGGGTTTGGTATACAGATTATTTCATTACACATGTAATAAGCATAGTACCCAATAGGTAATTTTGCTGATCCTCCCCTTCCTGCCACCCTCCACCCTCAAACAGGCCACAGTGTGTGTTGTTCCCCTCTATGTGGTGTCAATGTGATCTCATCATTTAGCGCCCTTATAAAGTGAGAGTATGTGGTATTTAGTTTTCTGTTCCTGTTTTAGATAATGGCCTCCCACTCCACCCATGTGCCTGCAAAGGACATGATCTCACTCTTTTTTATGGCTGGCTAGTATTCCATGGTGTAAATGTACCACAGTACCACATTTTATTTTATCCAGTCTACCACTGATAGATGCTAAGGTTGATTTCATGTCTTTGCTACTGCGAATAGTGCCACAATGAACATCTGTGTTCATGTGTCTTTATGGTAGAAAAATTTATATTCTTTTGGGTATATACCTAATAAAAGGATTACTGGATCAAATGGCAGCTCAGTTTTAAGTTATTTGAGGAATTGCCAGACTACTTTTCACAATGGCTAAACCAATTTACAATCCCACCAGCAGTGTACAAGCATTCCCTTTTTCTCTGTAACCTCAGCAGCATCTGGTTTTTTTTTTTTTTTTTGACTTTTTACTAATAGCCATTCTGACTAATGTGAAATGGTATCTCATTGTGGTTTTGATTTGCAATTCTCTAATAATTAGTGATGTTGAGCATTTTTTATAGGCTTGTATACACTGCATGCATATCTTCTTTTGAAAAATGTCTGTTCATGTCCTTTGCCCACTTTTTAATAGGGTTGTTTGATTTTGCTTCTAAATTTGTTTAAGTTCCTTATAGATTCTGGATATTAGATCTTTGTTGAATGCATAATTTGCAAATATTTTCTCCTATTCTGTAGTTTGTTCACTCTGTTGATAGTTTCTTTTGCTCTGCAGAGGCTCTTTCGTTTTAATTGTATCCCATTTGTCAATTTTTTGTTTTGTTGCAATTGGTTTTGGCAACTTTGCCATTAAAGCCTTGCCAAGTCCTGTGTCAGAATGGTATTTCCTAGGTTATCTTTCAGGGTTTTTATAGCTTTTCATTTTACATTTAAGTCTTTAGTTCATCTTGAGTTGATTTTTGTATGTGGTTTAAGGTAGGGATCTAGTTTCTATCTTCTGTGTATGAAGAGCAAGTTATTCTAGCATCATTTATTGAATAGAGAGTCCTTTTCCCATTGCTGGTTTTTGTCAGCTTTGTCAAAGATCAGATGGGTCATCAGTGTGTGGCCTTATTTCTGGGTTCCCTATGCTGTTCCATTGGCCTGTGTGTCTGGTTTTGTACCAGTACTATGCTGTATTGGTTACTGTAGCCCTGTAGCCCTGTAATATAGTTCGAAGTCAGGTAGCCTGATGCCTCCAGCTTTGTACTTTTTGCTCAGAACTTCTTTGGCTCTTCAGGCTCTTTTTTGGTTAAATATGAATTTAATTTTTTCTTCTAGTTCTGTGAAGAATGACATTGGTAGTGATATCGGAGTGGGGCAGAGAAGTGCTAGGTAGGAGAAAGGAGGGGTCCTGTTAAGGGCACCATCTTCGGGCTTGTGCCCACTGGCCTAGGTGACGACAGGCACTCCTATTTTCATGCTCAAATGTTGCATTCTCCAAGACCACTCTGGCCCACCACACTCCCATCCTATTCCTATAAAAACCCCGAGACCCTAGTGGGCAGACACAAGTGGCTGGACGTCGAGAGAAGCAGAGGGGTGGAAGAACACACCTGCAGAATAACACACTGACGGACCCCAGCAGGCCATCCACTGCAGAACTATGCGGATGAAGTGGAATTCAGCTGAGGGTGGTCTGAGGAGAGTCCGGCCACTGGGAAGCCCGACTCCTGGGGAAAACCACCTTCCTACTCTGTCCCCTTCAAGCCTCCCCATTCACCTCGCCGAGAGCTACCTTCACTCAATAAAACCTTGCACTCATTCTCCAAACCCACGTGTGATTCGATATTTTCAGTATACTAAGGCAAGAACCTGGGATACAGAAAGCCCTCTGTCCTTGCAATAAGGCAAAAGGTCTGATTGAGCTGATTAAATACAAGTCACCTGTGGATGGCTAAGCTGAAAGAGCACACTGTAAAACACACACTGGGGCTTCAGGAGCTGTAAACACTTAACCCTAGATGCTGCCATGGGGTCGGAGCCCACGCTTCCCACGACCTGCCCATCTGCCTGCTCGCCTTAGGGGTTTTGAGCAACAGGACACTGAAGAAGTGAGCCACAACCCCATCACATGCCCTGCGAGGGGGACAAGGGAACTTCTCCTGTTTCAGCAGTTTGATAGGAATAGCATTGAATCTGCAAATTGCTTTGAAAAGTAAGTACATTTTAACAATATTGGTGCTTTCTATCCATGAGCATGGAATATTTTTTCATTTGCTTGTGTCATTTCTGATTTCTTTGAGCAGTGTTTTCTAATTCTCATTGTAGTGATCTTTCACCTCCCTGGTTAGCTGTATCTGTAGGTATTTTATTCTTTTTGTGGCAATTGTGAATGAGATTGCATTCTTGATTTAGCTTTCAGCTTGGATGTTGTTGTATAGAAATGCTACTGATTTTTTGTAGATTGATTTTGTAACCTGAAACTTTGCTGAAGTTGTTTATCAGATTAAAGAGCCTTTGGGAAGAGATTATGAGGTTTTCTAGATATAGAATCATGCTGTCTTCTAACAGGGATAGTTTGACTTCCTCTCTTGCTATTTAAATGCTTTGTATTTGTTTCTCTTGCCTGATTGCTCTGGTCAGGACTTTCACTACTATGTTGACTAGGAGTGGTGAAGGAGAGCATCTTGCTCTTGTTAAGAGTTTTGGAGAGGACTGCTTCCAGCTTTTTTCCATTCAGTATAATGTTGGCCGCGGTTTTGTTATAGATGCCTCTTATTATTTTGAAGTATGTTCTTTCAGTGCCTAGTTTATTGAGGGCTGTTAACATGAAGGAATGTTGAATTTTATCCAAAGCCTTTTCTGCATCTATTGATATAATCTTGTGGTTTTTGTTTTCAGTTCTGTTTACGTGATGAATCACATTTATTTGTTTGCATATGTTGAACCAACCTTGCATCTTGGGGATGAAGCCTACTTGATCATGGTGGATTAGCTTTTTGATGTGCTGCTGGATTTGGTTTGCTAGTATTTTTGAGGCTTTTTGCATCTATGTTCATCAAGAATATTGGCCTGAATTTTTCTGTGTGTGTGTGTGTGTGTGTTGTGTCTCTGCCAGGTTTTAGTATCAGGATGATTCTGGCCTCATATAATGAGTTAGAGAGGAGCCCCTCCTTTTCAACTTTTTGGAATAGTTTCAGTAGAAATGGTACCAGCTCTTCTCTATACTTGTGGTAGAATTCAGCTGTAAACTCATCTGGTCCTGGGCTTTTTGGTTGGTAAGCTTTCTATTATTGATTCAATTTTAGAACTCTTTATTCGTCTGTTCAGAGATTAAATTTCTTCCTGGTTCAAACTTGGGAGACCGTATGTGTGGAATGTATCCATTTCTTCTAGATTTTCTAGTTGACATGCTCCTGGGACTCCATGTGTGCCTGAGCAGAGGCTCTGTCCAGACTCCACATAGCTCTCTGTGTCAGTCTGGAGGTTCCAGAGGTGTGAGCTTACAAGGGGATCACCTGAGCCTAGGGTTGCAAAGGTCCATGGCAGAAGTGTCTGTCCCTGGGGACTCAATTGCTCATCATTTCCCCAAGGTAGAAAAGTCTCCCCTGGCTCCATGCCACACCTGAGTGGGAGGTTGTCCTGTCTCGCTCCTCTCTGTTCTCCATAGGTCAAGTTATTTCTTTGATGAATCCCAATGTGTTCCAGTTGAATGTTGCAGTTGAAGATCTAATAATTACTTGCTACTCTTTCTTTCCATGAGAGTGATGCACACTAGCTGCTTCTAGTCAGCCATGTTGGCCTCCTCCTTAAAATCTTTTCAGTGTAGTTTATCTCATTGCTTTTATCATAAGAAAGTCATTCGATAAGCTAAGGTTACCCAAATCGTCTTTGCTATGCTAATTTTTACAACTCTATAATTTACATTTTATTCTCTAAGGCATCAAAAATTCATTGTGGTCTATGGTGAAAGCTAATAATATAACTTAATTATTTTCTAATACTTTGGCAATTTTTAAAACAATGGTTTGTTTGTTACAGTGAGTGTGAATACTGTTAATTTTTTAGTATTACTGCACTGTCGCCTTATGAGTTTTACTTCTGAAAATTGATTGAGGTTATTTTTCTTATATGTTTTAAAACATTCTATGAGGGGTTGGCAATATTTATTTAATTTTTAGATATACATTGAATGTATTCACTATTCAATATACATCTAAAAATAATGTATATCTAAAAATCAAATAAACATTATCATTCAGATTTTTCAAATACTCTATATTCTTTATTTTGGTTTCAGTTGTCCCATAACAATTGCACACACTGAGAAATTACATCAGGTTCTTCTGGTTAAATAACATTTTAAACTTGAAAATATGAAGACAAGCTAGGATATTTTCGTTTGAAGAAACAAAATAGTTTTGAAGTTTTATAAAAATCTAAGTAAATTCAAACATAAAATAATAGAAAGAACATGAGTAGAGGAAGCTTAGCAATTAAGACTTGGTAATGTGGGGTTTTTTTTTTTTTGCCTTTTCTTTTCTTTTTTTTTAATTATACTTTAAGTTTTAGGGTACATGTGCACAATGCGCAGGTTTGTTACATATGTTGTATACATGTGCCATGTTGGTGTGCTGCACCCATTAACTCGTCATTTAACATTAGGTATATCTCCTAACACTATCCCTTCCCCCTCCCCCCACCCCACAACAGGCCCCAGTGTGTGATGTTCCCCTTCCTGTGTCCATGTGTTCTCATTGTTCAATTCCCACCTATGAGTGAGAACATGCGGTGTTTGTAATGTGGGGTCTTAAACATCATGGCAAGGAGCTGAGACCTTATTTTTTAGGCCACCTATTTTTAAATGCTGGTTTTGTTCCAGCTGCATAAAAATAACCTGAGGATTTTTGTAAGTATACATTGAAATCATATTTAAGTTACAGTTAGATTCTGACGGCAACTCTAAGAGGCAAATATCTTGTATTATCAAAATAAGTGCTGAAAAATCTCTTAGCGTATACTTGTGTGGTCACCTTGTACAGTAACTCCTATGGATGCTAAAGTCTGAGTATCAGCAAAAAATGAGAATATTGTGAAGATGATTGGGCATTCAAACTTATCTACACTTAAGATAAATATCCATATATATTGGTGAATGACGATTAGGTTGAAATATTGTTCCTGGCCCAGTCTGTTTCCCTTTTGCTTCTGGTGCTCCAATTACTTGTTTAATAATCCTTTTTAAAATAATAGATATTTCTCCACTCCTTTTTTAATTTTCTGTCATCTTGCCTCTCAATGATTTAGTCTAGATTTATTTTTTGAACCACCTTCCAGTTTGACAATTCTTACTTTGTATGTGCCTAATTTGTTAATGCCATTGATTGAATTTTACTTTATTATATTTTTATATTTTATATTACATTATATTATATTTTGTTACATATTTATATAATAATGAAGAGAGATATATTTATTATATATATATATATATATCACATTGTTATTATATTTTTCAGTGCTAGGATTTCTAATTGATACAGTTTCCAGTCCTCTGCCTAAATTGTCCACCTTGTATTTTAATTACTTGAGCATATTAATCACAGTTTTATAGTGGATTTGAAAATTCACTTATGTATAGCTCTGGTGGGGATTTTATTTGCTCTTTTTCTTGGTTTTTTGATGAAATCTTTTTTTATGTTTGGGGCTTTTATTACTTTTTTTACATTAAATGTACTTTTTATATTAAACGTAAAAATTGTAAACATAATTTGAGACTCTAGATGTTTTCACTCTCCAAAAAAAATTTTAATTTTATTTCTAGCATGTATCTAGCGGGGACAATAGCAATACCAGATCATCTTAATACAATAAAGGTCTGAGATAATTTGAAGCTGAAACTTAATCCTTCTCTTAACTTTCACCCTTATTCCTATGTTTAGCCCTTTAAAGTCCCAACAGAAACCTATGCATGTGCCAGAACCCTTCCTGCTTAGTGGGTTCTGAACTCCAGTTTTGGTTCTCTCAGCCCTTTCTCTCTGCCAAAATCTCTGCCTACATTCTCAAACTTTCCAAAGATACTTTCGGAGTTAGCCAATCCCTCAACAGGAAACATAGTACTAATTGCCAAGCTCATCTCTTTGGTTTTCCTCTTGCCCCCCACACCCCAAACCCTAGCCCTCAAAATTTTATTGTCTGATAACTTTCCAATGCCCGTAGATATTTTAAAGCTGCTTTGCCCAACGTTCCTAGGAAGTATAAGAATTTTATATCAGAGTTTTCCAAGCAACAGAGGTCAAAATAGAATTAGCCATGCAAGAGATGTATTGGAAGCAATGTCTGTAAACATAAAGGTGAGGAAGTGAAAGAGTAGGCAGAGAGATTATTCAGACGATGATGCAGTTCTGAAACCCGGGAAAGAGGAGAGGGAAGGAAGAATAATTGGTTAGGAAAAGCTTTATGCTACAATGTACTTCTGGGGAAGTCTCAGCCCAGACAAGGGGGAGCTACAAAGTGAAGATTAACTATCAAAGAAGTCTTGTGTTAGCAGAAATGGCCCAGCTATAATACCCCCACCAAGTTCAGTCATTAGCTTTGAGCAACTCTGAGTGAGCATGGCCTTGGGGAAAACACTGAACTGTAGAGGATCGAAAGATGTGGTAACTGGAAGATCTTTTCCAGCTACTGTGCTCATAGCAAGTTTCCTTGAAGGGATAGCTAGTGACCTATGGAACCACAGGCCTTATAGCATAAATGTACTGCATAAATATTATGTATGATTTATTCCCCATCACCTTTACTTTTTCTTACCTTG
The DNA here is from genome assembly GCF_000001405.40 of Homo sapiens. Lineage (NCBI taxonomy): Eukaryota > Metazoa > Chordata > Mammalia > Primates > Hominidae > Homo > Homo sapiens. The sequence goes on from NC_000001.11 coordinate 69,052,557, forward strand.
TTATTTAGTGATTGATGTGTATATTTATAAGACTGCTTCAAAATAGCATTGGAATAAAGCAGACTATAATATTTTTAAACTTGTGGATTAACTTAAAAAATAAATATCTAAAAATAAATATTGGAACACACCAGAAATAGAATGGATGTCATTTTACTTAACTGGATAGTTTATTAAATCCCTTAAGCTTTTGATTATATTGATTTCTATTTTTGTTTTATGTTTTGTTCATCAGCATATTACCTGTAGATCTTATTTACTGATTTTAGAGATGTAAAAGGCCTAAATGTGTTTTCTTCTTTCCGCCTATTGCCAGATGCTTGAATTATACAATCAGATTAACAATATATTGTCTCATACTTCATGTTTTCTCCTGCCTCTCCCTGGAGTGCCCCTCACTGCTTCTTATTGTGGTTATTTCTTATGTTTCTTTCAAGGATCAGTTCAAGCATCATCATCTTCAGGAAGTACCCCCATATAACTTTTCTATGTTTCTGTAATATCTTATGGATATGTTCATTATATCACTTACCCCACTGTGCTTTAATGATTGTTTGAGCTCCTTGAACAGACACCTTGCTTGTGTTTTTCATAGTATTTCTTATAAGTAGTAATTTGTAAATAAGTGCTCAATAAATGTTTGTTCAATAAAAATATATGTAACCGTAAGTATGTTTAGCACCTCTATTTAGTCATATTCACTGATTGTGGTGAAGACAGGCATAGGTTTTGCTTGACATAGGGGGCAGGATGCAGTTCTAGGTACTAGTGATGGGGCACTGCATATTGAAGAAGGTTTAAAAAATGACCACCCCATCACGAGGTCAGGAATTTGAGAACAGCCTGGCCAACATAGTGAAACCCCATCTCTACTAAAAATACAAAAAATTAGCCAGGAGTGATGATGGGCACCTGTAATCCTAGCTACTAAGGAAACTGAAGCAGAAGAATCACTTGAACCCAGGAGATGGAGGTTGTAGTGAGCCGAGCACTCAGCCTGGACAACAGAGCGAGACTTTGTCTCAAAAAAAACAAACAAAAAGCAAACAAACAGCAAACAAACAAAAAACGAACAAGCAACTGGCCACCCCTAAAGAGCATAGAATGTGCTTACCATGGGAAACCTGAGAGTAAGTTACTTGCTGAAAAGTAACTCACAATTTTTCACAAAGCTCTCTAGGATTTCAATTTTAGTTTGTTTTCAGTATCTATTACCTAAGCCTAAGTGGATTGGTTTGGTAAACTAAGTGTTTTTAGCCATTAGTGAAAAGCAAATGGCATTCACACATCTGCTTAATGAAAAAAAAAAAAACATGTTTTTTTAGTTTCCTACAGATGCGGTCAAGAATAGGGTGTTAGTTATACCTAGGAGCAAAAAACAAAATCAATATCAAATGTGAAATGTCACTTACAGCTTTATCTTGCCAGTTTTTCTTTTAGACCTCTCTTGATTTCTGGAACAGAGGCTCTGAGACTATTCATTTGTGTGGTTGTCTTAGTTGTTCTCCTCTAGAACACTCACCAGCCTTTTGATTCCTAACTCCCTTATTTCTGTTGTCCTCACCTCCAGAACACTGTTCAGATTGAATGGGAACTAGGCTGGAGAAACACTATAGCTCTGCTTTATGCAATATCACACTTACACAGCAATTGGCATAACTATCATGTTTTAAAAATTAATAATAGGTCTGGTGCAGTGGCTCACGCCTGTAATCCCAGCACTTGGGAGGCTGAGATAGGCGGATCACCTGAGGTCAGGAGTCCAAGAACAGCCTGGGCAACATGGTAAAACCTCGTCTCTATTAAAAATACAAAAATCAGCAGGGCATGGTAGCACTTGCCTGTAATCCCAGCTACTCGGGAGGCTGAGGCACAAGAATCGCTTGAACCCAGGAGGCAGATGTTGCAGTGAGCTGAATCATACCACTGCACTCCAGACTGAGTGACAGAGTGAGATTCTGTCTCAAAAAAAATAATAATGAGAATTATGACATGTTAGAAATTTCACAAATAAGATTACTCTGAATGATATTTATAAATATACCTTTATTTTTTCCTTCTAGTGAGCTTAAGATACTTGACTATGGAAAACCTATTATAAGAGCAAAAAAACGAAATATTTTTCTCTAAGTTTTGTGGACATCACCTTTCTGCTTAAAATTTTCCAATGGCTTTGCACTGCAAATTGAATAAATTTCAAATGCAATGTCTGCAAGGCCTTACATAATCTAGATGTCACCTGTCTTTATAGTTTATTCTCTTAATATTTTTGCCTGGTTCCCTATTCCCAGTAGACTTCCTTTTAATATTCAGTCATGTCTAGGCTCTTCCTTCCTTAGAAATTTTGCCTATCATCGTCCACATTTTCCCTGGTCTTCATGTATCTGGATTTTTTGTTTGTTTGTTTGTTTTCTTTTTTTCATTCAGTTCTCAGCTCAAATGTCATCTTCTTAGAAATGTTTACTCTGACAATCTTAGATAAAGTAGGCCCCTCCTCACCCTGCCTCTATTTTATTAGTCTATTTTACTTACTCTAAAGTATTCTACATTACCTTAACCTGTTGATTCCATGAGGGCATGAACTTTGTTTGGTCACTATAAAGGAGACAACTTGGCTAAAATATCAACAGTGTCATATGTGATCCTGCCACCTTCAGATTCAGTTCTTTGAAAGCTCAAAGATTAGCTTTGATTGTGAGAGAGGAGAACAGAAGAAAATGGTCAAGCAGACGGTTAGGGTGGGCCCTTGGTTGAATTCTTTTGAACAAAAGAACAGCCTGAAAAATCAAGCTGTGGGCACAGATAAGGGAACTTGCACAGCAGAGCTTGCCTAAGACATGCCTACTGCAGCACAGACAAGAAAGGCTACACAGGTGACCTGCCCAGACATGCCCACGATAGAAAATTCCATCCTCTAACACATGTGCAGTTAAGGGGAACAAAGCAATATAGAGTAACTCAAGCTAAGGGCCCACATACACACTAGGAGGATGGGGATGGAGCTACCAGAAATTTGTGCCTTGTGAAAATTAGACATCCAGGCCCCATCAGTTTCTTATAAAAGCCTCTGCATTCAACTGTAAAAACAGCAACCCGTTTGGTCCCCTTCTCTGCTGCAGAGAGCTTCTTTCACTTATTAAATTTTTGCTCCAACCTCACCCTTTGTGTCCACGTTCCTTAATTCTCTCTGTTTTGAGACAAAGAACTCCAGGTGACACATCACAATGAAAGACTGCTACATTGTGGTACATTGGTAACACTGTAACAATGGGACTGACTTCACATATGGGTGGTCACTGAGAAGAGGACAACTGGCTACAAATATCAACAGGCTTTAACAGTCTTCTTTCCTTCAAGTCCAGTTCTTTGAAAGTCCAAATTTGCTCTGAACTGACTTCAAGCAAGTGCCCACTCTTGAACAAATTACTGAGGCTGGAGGATAAAGACACAAATTGGCCAAACTTGGATTACCTGCCTTCTGCATCTTAAAGGTAGGACCAGCTCAGAGAGTAAAGACTGAGAATATGAACGAATGATTTTCCAGAGAAAATTAGGGTAATTTTTCTGAAAAAATTGGGGTTTGGGAGAATGGGAACTGGGCAGTGAAAGCAGCAGTTGCTAACTAAAAGAAATAGTAATCGATATGTTCAGTTTAAAGGGCTACAAGGCATTCCTTAGGGTGGATGTATACTAATATAGCTTATCATTTCCCTGTGGATGAATATTTTAGGTTGTTTGCAAAATAGTGTTATGATAAACATCATTGTTCATTTATTTTGATTATATCAAAATTATTCCTAGCCACATATGTAGTTGTAAATTTTCTAATAATCACATTGAAGAAGTAAAAAGGGGCCGGGCCCGGTGGCTCACCCCTGTGATTCCAGCACTTTGGGAGGCCAAGGCAGGCAGATCACAAGGTCAGGAGTTTGAGACCAGCCTGGCCAACATGGTGAAACCCTGTCTCTAATAAAAGTACAAAAATTAGCTGGCCATGGTGGCACCTGCCTGTAATTCCAGCTACTCAGAAGGCTGAGGCGGGAGAATCGCTTGAACCAGGGAGTCGGAGGATGCAGTGAGCCAAGATCGTGCCCCTGCACTCCAGCCTGGTGACAGAGCAAGACTCCCCCGACCAAAAAAAAAAAAAAAAAATTTTAAAATTTAAAAGTAAAAAGAAACAAGTGAAGTTAATCATTTATGTATTTGTTGAACCCAAAAATCAACAATAGTCTATTTTAACATGTAATTAATACTAACATTTATTTATGGTATTGTTTACATTTTGTTCTTTTACTAAAGTCTGAAACCTGGGGTGCATTTTACACTTACAACATGCTCAATATGGATTAATGTTCAGCAGCCAAGTGGAATAAGTGACTATCTTATCGGAGAGCACAGCTCTAGAATATTCCAGTTCTAGTAAGCACATAGGGGGTTTTACAAACCCAAGTGCTCTCAGAGACTGGTTTCTGGATAATAATTTAAATCTAGCTTTAAATTGAACCTAGTACAAATCACTCATTAATCAATAGACTGTCCATCTCTAAAAAAAGTCTTACTCTAAGTGGTGGTTTGGAAATACATAGTGGGGAAAACTTGACAACATCTCAAACCAATAATGAAGACAAGAGTAGTCACCAGGAGGAGGCTTAAGAAAAATGCTGAGTCTTAGAATAACGAAAAGTTTGCCTGGGGTGTGGTGAGAAATGGTAAGACTCTGGGAAAACTTAGATAAAGCTACCCAAAGGAGAAGAATGTGAATCTGGTAAACTCCAGTTGTGAAGCACCGGTGCAGTAAATTCCACTGTGATCTCAGAGAGTTCATCAGACTTTGGGTGAAATATGGTTTTAGATTGTGCAAATCTTTTTACTGTGATTTCAGAAACATATCTAATATATATTGAGTGCTTACTCAGAGCTGTGTTCTGTGTTCATTTGTTTCTCACATGAATTAGGAACTATTCTTATAGTAATTTTGCTGATAAACCAATTGAGATGCGAAGTAATTAGTTTCATTGTTAGCAACTGGTGATGCTGAGATTTAAGCTGCTGATTTCTAACTCGAGAGTCCACCACATTAGCTCTGTTCTATTTTATTCTCAGTATATTACATGTTTTTTTACAGTCAAGCCTTTTCAGTAATATTTATCTTTCTGTGAACACTGACACTAGCAATAGGTCCCTTAAAATCTTAGACATAAGTATTCTAATCAGCTAAAGCTATATTTCCCTTTGAAAATTACTGCTTAGAAATTCAACTTATATTTTGATGACTTATGAAATGGCTAACAACGTTAGTCCCAAGGCCCCAGTGAACTCTGGGTATGAAAAAAAATTATTTAAAGTTGAAGGCTGTAGGAGAGAAAAAAATATATATTTTTCTCCTCACCCATTGCGAGGTTCATGGCTGACACCTCTATAACAAAAGGCAGATTAATAAGAAAAAATATATAAATTTATTTAGTAGTTTTATATGACATAGAAGTGTTCAGAAATAAAGACCCAAATATCTATGGAAAACCCTACTTTTATGGATAGTCGCGCAGAAGTGTGACTGGAAGACAAAGAGTATGATCTAATTCTAATAAGCTGGAGGAACTTACTAATGCCTGTTTTTTCAGATTCTTCTTGGTTTCTAGATGAAGAGTAAAGACCCTGTGGAACGAGGGTCTTCTGACTTACTTTCAGCAAAAGTAGTCAGAGGCTTCTTTTATGACCTGCTTCAGGACATAAAGGCAGAAAGTCAGGGTGACAACCTTGCTGCTGCTGTGGATTTCTTGATTTCCTTCTGCTTAAGATGCTCAACATGCCAAGATGCCATATTTGTGGTATTGTGGTATTGTGATCTGAGGTCTGGCAAGACCAAATCCTGAATCCTGGAGACTCCATTAGACCCTACCTGAATAGCCATCCTCTCCCCCTGTCTTTATGACCTTGCCGTCTCATCTTTCAGACAATTCTATTGAGTTGTTAGAAAGAAATTGCCCTTGGATAAATAAGAAAGCATCTGTCATCTTAATGTGACAGTTAGTAAAGTAGCACAGGACCAGAACAATAATCATTTAATTGTTTTCGATTGCTTGGGAAATGCCACTGAGCCTCAAACAAATGCCTGGGGGAGGGTGTAATAAAAATGTCGGTGTGGGAGTGTGCATTATCTCATTCCAGTTCCCAAAGTTATTTGGAGATCCAATAGTCTGACCCACTCCCACCACCCCCACAACCCAATAAAAAGAAAGAAAGAAAAGAACAGGAAAAAAAAAAGTTACTAGACTGAGAATGTAAATGTTGTTATGTTTCTTTGCTATTAGTTACTTTGAGGCTTCAATTTTTGACTTGGAGAAAGTATGTCTGCTGGTGGCACCATGCTTGAGGCAATGGGAAAAATATGTGAACCAGTATTCTTCCTATAAGCCAGGAGAAAATGCTGTTATACATAGTATTTATAAACAGCCCCGAAAATAATTACTGAATTCAGAAACAGTTTATCATAGGTAAGCACAGGGCTGAGCAGAGAAAGTTTTAGGATTTAAAAGTTCAAGTGGCAGAGAAAATGACTTTTTCTTTTAATGAAATGTTTTGTTGAAGTGTTTCGAATGTGATTACCAGGAGTAAAAAGGTAGTCCAGCAGACTTTTCCAGCCTCTCAGGCGTAGTGCTCAGGGAAGGCAGATATCATTCTTCCTCAACCTGTTTTGGAATCCTAACAGCATGGTAAAGAGGGATTTGGCAAAGGTTCCTGAGGATAGAAACTGTGTTTCTCTTGTTTTTTGCTGTATCCTCAGGCTGTGGCACTGGCAAGGCATTATGTAGAGTTTTATAAGTATCTATTAAAAGCTGCTGAATAAATAAGAGACTTTGTCTTATCACCCAGAATTTCTTTCATTGGTGATTGTTTGGCTGTGTATCTGGAATTAAATATAAGCTAGTGGACCTCTTGGTAGACTGCCATAGAGGAAATTCAGAGGGGATCAAAGCAGATAACCTCAATGTCAGTTTTAATCTTGAGAGGCTACAATTCTAAAACCTTTCAAAGACTCAATTTGATGGGCCTGATTAAGCAAAATGTCTAGTCCCTCAGTGTCAGGAACACACCTCTGATGGAATTTGTGAATTTTTTGATGAAGATATATATTTACAAGAAAAGACTGCTGGACTCCTCCAGATACAGGCTGATACACAGGGTTTATCTGTCACAAATGTAAAATCAGAGCCTCCCAACAATTTTAGAAAATAATTTTTTTATTAGGCTCAGAAGTGACCTTAACAAAGTTTTGGGGAATTTCTGTCAAGGTCCTTGAGCTCCATGGGAACCATTTGAGTCTGGGAAGGTACCTGGGTGACCTGAACTTAATTGGCTCCTCTCTTGGCCCCTCTGAGACCCTCACTGAATCACCACGTACATGGAAGTAATGACACTTACCGCCTTGCATTCATTAGTATAATAGCTTTAATGATTTGATTTGCTCCTATAAAAGTTGCTATATAAATGCAAATGATTGCCAAGGATGATAATTAACAGTCTTCAGCTGCAAACTATTTAAACCTCAAGTCCATAGGTCACAGAAAAGAGAAATGTAAGGGTATTATTTAAGAAGACTGTTACCTCTTTGTGCTAAATATGATGACAGGCATTTGTAAAAGCTGCGTCCTTCTCTAGTTACATAGCCTGGGTATTTTTGCTGACTGAAGGATATACTGGTATAATTCATCTTTCGGAAGTGTTAAATGCTAGGGTGGTAAGATGTTGCATTAAAGATGGGGGAGGGGGTAAGAGAAAGGAGGGGGAACCAGGGAGTCTATTTCCAGGTAGGAAAATGCAAAGTCCCGGAACCCTAAGTGTGTTTAATAGAGAAAGATTTATCATGATATGTACTCTGCCAGCAGTGTACACAAACACTTTTACAAGATAAAAACAAAAAGTGCAATAGCAGAAGCCAAGCATTTCAAGTGAAATGTAATTTACTCCCTTATGCATTGTTTACTTTGGCATGGCCATGTATTAGATACTTCTTATTGACAACATTGATTATCTCCATGAAACCAGCAATTCGATTAAATAGCAAAAGCTTCAGTTCTCTCCATTTTAATCTGGAAGGAAGAGAGAATTTTTGTTGCTAGCGATGAGCTACATTTGCTCATTAAGTCCAGCTGCCCATCTTGCTGTTAAATTACAATAAAATAAAATAAGATTAGCTAAAATAAAAGGAAAAGGTGGCTATGCTTTCCTTCCTCTCACAGGTTGGCTCCCTTTTTTAAAAGATTAAATTTTATAAAGTTTTGATTTTTACAATGTGAGCTAGAGAGCTAGAGTACAGCCTTTGTTTTTTCATTAACTCATATATTCCTTTAATAACCCTAGTACAGATGGACATGTGGCAAAACCTTCTACTCAGCATATTAACTAAATAGAGAATTAATTAAGAATAAAGAATCTTTGCCAGCTGCTTAGGTGTCTTATCTTCCTTGGTTTGTAGGGACAGTTATTTTTACATCTTTTAGGAGTTCTCATTAACTTCTTATAGTGTCACAACGTTCTCTGATCTTAAATGCTTGCCTTCTCTTTGTAAGCCATTCTAGTTTTACAGCTTATCTCTTTCATCTATTGCTTGATCCAAGATCAGTCTTTCATTTGTTTATAGATAATTTACTTCTACTGGCTATTTGGGATTTTCAAGCACAAAATGTCAATCGAAGTCAGAAGTTCAGAAAAGAGACTCAAGTACTTTGAAGTAGAAGACATTTAATGTTCATCTGGGTGAAACCGCCTTTGCAAAATTAGGACTGAGACAGTGAAAGAGATCTAAACTAACTGACTCTATTTTGCTTCTAACCTTTAAGCTGCCCTTGTTATTTCCTGGGCATAGACTGGCTAACTTTGGGAGGAACTTAGTTTATAGTTTAAAACAAAGGCAATAACAGCCCTTTCCCAAAACAAACCTCCTTCTTGCCCAGGGACTAGAATGCCGTTGTAGGACTAACAAATTAGCCACAAGATTAGAAATTATGGTTTAGAAGTCATGCATCTGGAAGATACAAGATTCTGACCCTCCCTAAACTGTTCCTAAAGTTAGTGCTTGCGATATTTGGCGGATATTTTCCTGTGTTTGATGGATCAGCTGGCACCACCCAGATGGATAAACTGGCACATCTGCTCTTGTGGCCCCCACCCAGGAACTGACTCAGTGCAAGAGCACAGCTTCAGTTCCCTATGATTTCATCTCCTACCTGACCAATCAGCACTCCCAGCTCACTGGCTTCCCCAACTGATCAAGTTGTCCTTAAAAACTCTGATCCCCAAATGCTCAAGGAGACTGATTTGAGTAATAATAAAACTCTAGTCTCCCACACAGCTGGCTCTGCATGAATTACTCTTTCTCTATTACTCAGTTGGCCAGTGGGCAAGCTGAACCCATTGGGCTGTGGCATGGTGAGGGGCGTTCATGCTCCAAAGGTGAGAAGTCTTACAAAGGTTGAAAGACTGATAAACCCATGAACTGACTTCTAATGTCTCATGTAATTTGCTTTTAAAAAAGAAGCAGTGTGTTTGTAATTTGAGTTCAAAATACATTACACACTGATATGGCTCCACTGAGTGGAGAATCACCAGGGTTCTTTGCCTCGAGTCGAATTAGATAAAATGACATGGACACACATGGAGTGGTTTTAAGGAGCGGAGAGTTTAATAGGCAAGTAAGGAGGAAGAAGCTCCCTCACACAGAGACAGAGGGAGGCGGGCTCCAGAACCAAGAGAGGAAATCCCTTGTGCAACGGAAAAGTGGCTGCTTATATAAGGAGGTGGGAGGAGGTGGTGTCTGATTTGCATAGGGCTCAGGGGATTGATTTGACCAGGCATGTCACTCGCAAAACAACAACAACAACAACAACAAAAAAAAAACAAAACTGGCCCTCCCACCCTAGGCTTTTAATATGCAAATGCAGGGCACCATGATGTTCTACATGTGCGGGGATAGGTGGGGGCAAGGAAGAAGACAGCTGGAATTTCCATGTTTGGGTGGACCCAGTTACTAATGGCTAATATTTGGATATCAAAGGTTGCCTGCCCAGCTCTAAGACCTGGGGCTTTCCTGCTAGACAAGAAACATTTCTGGAGCTGCTTTCAAGGAAATAAAAACTTTCCAAGTAGCCCTCTTCCTCTCTATCTGCCTAAAATAATTTCTTAATAACTCCTACAACAACACAGTGAGAAAATTAATACTGAACTTTGCATCTATACTGGAAGAAATTGATCCTGCAGCCAGCTAGTGGTACATATTAAAATATAAGTTATATGAGTAAGGAAAAAATAATTTTGTCTCTTCCCTGATAAGTTCTTGGCTGCGGTCCTTGTAACAAAAGACAAATTAACAGGAGCAAAACAAACAAGTTTATTAACATTTATATTTCATATATACGTGGGAGATACCCAGAGCAATGTGTAGTTCAAAGTGGTGGCTTAGATTCAGGCCTAAATATCACCTTTAGCTAAATCAAAGAAAGAAGGGTGTTGGCAAAGTCAGTTACAGGGAGGAAACCAAGAAAAGCACATTAGACAAGAATAAGTTTTGCTATGTAGATTAAAGTCAGTACCTTCTCCATAGACTAGTCTCTCTTGTGATTTACAGTCATCCTGATTTTCCTGGTACAGAGAAGGAGACACCATTACAAATAGAGATTTTCTTTATAAATGTAAATTTCCATTATAAAAGGGTAACTTCTACTCTGTTTTAGAGCTTTTCCTGTGTCTGCTGTTTCTCAAAATAATCAGCTCAAAGTAATCCTTATGCCAAAGAGGCACATTTGAGGTGGCATATTCTGGCCTCCTACAGTCGTATTTTGGGGTGGCATATTCTGGTCTCTTACAGTCATATTTTGAAGTGGCATATTCTGGTCTCTGACAGTGGTAATATTTTTAAAGCATATTTTAAAGCAATCCAACCCAATTACAGGGTTAAAGTTATTTGAATCCTCAGCAAGTTTTCAAAATTTGCAAATTTGTTTTTGTTTCCTCATTTTTTTCTATCTTTTACTGTTCTTGTTTACCCTGGTGCTCTTTTGGCCTCACCTATATTTTAGCTGTTTAAATTTCATCTGGCACTTAACATCCCATATGCCTCCTTTTTCTTCATCCCATATGCCCCCTTTTTCTTCATGTCCTTCAAAAGCCTTTTCTCTGTAAGGTGATTTCAGCTAGGTGTTAGGAGTTGTTGACGAAAAGAGATGAACTCTGTAAAATATTTAAAGAGATGTATTCTGAGCCAAATGTGAGTGGCCATGGCCTGTGATGCAGCCTTCAGGAGGTCCTGAGAACATGTGCCCAAGGTGGTTGGGGCGCAGCTTGGTTTTATACATTTCAGAGAAGCGTGAGACATCAATCAAACATTTAAGAAATACATTGATTTGGTCCAGAAAGGTGGGAAAACTCAAAGTGAGGGCTCCCAGGCTATAGGTAAATTTAAACATTTTCTGATTGACAAATTGGTTGAGTTTGTCCAAAGACCTGGGATTGATAGAAAGGGAATGTTCAGGTTAAGATAAAGACTGTGGAAACCAAAGTTCTTTTGAAGTCTTATAGTGGCTTCCCTTAGACACAATAGATGACAAATGTTTCCTGTTCAGATCTTAGTTAATCTCTTTGGGATTGGGAGGGTCTGGAAGAAAAAGATCTAGCTGTGTTAATAGAGATTCTCTATAGACGCAAATTTTCCCCCACAAAGAATAGGGTCATTTCAGAATATGGCAAAAACAAAAACAAAACAAAACAAAACAAAAACCATGTTTTGGGGTTAAATATTTTGATTTTCTTGCTTGTCTTCTAATGTTATGCTAGAGTCAGGCTGGAAAGTAAGTCACAATAGACATGGTTAAATATCACCCATCTAATGAGAATTTATGATTTGTAGGGCATGACTCACCAGACCCTTTAGATAAGAATTTGGGCAAGATTAAATAATCAGAGTTTAGTCCTCAGAATAAATAACTTATCTTTACTAGACTAGTTGTGAAAAATACACTTGGAGAAAAAAATATCTTATTAAAGTAACAAAATTCCAATACGATGGCTGCTTACTGGTTTTGTTCCTTCTGGGAAACAGAATCTTGATGTTGTGAGGGCCAGGTTCTTTGTTCCCTTAAAGACTCACTGAAAAATCACTGACATGAGGCACATTAATTAATGGGGAAAAGGGCATATGAATTTATTTAACATTTATACATGAGAACCTTCAGAATGAAGACCTCCCCACAATAAGGTACCTAAGCTTATATACCATCTTGAGATTATAGAAAAAAGGTGGGCTTAGATTCTGGTAAAACAGGTTATGGGACGAGGGAGAAGAGGAATACTATTGAGGGGCAATAAATGATTACTTGGGGGAATGATTGGATCAGGAAACAAATTCTTAATAGTTTTATTTGGAGTTAAATGATTCTTAGAGATAGCCATTATTTTGCAAAGGTTCTGTTTAGATGTGGTTACATTCTTGGGTCCTCTTTTCTGCTATTACATGGAGGGGAGGAAAAAAATGTTCTCTTTGGTGGGTCTGGAATTTAGGCAGACAAAGGAATCTTCAGAAAAGTTTTACCCACTAAAAACTGAGTTGGTAGATGTGGAGGGAAAAACTGAGTTAATTGCTAAGTGGAAAAGGATCCGATTTGACCATTCTCCCATTTCTGGGAATAGGCCAGTCTCATTAAACAGCTGTGTCTAATTTTAGGACATGACATTGAAGATAGGCTTTCAAAAGAAGAAAGCGAAAATTAATGTTGAGAGCAGTCTAAGAACCCATGTCCTTAGAGTCTGGAGGGCAGCCAGTTGAAGTGTCCAGATGTTAGACTCAAAGCATCTTCAGTTAAAGTGAAAGAAGGCAGTGGCAATCTGACAAGTTTTTCCCACCTGTATTTCAAGGTATGCGCGTAAGCTTGCAGGGCCTTAGGAAAAAGGTAGTGGCAATTTCTTTAAGTCCAAGTGAGAAAAACAGAATAAAAATGTAAAAATCTGTTTAGAGACTTGTAGTCAGGAAAGAATTCAGCATTCAATCTAAATTGTAAGTAAATAATAAAAACTGAAAAACAATGGAAGAAGCTAGAATTTAATAACAAGTATACTATAGTTTTTTATTTTATTTTATTTTTATTTTATTAAGTTCCAGGATATATATGCAGAATGTGCAGGTTGTTACATATGTAAATGTATGCCATGGTGGTTTGTTGGACCTATCAACCCATCACCTAGGTATTAAGGCCCACATGACTTAGCTATTTATCCTGATGCTCTCCCTCCCTCCTTCCCCCCAACACACCCTGGTGTGTGGTGTTTCCCTCCCTGTGTCCCTGTGTTCTCATTGTTCAGCTCCCCCTTATGAGTGAGAACATGCAGTGTTCGGTTTTCTGTTCCTGTGTTAGTTTGCTGAGGATGATGGCTTCCAGCTTCATCCATGTCCCTGCAAAAAACATGATCTCATTCCTTTTTATGGCTGCATAGAATTCCATGGTGTGTATGTATCACATTTTCTTTATCCAGTCTATTATTGATGGGCATTTTGGTTGATTCCAAGTCTTTGCTATTGTGAATAGTGCTGCAATAAACATACATGTGAATGTATCTTTATAATAGAATGATTTATATTCCTTTGGGTACATACCTAGTAATGGGATTTCTGGGTCAAATGGGATTTCTAGTTCCAGATCCTTGAGGAATTGCCACACTGTCTTCCACAGTGGTTTAACTAATTTACTTTCCCGCCATCAATGTAAAAGCATTCCTATTTCTCCAAAGCCTTGCCAGCATCTGTTGTTTCCTGACTTTTTAATAATTTCCATTCTTACTGGCATGAGATGGTATGTCATTGTGGTTTTGACTTGCATTTCTCTAATGATCAGTGATGTTGAGCTTTTTTTCATGTTTGTTGGCCCCATAAATGTCTTCTTTTGAGAAGTGGTCTGTTCATGTCCTTTGCCCAATTTTTGATGGAGTTCTTTGTTTTTTTCTTGTAAACTTTTTTAAGTTTCCTGTAAATTCTGGATATTAGTCATTTGTCAGATGGGTAGATTGCAAAAATTCTCTCCCATTCTGTAGGCTGCTGGTTCACACCGATGATAGTTTTTTTGCTGTACAGAAGCTCTTTAGTTTAATTGGATCCCATTTATCAATTTTGCTTTTGTTGAAATTGCTTTTGGCAATTTCATCATAAAATCTTTGCCCATGCCTATGTCTTGAATTGTATTGCCTAGATTTTCTTCTAGGGTTTTTATGGTTTTGTGTTGTACATTTAAGTCTTTAATTCATCCTAAAATTTTTGTATAAAATCCAATGAAGGAGTCCAGTTTCAGTTTTCTGCATATGGCTAGCCAGTCTTCCCAGCACCATTTATTAAATAGGGAATACTTTCCCCATTGATTTTTTTCTGTCAGGTTTGTCAAGCATCAGATGGTTGTTGACGTGTGGACTTATTTCTGAGATCTCTATTCTGTTCCATTGGTTTATTTGTCTATTTTGGTACCAGTACTATGCTGTTTTGGATACTGTAGCATTGTAGTATAGTTTGAAGTCGGATAGCGTGATGCCTCCAGCTGAGCTGCATTCTTTTTGCTTAGGATTGTCTTGGCTATATGGGTTTTTTGGTTTCATGTAAATTTTATTTTATTTTATTTGTTTATTTTGAGATGGAGTATCACTTTGTCACCTAGGCTGGAGTGCAGTGGGACAATCTTGGCTCACTGCAACCTCCCCCTCCTGGGTTCAAGTGACCCTCCTGCCTCACCCTCCTGAGTAGCTGGGATTACAGGTGCATGCCACCACACCCAGCTGATTTTTGTACTTTTAGTAGAGATGGGGTTTACTATGTTGGCCAGGCTGGTCTCAAACTTCTGACCTCAGATGATCCACGCACCTTAGCCTCCCAAAGTGTTGGGATTACAGGCATGAACCACCATGCCTGGCCAGTTTCATGTAAATTTTAAAATAGTTTAAAAAAAAAATTCTGTGAAAAATGTCAATGGTAGTTCAATGGGAATAACACTGAATCTATAAATTACTTTGGGCAGGATGGCCATTTTTATATTGATTCTTCCTATCCATGAGCATGCAATATTTTTCCATTTGTTTGTGTCCTCTCTTATTTCCTTGAGCAGTCAGTGGTTTATATTTCTCCTTGAAGAGGTCCTTCATATCCCTTGTTAGCTGTATTCCTAGGCATTTTATTCTCTTTGTAGCAGTTGTGAATGGGAGTTCATTCATGACTTATCTCTCTGCTTGTCTATTGTTGGTGTATAGAAATGCTTGTGATTTTGTCACATTGATTTTGTATTCTGAGACTTTGCTGAAGTTGCTTATCAGCTAAAGGAGCTTTTGGGCTGAGATGATGGGGTTTCCTAGATATAGGATAATGTTGTTTGCAAATAGAGATAATTTGACTTCCTCTCCTCCTATTTGAATACCCTTTATTTCTTTCTCTTACCTGATTGCCCTGGCCAGAACATCCAATACTATGTTTCATACGAATGTTGAGAGAGGGCATCCTTGTCTTGTGCTGGTTTTCAAAGGGAATGCTTCCAGTTTTTGCCCATTCAGTTTGATATTGGCTGTGGGTTTGCCATAAATGGTTCTTACTATTTTGAGATATGTTCCATCAGTAACTAGTTTATTGAGAGTTTTTAACAGGAAGGGATGTTGAATTTTATCAAAGGTGTTGTCTGCATCTGTTGAGATAATCATGTGGTTTTTGTCACTGGTTCTGCTTCTGTGATGAATTATGCTTATTGATTTGTGTGTGTTGAACCAGTCTTGCATTCTGGCAATAAAGCCACATTGATCATGGTGGATAAGCTTTTTGATGTGCCACTGGATTCAGTTTGCCAGTATTTTATAGAGAATTTTCACATCAATGTTTATCAGGGATATTGGCCTGAACTTTTCTTTTTTGTGTGTGTCTCTGCCAGATTTTGGTATCAGGATGATGCTGGCCTCAGAAAATGAGTTAGGGAGAAGTCCTTCCTTTTCAACCATTTGGCATTGTTTCAGAAAAAAATGGTACCTGCTCCTCTTTATTCTTTGGTAGAATTTGGCTGTGAATCTGTCTGGTCCTGGGCCTTTATTGGCTGGTCAGCTATTTATTACTGCCTCAATTTCAGAATTTGTTATTGGTCTATTCAAGGAAGAGACTGAATAACAGAAATTTATCCATTTATCCAGGAATTTATCCATTTCTTCTAAATTTTCTAGTTCATTTGCATAGAGGTGTTTATAGTATTCTCTGACAGTATTTTGTGTTTCTGTGGGGTCAGTGGTGATACCCCTTTTATCATTTTTTATTGTGTCTATTTGATTTTTCTCTCTTTTCATCTTAGTCTATCTAGCAGTCTATCTACTTTATTATGTTTTTTTTCAAAAACCAGCTCCTGGATTCATTGATTTTTTGAAGGATTCTTTATGTCTCTATCTCCTTCAGTTCCAATCTTATCTTAGTTATTTTTTGTCTTCTGCTAGCTTTTAGATTTGTTTGCTCTTGCTTCTCTAGATCTTTTAGTTTCAATGTTAGAATGTTGATTTGAGATCTTTTGAGCCTTCTGATATGGGCATTTAGTACTATAAATTTCCTTCTTAACGCTGCTTTTGCTGCGTCCCAGAGATTCTGGTACATTTTCACTTTGTTCTTATTCCTTTCATAGAACTTCTTGATTTCTGCCTTAATTTCATTATTTACCCAGGATTTATTTGGGAGCAGGTTGTTCAATGTCCATGTAATTGTGTGGTTTTGAGTGAATTTCTTAATCTTGAGTTCTAATTCAATTGTGCTGTAGTCTGAAAAACTGTTATGATTTCAGTATTTTTTGTATTTGCTGAGGAGTGTTTTACTTCCAATATGTGATTGATTTTAGAGTAAGTGTGAGAAGAATGTTTATTCTGTTGTTTTCGGGTGGAGAGTTCTCTAGATATCTATCAGGTCCACTTAATCCAGAGCTGAGTTCAAGTCCTAAATATCCTTGTTAATTTTCTTTCTCAATGATCTGTTTAATATTGACAGTGGGGTGTTAAAGTCTTCCACTATTATTGTATGTCAGTCTAAGTATCTTTGTAGATCTCTATGAACTTGTTTCATGGATCTGGGTGTTCTTGCAATGGGTGCATATATATTTAGTATAGTTAGCTCTTCTTGTTTATTTGAACCCTTTACCATTATGTAATGCCCTTCTTTGTCTTTTTTTATCTTTGTTGGTTTAAAGTCTATTTTGTCAGAGATAAGGATTGCAACCCCTGCTTTTTTCTGCTTTCCATTTGCTTAGTACATTTTCCTCCATCCCTTTAATTTGAGCCTATGTGTGTCTTTGAGATGGGTCTCTTGAATACAGCACACTCATGAGTCTTGACTTTTTACTTATTTGGCCAGTCTGTGTCTTTTAATTGGGGCACTTAGCCCATTTACATTTGAGTTTAATATTGTTATGTGTGAATTTGATTCTGTCATCATGATTCTATCTGGTTATTTGGCACACTAGTTGATATGGTTTCTTCATAGTGTCATTGGTATTTGTATTTCAGTGTGTTTTTGCAGTGGTTGGTACTAGTTTTTCCTTTCTATATTTAGTGCTTTCTTCAGGAGTTCTTGCAAGGCAGGCCTGGTGGTGATGAAATCCCTCAGCATTTGCTTGTCTGAAAAGGATTTTATTTCTCCTTTGTTTATGAAGCTCAGTTTGGCTGGATATGAAATTCTGGGTTGAAAATTCTTTTCTTTAAGAATGTTGAATATTGGCCCCCAATCTCTTCTGGCTTGTAGGGCTTCTACTGGAGTTCTACTGTTAGTCTGATGGGCTTCCCTTTGTAGGTGACCTGGCCTTTCTCTCTGGATGTTCTTAACATTTTTTCCTTCATTTCAATCTTAGAGAATCTGAAGATTATGTGTCTTGGGGTTGATCTTCTTATGGAGTATCTTACTGGGGTTCTCCATATTTGCTGAATTTGAATGTTGGTCTGTATTGCTAGGTTGGGGAATTTCTCCTGGATGGTATGCTGAAGTGTGTTTTCCAACTTGGTTTCATTCTCCTCATCTCTTTCAGGTACTCCAATCAGTCATGGGTTTGGTCATTTTACAGAGTCCCATAGTTCTCGGATGTTTTGTTCATTCCGTTTCATTCTTTTTTCTCTATTCCTGTCTCCCTAGCTTATTTCAATGAGATAGTCTTCAAGCTCTGATGTTCTTTCTTCCACTTGATTGATTCAGCTATTGATACTTGTGTATGCATCACGAAGTTCTCATGCTGTGTTTCTCAGGTCATTTATGTTCCTCTCTAAACTGGTTATGCTAGTAAGGACTTACAGTAACCTTTCGTCATGGTTCTTAGCTTCTTTGCATTGGGTTAGAACATGCTCCTTTACCTCAGCACTTTGTTATTACCCACCTTCTGAAGCTACTTCTGTCAATTCGTCCATTTCCTTCTCTGTCCAGTTTTGTTCCTTTGCTGGAGAGATATTATGATCATTTGGAGGAGAAGAGGCACTCTAGCCTTGTGAGTTTTCAGTGTTTTTTTCATTGATTCTTTTTATCTTCATGAGTTTGTCTAGTTTTGATCTTTGAGGCTGCTTTGATGAGGTTTTCGTGGGGACTTTTTGTTGATTGCTGTTGAGGCTTTCTGTTTGTTTGCTTTACTTTCAGTAGTCAGGTTCCTCTTCTGTAGGGCTGTTGAAGTTTTTTGGGGATTCACTTCAGGTCCTATTCATCTGGGGCACCACTGCACCTGGGGATGTCACACGAGGAGGCTGGAAAAAAGCAAAGGATGGGTGCCTGCTCCTTCCTCTGTGATCTCTGACCTCAAGGGGCACTGACCTGACTAGGAACGCTCCTGTATAGGGTGTCTGGTCGCCCCTGTTGTGGGGGGTCTCACCCAGTTGAGGGGCATGGGAATCAAGACCCATTTAACAAAGCACTTTGGCTATCTGTTGGTGGAGGGGGTGTGTTGTGCTGGGGGGAAAGCCACTCATCTGGCCTGCTTGGATTCCTCAGAGCTAGCAAGGCAAAAGGCTAAGCCTGCTGATCCATGGAGACTATGACCACCCTACCCCTTAGGGGTTCAGACCCAGGGACATCAGAGTTCTGTCCCTAAGCACCTGGCTGGAGTTGCTGGAGTTGCTTCAGGGAGGCCCAGCCCAGTGAGGAAGGATGGGTCAGTGTCTGGCCTAAAGAGGCAGTCTGGCCATGGTCTGCTACAGCTGGTGTGCTGTGCTGTGGGGAATACCTACTGGGACCAAGCCATCTAATTTTCCCAGTTCCAGCAGGGGAACAATGCAGCCTGGAGCTATAGTGATTGCTGCTGCCCTTCCCCCCGGGAGTTCAGTGTTTTAGGCAGTTAGCAGCCGCCATGATGGTTGCCATCTCTCTTCTGGGGAACTCAGTTTTCTTAGGCAGTCGACAGCTGCAGTGATGCTGGCTGCCCCTCCCTCAGGGAGCTCAGTTGTCTTAGGCAGCCATGATGATGACTGCTACCCTTTCTCTAGGGAGCTCAGATGGCTTAGACAGCAGGCAGCAGCAGTAATGACAGCTGTCCCTCCCTTTAGGAACTTGATGGTCTTAGGCAAACTCCAGCTAAGTGGCTGATGAGAACCTGCATGGCTCTGTGGTTGGGGCCCAAGGACCTGGTGGTATGGGCTCCCGAGTGGGATCTTCTGATCTGTAGGTTGCATGGTTCCATGGAAAAAGCACCCTTTCCCAGGCTGAGTAGCATGCTCATTCACCCCCTTCCTTGGCTGGGGGTGGGGGTTCCCCTGCCCCATGTGGCTCTCAGGTGGGCCAATGCACCACCCTGCTTTTCCTTGCTCTCCGAGGGTAATGCCAACTGCCTAGTCAGTTCTGATGATAGAACCAGGATACCTTGTGTATTAGTCCATTTTCATGCTGCTGATGAAGACATACCCAAGACTGGGCAATTTACACACACATACACACACACACACACACACACACACACACACACAGAGGTTTATTGGACTCACAGTTTTACGTGCCTGGGGAGGCCTCACAATCATGGTGGAAGGTGAAATGTACATCTCACATGGAAGCAGATGAGAGAAGAGAGCTTGTGCAGGGAAACTCCCATTTTTAAAACCATCAGATCATATGAGACTTATTCACTATCACAAGAACAGCAAGGGAAAGACCCACCTCCATGATTCAATTTACCTCCCAACAGGTTTTTTCACAACATTTGGGAATTATGGGAATGAGATTTGGGTGGTGACACAGCCAAACTGTATTATTTCACCCCTGACTCCTCATGTCCTCACATTTCAAAACCAGTAATGCCTTCCCAACAGTCTCCCAAAGTCTTAACTCATTTCAGCATTAACTCAAAAGTCCACAGTCCAAAGTCTCATCCAAGATAAGGCACGTTACTTCCATCTACGAGCCTGTAAAATCAAAAGCAAGTTAGCTACTTCCTGGATACAATGGGGGTACAGGCATTGGGTAAATACAGGCATTCCAAATGGGAGAAATTGGCCAAAACAAAGAGGCTACAGGTCCCATGCAAATCTGAAATCCAGCAGGGCAGCAAAATCTTAAGGCTCCAAAATGATCTCCTTTGACTGCATGTCTTGCATCTAGGTCACATTGATGTAAGAGGTGGGTTCCCATGGTCTTGGGCAGCTCTGACCCTTTGGCTTTGCAGGGTACAGCTTCCCTCCTGGCTGCTTTCATGGGCTGGCATTGAGTGTCAGTGTCTGTGGCTTTTCCAGGTGCATGGTACAAATTGTTGGTGAATCTACCATTCTGGGGTCTGGAGGATAGTGGCCCTCTTTTCATGCCTCCACTAGGTGGTGCCCCAGTAGGGACTCTGTGTGGTAGCTTCAACCCCAAATTTCCCTTCCACACTGCCCTAGTAGAGGTTCTCCATGAGAGCCCCGCTGCTGCAGCAAACTTCTGCCTGGGCATCCAGGAGTCTCTGTAAGTCTTCTGAAATCTAGGCGGAGGTTCCCAAACCTCAATTCTTGACTTCTATGTACTTGCATGCTCAATACCACATGGAAACTGCCAAGGCTTGGGGCTTGCACCCTTTGAAGCCATGGCCCAAGCTCTCCTTTGGCCCCTTTTAGCCATGGCTGGAGCGACTGGGATGTAGGACACCTAGTCCCTATGCTGCACACAGCATGGGGACCCTGGGCCTGGCACATAAAACCACTGTTTCCTCCTAGCCTCTGGGAGGGGCTGCCAGGAAGGCCTCTGACATTCCCTGGAGACATTTTCCCAATTGTCTTGGGGATTAGTATTTGGCTCCTCATTATTTATGCAAATTTCTGCAGCTAGCTTGGATTTCTTCTCAGAAAATGGGATTTTCTTTTCTACTGCATTGTCATGCTGCAAGTGTTCTGAATTTTTATGCTCTGCTTCCCTTATAAAAATGAATGTCTTTAACAGCACCTGTCACTTCTTAAATACTTTGCTGCTTAGAAATTTCTTCTGTCAGATAACCCTAAATCATCTCTCTCAAGTTCAAAGTTCCACAAATCTCTAAGGCAGGGGCAAAATGCTGAGAGTCTCTTTGCTAAAACATAACAGGAGTCACCTTTGTTCCAGGTTTCAGTAAGTTTCTCCTTTCCATCTGAGACCACCTCAGACTGAATTTTATTGTCCGTATTGCTATCAGCATTTTGTGCAAAGCCATTCAACAAGTATGTAGGAATTTCCAGTTTCCCACATTTTCCTGTCTTCTTCTGAACTCTCCAAACTGTTCCAACTCCTGGCTGTTACCCTGTTCCAAAGTTGCTGCCACATTTTCGGGTATCTTTCCAGTGGTGTGCCCCATTCTACTGGTACCAATTTACTGTATTAGTCCATTTTCATGCTGCTAATAAAGACATATCTGAGACTGGGCAATTTACAAAACAGAGAGGTTTATTGGACTCACAGTTCCACCTGGCTGGGGAGGCCTCACAATCATGGTGGAAGGTGAAAGGCACGTCTCACATGGTGGCAGACCGGAGAAGAAAGCTTGTGCAGGGAAAATCCCATTGTTAAAACCATCATATCTTGTGAGACTTATTCACTATCATGAGAACAGCACAGGAAAGACCCATCCCCATGAGTCAATTATCTCCCTCCAGGTCCCTCCTACAACACATGGGAATTGTGGGAGTTACAATGCAAGATGAGATTTGGGTGGGGACACAGCCAAACCATATCACCTTGGTTGCCAGTGCAGGATTCACATGCTGTTTTTGTTCTTCTTGGTGGGAGCTTCCAACTGCTGCTGCTTCTAGTTGGCCATCTTAACCCCACCCCTCTACAGTTTTCTTTAGAAACATAATTTTCCCTCTCCTCCTTCCCATTTCTACCAAAGACCAGTCACAATAGGAACAACTTATTTGAAAAATTTATTTTAGTCTTATTATACTTGGTGTGATTATTTTTATAGTAGTGTGCACAAATAATAGTTATTGGCTATACAGGCTCTTTTAAAATTGGCTTTGCTGTACTTTTTTTCATAAAGAATTTTAAGTTAGACTTTTAAAAGCCTCTTGAGCCAAGCCAAAAATTTATCTATGCCTGCAGATACCTGTATGAAATTGGTAAATTCCTCTCTTTTTGATGTTCTAAAATAACTTGGTGTTCCTGGGCCTGTCAGAAAGTGGCATTTCTTTACTTACTACAGGAATTTTGTAAAGAAATTATATTATATAAAGGAAGTATCAGAGCAGTCTTTTCAAGAATCCTTTTCTCACCTCTATAAAGTCAACCTTAATTCTTAAAAGTAGTCTGGTCATATCTGAAAATATGACATTTCAGCCAAAGCCTTGGTAAAATAACCAGTGTTTTCTATTGTGTCCTGTTTTAAAAGAGAACAAATACTTATTGAACTTATTCAAATAACTCTAATGCCATAAATTAAGAATATTCACACCTGGGTGATGGGATCATGTGTACCCCAAACCTCAGGGTTGCTCAGGTAAGAAACATGCACATGTAACCCCTGAATCTAAAGTCAAAGTTGAAAAAAATACTCAAAAATATTTTATTCTGGAGAAATCAGATGGAGAGAAAAAGATATGCTTTAAATTTTCCTTGCAAGAGTAAGTATACTTTGCCCAATTTGTTGTAAGTTATAAGTAGCCCAACAGAAAAAAATTCATGACTCTGGAAAATAAAATATAAAAAGAATCAGTATGTTTCACATTTTAAAAGTAAAAGAAAAGTTTAGTTCTCTATTATTTCAATCTCATGTAATTAACTGTTGTTCTGCTTGATGTTGGGTTAGGAATCCCCATGAACAAACCAGCTTTTTGATTAAAGTCTTGGAAGATTTTTTCCAAGCCCAAAGGTATAATCTCCAAAATTATCAGAAAACTGTACTCAACAGAACTTGTCAGAGTCCTTTCTATGATTTTCTTTAAAAAAGCAAATTTTTGACTGTGGCTGATTATAATCTATTTTTTGAGAAGAATCAAAGTAAAACAATAATTGCTTTGAACGACATTAGTCTTAGAACAATCATAATTAAAGACAAAATTGACAAGGAAATTGGGTTATTTCTGGGACACACAACAATTTACCATAATAATCATAATTATTAATCCTAACCTATAGTACGACATCAGAATTTTAGGAATTTCATGCAACTGTGGGACACATGGTAAAAACATGTTTTTATAAACATAACCCACAGAAAGTTAAACATCACTTTATATTTGGCAATGCTTCTTGTATAATTTTAATAGGCTGTTTATATCTCTTTTGGACTTTCACGGGCCCTAATATCCAAACTGTTAATTTGAGGTAAAAAAGATTAAATTTATAATTTGAAATACAATTTTGGAAAATTTGTCAAATATCAAAGGTCTAAAAACTTGATATCACAAAATAGTTTCACAGGTCACTGTAAAATAAGTCATTCATTTAGCCAATGTGATAATTCAAAGATTTCAAAAAGCAAAATCCTTTACTCTTTTATAGAGAGAAGACTTGGTTTCCCAAACAATCAAAATACATCAGAAGGCAAACTGAATCAATCTCTTCCTCTTTCCCTCTTTTTGTTTGTAGCTTACTCAAAAAGTAAACAAAAATATTTTATTTCTTATTATTATTACATGGAAATCTCTTTCCAAAGAGAAACCTAAATTTCACTTTTACATTCATGTATTATAATTCTAAAGTTAATTGTAATAAAACCTAATAAACAAATACATTCTTAATCAGTTTGAATACGAGGTAATATGGTTGTTTTATAAGGGGTGCTTCCTGCTTCACTCAGCACTTCTTCCTGCTGCCTGTGAGCAAAATGCCTTGCTTCCCTTTCACCGTCTGCCATGATTGTCAGTTTACTGAGGCCTCCCTAGTCATGCTGAACTGTGAGTCAATTAAACTTCTTTCCTTTGTAAATTACCCAGTTTCAGGTAGTTCTTTATAGCAGTATAAAAATGAACTAATACACAAGGTAAGATTACTATAAACCTTTCATAACGCTTTACAATATTTTCCATTCTCTTTTTTCAGCTTTCTATACATTGTTTTATTTATCATTCCTTTTAATTCATTTAAAACAACACTTAAAGCCTCTAACTTAGGCAAAAATGCTTTTCCTTTAACAAAAATCACATCATTATCATATCTTCTTATAATCTTTTCAAATCAAAAACACATCCTGCTTTTCTTATACACTTTGTATATAGAATTGTTTGTCTTATATCTAGTGCTTTTAATTATATACATTAGTTACAGTGTTAACTGTTAGTAACCCTTGTTTTTAGTGAAAAACTTAGACGCTAAATACTTTTAAAGATGCAGAACCCAGGACAAAGGCACAGAACTTAGATATAAACAAAGGTAAGCTTTGTTATGTAAACTTTAGGCCATTTTCTTCTCCATCCTAAAAGTTTGTAGAGGTTTAGGTGCACAGAGGGAGAATGCTCTCACAAATGGAGATTTTTGTTTATAGATGTAAATTGATTTTACAAAAGAGGTTCATAATAGCCAGATAAATGTCAGAAAGTTGTATTTTGGCTTTTTAACTTAGCTTATATCTTAATTACATTATTGGCTTCCAGGTGGAGCCCTTTCATGAGAAGAAAGAAAGTATGCAGTTTATAGTGCTAAAAATTTAAATGTGAAAAGCAGGCACAGGTGGAAGGTAGAACACAGGTCCCTCAAAATCAGGGATCCCATTTTTACATTAAACTCTGGGTCCCAAAAGTAGAGAAACACCATGGGACTAGAGAGTGCAATGCTTCCATGGAGTATCTCGCTGCAAGCACATTCCCATTCCCCAGAGGCTGGTGGGCAACTCACTGTTAGTCAGCCCACTCTGTAATCACCTCATTTCCCAGGAGTCTTATCCCTCAGGGGGGAGTGTTTCCATAACCTCTAAGGGTCTCCAGGTCAGCCTTTCCTTATCCAAATGCACAAAGAGACAAGCGGCCCCCTGTGGTAATAATCATTTATTGTCGACAACTGTCATTAGTCACTTCTAACACAGTGAATAGTTCTATTTTCCAAATATTTGTGAAACCAGCACTCTATCCCACTGACATTCTTTGAAAGTAGAATTTGGAAGAATATATTCTGAAGAAAGTTCCTAAAAGCATAACTTATACAGGAATCTATGAAGCAAACTAAGCAGAATGTATAATTGTGTTACATATAACATCCTCTTTTGTGACACTAAGTAATTGTTCCACCTTACCAGATCAACTGCAGCAGCACACAACATAACGCAGTCATTTCTTTCATTTAAAAAAGCAATAGGCCAGGTGTGGTGGCTTACGCCTTTATAATCCTAGCACTTTGGGAGGCTGAGGCAGGCAGATCACGAGGTCAGGAGGTCAAGACCAGCCTGGCCAACATGGTGAAATAAAAATTAGCTGGGCGTGGTAGCAGGCACCTGTAATCCCAGCTACTCAGGAGGCAGGCTGAGGTAGGAGAGTTACTTACCTGGAGGCAGAGGTTTCAGTGAGCTGAGATTGTGCCACTGCACTCCAGCCTAGGTGACAGAGCAAGACTCCAACTCAAAAAATATATATAATAATAAAATAAAATAGAAATCTCTTTATTGACTGCACTCAATTACCATCCCAGTTTTCTGACCCCCTGTTCTGCTCATCTCATTTAAAAAGTTGTCCGCATGTGCTGTGTTTTGTGCTGAATTCTGTATCCCCTCTAAATTCATATATGGAATCCCTGACTCCCTCGTACCACAGAACGTGACTACGTTTGGAGATAGGGCCTTGATTAAGTTAAAGCAAGGCCACTGGGGGGGCCCTAATCAAATCTGACTAGTGTCCTTAAAGAAGAGGAAATTTGAACCCACAGAGAGACACTAGGGGAACGGGCACAGAGGAAAGACCACATGAAGATACCATGAGAAGGCAGCCCCCTGCAAGCCAAGGAGAAAGTCCTCAGGAGAAACCGGACCTGCCAACACCTTGATCTTTGGACTTTAAGCCTCCACAATGGAGAGGAAATATATTTCTGTTCTTTTAACCCAGCAGTCTGTGATATTTTTTTATAGTCACCCTAGCTGCCTCCAATTCGTCTCTTCCATTTCCTCTTGAGCCTACTCCACTCAGGTTTTTCCCAACATAGCTCTTCCGAAATGACACATAAGGACACCACACAGCATGTGATATAGTTGATTACTCTTTCTTCCTTAGAAACCACTTTTCACTTGGCTTCTAGGACACCAAACTCTTCTGGATTTCCTCCTACTTCCCTGACCACACCTTCTCGGTCTTCATTCAGATTTTTCCTTGTCCCCCTAATCTCTTGAACAACCCTCCCACCCTGGGGTTCCCTACTCCACTTTTCTTCTTCTGCTGTCTCTGCCCATTATTATCTAGCTTGCATACTTATTATTATTGTCTGATTTCAACACAAGAAGGTGAGGATTTTTTGTCTGTTTTATCCACTGATAGATTACCACCTAGAACAGTTCCTGGCACATATTAAGTAAGCACAATAAATGCTTTTTGAATGAATAAATTAGATGACATCAATTGAAACACTAAGAAAATGGTATTTTGTTTAGTCTAGGGTCCTGCTTTTCTCATTAAGTTCTCTTCTGATGAACTTTTCTTGTGTTTCTTTGTTTGGAAGCAGGAGAGGTTTATTTCAGTAACATTTCTGAAGTTCTAGGATAGTCTAGTGTCAAGAGCATGGGCTCCAAACCTGGATGTTGTACTTTCACTGGTTGTGATACTATGAGTACACTCTTTAACCTTTCTGTGCCTGTCAACTCAAATTTGAACAAAAGCTAGTAATTATTTCTCTCCATAGGGTTATCATGAAGGTTAAGTGAGAGAATGAATATGTAACACAGAGCCTCTTGCCTTGCAAGCCCTCAGTGTTATCTTCCATCATTGATACGATTAGAATATCTGTAGCAAAAATACATCAGTTTCTTGAATAGAGGAATCTTGGCTTTTCTTTCTTTTTTTTCCCCCACCAGTTGCTATTATTGTAATCTGCATAACGAAGCCACTCAGAAATTCTCCCCAATAACCTCTAAGTAACCCCCTAACTACCTAGGAGTAAGGAGACATCGGAGCCCCAAAGGTACAGACATCTGTATAGAAGAGTGCCAGCACTCATTTTTATTTCTCTATTCAAAGCTTCACATGATGTCCAAAATATCTCTTGTAATTCTGTGCAAAAAGATGGAAGACAATCTGGGATCCTCTTCAAATTTAAGAGTTATGAGTCAATAAAATTATTTTTTGATTTGGAAGTGCAGTGTATATGTGTGTATGTATATATATATGTATTATATATGTGTGTATGTGTGTGTGTTTATCTATCACACACACACAGAGAGATAGAGAGAGAGAGAGTCTCACTCT
This sequence comes from Homo sapiens, assembly GCF_000001405.40. Taxonomy (NCBI): domain Eukaryota; kingdom Metazoa; phylum Chordata; class Mammalia; order Primates; family Hominidae; genus Homo; species Homo sapiens. Next base: position 69,080,370 of record NC_000001.11, read on the forward strand.
GTCACCTAGGCTGGAGTGCAGTGGCCCAATCATGGCTCTCTGTAGCCTCGGTCCTTCCCCCAAGGGTCAGGTGATCCTCCTAACTCTGCCTCCTGAGTAGCTGGGACCACAGGTGTGCACCATCACTCCTGGCTAAGTTTTTTATTGTTATTTTTAGAGACGGGATCTCCCTATGTTGTTCAGGCTGGTGTCAAGCTCCTGGGTCCCACCTTGGCTTCCCAAAGTGTTGGGATTCCAGGCGTGAGCCACCATGCCCAGCCTGAAGTGCAGTATAACATAGTTAAATAATGAGAGCATATAACGTAGAAATTGTGACGGTGTTTATATCTTTATTCATTTGAGGAGGAAGATAGTGTAAGTAGGAAGAAAGGTGTTTTAAGCTCACACTATAAGATGGACTTTAAAGAATTTTTTTATTTGCAGCACTTTCTCCTGTTTGCAGCAGAAAGCAGAGGGGTCGTTCACGTGGCTATGGATCAGAGTTTGAAGTGTCCCAAAGAAAGAGGCTTCAGCATTAAACACAGAGACAAAAAAACCCCAACACAGGTTGTTAACATGTGCAAGAAGCCTACATTTTTCAGCGGGCTTTGGAGGGAGCAAATCTCTGTGACACTGATAATAAATATACTGTTGAAAATGCACATTAGGTATTGAAATAAGGAAAGGCCGGACATTTTGCAAATTTTAAAAAGGAAATTACAGGCAAATAGGCAAGCAAGTGTAAAGCAGGACCCAGTTAGCATAACAAGTGGTTTAGTACAGTTGGAACATAGTGTGGGGGTGAGGTTTTCAATATGCTTTTGTTTTTAAGATAATTTTTAGATTATTGCAATTACTAGCTCTCCCCAGTCTTGTAAGCCAAAAGTGGACCAGAGTTTTCCTTTTCCTGGTATTGCATGAGAGATTTTGGACATTACAGTGCAAAACTCTAATAAGGAAATGGATTAAAGTTGCAAGAAGGGTTTAAGCTCAGCTTTGGTAAATGGTATAGTATAAAACCTGACAGATGGGCTTCGAGTTCAGGAAAACTAGGTTCATATTTCAGCTCTGTGACTTGCTAACAGGATGATCTTAGGCAAGCCTAAATTCTATTTTACATAATGTAGAGATATTGCCTTCCTCACAAGATGGTTGTTGGGACTAAATAAAATTATGTATGGAAAGTATTTAGCACAGCACATGCCATGTAATTAATGTTTGGTAAGGGTAAATGATGACATTAATATTGACAACAGCCATGATTGAAATAGACCTAGAAGGGAGATATTGGGAAAAAAACTGTTTGCTTCAGAGAACGGACAAAACAGGCAAAAATTTAAATAAACCATATTAGTTTCTACATTATGCTGAGCGATAAGAACCTCAAAGCTTCACAAGCAAGAATGTGCTGGAATACTGGAACTTCTTGCATAATAGAAGGGAACCGGAGCTTGAGAGAGTAAGACAATGTAATCAACTTTCTGCCTTTGTACTTGGCACGTAGCTCACTTAAGAATGCTTTTCTCTCATCAAATGGCCAGCTAGTGTCAAAAGATCAGTGCTAATCTCAGTGAACTCCAACATGCTTGATTCTAGAACTTTAGAATGCCACAATATTCACTTACTGGGTGAGGCCAATAACAGAGAGAGAAATAGTCTCAATGGATTGTCAAGAATGAAAAAAGAAAATGTTTATTTTTAAAAGTCCTTTTGGCCTTAAAAAATGTGTTTCTTTTGCAGTGTTATTTCAGTTCTGTAGTGCTAGTCAGGTCTTATACTAGAAAGGATGTACAAATGCTGTCATAGGAAAATTCCTGCTGCTCTTTGTTCTAAATTTCACCATCACCCTTTAAGACTGTGCCCCCCATGGAAATGTTATATAAGGCCATCATTTTTCCTGAATTGTTTATTAAAACAATTTTTGAAATGGTTGAAGATTTTTATCTATGTTACCATCATCAATACCATGTCGATAAAATATTTTCCTGCTGATCTTCTCAGGCTCTAAAGAAAAGCTTTCTATCCCATAATATGCTCTGACTTCTGAGATGATTACATTTTATGCTGGCTCATGGTATAAACTTTCAAAGCCGCCAGCTGAGTTGTCATTGTAGTACAGCTGATTCCTTGATTGATATACAGTGTCTGAGATGTCTTTGTTCTCCCGACTTCCCACTGGTTAACAGATTACAGATCAGAATAAAAGAAAAGAGTGTAACAACCAAAGGAACACTGGGGTCTCTAATGATATCAGAGGTTACCTTCTCTTTAAGAGAGGATTTGTTACTTTAAAATGATTGGATCAACCTAATATGTCATGCTGGGCAAGTCAACTCAACTAAAGACGGGGCTTTGGAAAGCTTTCTTCCTGATCTGGGAGTTCATCTAATTTTTGGCTACAGAAAATCTATGTCTTGAGAAATTAGATGTCTGGAACGATCTTTAACCTTAGTGGGTGGCTTTTTTGGTTGTTGTTGGAGTGCTGCACAATTGTGAGGAAAAATACAATTTTCCTTATAACGCATGGAAATAAAGGTCTTTTTAAAATTATGACTTCATTATGTAATAGGAATGCTGGCCTATTAGTTTGCAGAAAAGAGATAATACTTTCCATTTGCTCTGAGAAAATTGTGGCTGTTTTGTTTTCTTTTCTTCCACAATGAAAGAAAATTGACATATTGAGACATTCTTTGGAAAGCATATAGGACATCCAGAGTCAGCTTCCATTCTGTGTATACTCAAACTATCAAAATATTCAGAACTAAGCCTTGATCAGTTAACTAATTTTTCTGTTTTAGAAACTTCTCTGAATCCATTATTATGTAAAACAAATAAAATTGGTTTTTCTTTCAAAGATAAATATCCACTGTGCTTCAATACTTATCAGGGTTATGACTTCCTAGCTGCCTATTTACCATTTTTCTACAGAAATAGAAACTCTGCCTCCTCCCTCCCCCATCTTCTCCATGGTGCAATAGCCAGGTGAGTTTGAGAGGTAAACGCTTTAGATTTAAAATCACTTTGCTGAATCTCATCTGTGAGCTTTTACTCCTAATGAAATGCACTGATAGATCTTACACACTTGTCTCATGCAACAGCTATTTGGTGAAAGAAGTCAGCATGCAGATGTATCCTCTAACAAGGAAAACTAAGACAAACCATATCATATTGTATTTGAATCGGTGTAGGCTGAGATCACCACAGAGAAAATGTATAGTCTATTTCAAACAGCCAAGGAGGAGAGTTTGAAACAAAAATCATTAGGCTGAACAGCATTCTGCTTGACAGTAAAATTTGAGTTGTTGTTTTATATCTATGAAAGATCTTTTTTTTTTTAAGAAAACTTTTAAGTTCAGTGGTACAAGTGCAGGTTTGTTACATAGATAAACTTGTGTCACGGGGGTTTGTTGTACAGATTATTCCAGATATTAGCCCTAGTACCCATTAGTTATTTTTCCTGATCCTCTCCCTTTTCCCACCCTCCCCCACAAAAGGCCCCAGTGTGTGTTGTTTCTGTCTATGTGTCCATGTGTTTTCATCATTTAGCTCCCACTTATAAGTGAGAACATGTGATATTTGGTTTTCTGTTCCTGTGTTGGTTTGCTAAGGATAATGGCCTCCAGCTCCATCCATGTTCCTGTAAAGGACATGATCTCATTCTTCTTTATGGCTGCATAGTATGCCATGGTGTCTATGTAACACATTATCTTTATCAGGTCTATTATTGATGGACACTAAGGTTGACTCCATGTCTTTGCTATTATGAGTAGTGCTGCAGTGAACATACATGTGCATGTATCTTTATAATAGAACACGAACAACAGTCAAGCTGAGAACCAAATCTGGAATGAACTCCCATTCACAATTCCCACAAAAGAATAAAATATCTAGGAATACAGACAACTAGGGAGGTGAAAGATTTCTACAAGGAGAACTACAAACCACTGCTCAAAGAAATCAGAGATGACAAAAACAAATGGAAAAACATCCCCTGCTCATGGATAGAAAGAATCAGTATCATGAAAATGGCCATACTGCCCAAAAAATTTATAGATTCAATGCTATTTCTATTAAATTACTATTGACATTCTTCAAAGAACTAGAGAAAACTATTTTAAAATTCATATAGAACCAATAAAGGGGCTGAATAGCCAAGGCAATCCTAAGCAAAAAGAACAAAGCTGGAGGCATCACATTACCCAACTTCAAACTATACTACAGGGCTACAGTAACCAAAACTGCATTGTGTTGGTACAAAAACAGATACATCAACCAATGAAACAGAATACAGCATGATCTTATTTCATCAGACAGTTTCACCTTGCTCTATTCAGTCCCATTGTGCTAGGCTTAGGGACTTCAGTCCCAGTGAAGGAAATTAGAATATGTCACCCCAAAATATACCTCTTTAACATAGAGAAGGTAACCTCTAATTTTTTAACTAAAGGCAGTTAAGAAGCAGCAAAGGGAGAGAAGCTCTCTCTATCCTCCTTTTCTGCCTGAAGACAGGATATAAATTATCTTTTACTGGAGACAGTTCTTATCAGCCCAGAGATGGCACCAGAGGAATATGCAAACAAGCCTTGCTCTATTAGTTTATTTTCATAAATTTACCTTCCCACAGTTTCCCACCTCTGGAAGCCTTAAACTGTTTTCCTTTGTCCTGTTACTTCTCTAAAATTTATTGTTCTTTGCTGAAGGTCTTATATAAGCCAGGTTTTTAAGCCAGTGCTTTGAGTCACCTTTCATTGAAGTTTCTTCTGTATGAAGTGCACTGCATGTATTTGTAAACCTACTTGTTTTTCTCCTGTTAATCTGTCTTTTGTTACAGGAGTCAGTCCCAACTACAAATTTAAGAGGATCACAGAAACACCCACAAACTTACGAGGATCACAGAAAACACCCCTACACCAACTTATAGCCAATCTATTCAACCTGCATTGTTAGCAGGTAAGACTGTTTGTTCAGGGGCTACTTATAATAGTAGAAAACACTTTGTTTTCTTAAAAGCAGACCTGAGAGGCTCTGACTCCTTCAAATATACTGATCTCCTTCCAATAGGCAATGTGCTGGTCTTATTTGTGGGAGAGATATGCAGCTGATCCTTCTGATCCATTTAACCAACAGTGGAAAAAAAAAATCATGGCTGGAATTGTTCTTTTACCTTGGAAACAAAAGTTTCACAGAGCTAGTGGGCATGATGGCTGTGACAAATAGCTATTGGTAGGATAGTATGGAGCCAGCACATGGATATTTCAGAATAGCCACTCTAGTCGAGGAGGCAGAACAGCAAGGCATAAGGTAAAGTGAGCTTGGAGGAAAGCATCTTTAGTAAGAAAAGCCTTTCCCTGGTTCTACTGGCCCCTCTGGGATATGATTCCTATGATAAACAATATGCTCTGTTAATTCTTTTGCCCTGTGTGTCTCATGTAAATAACAGTGTCATTTATAGAATGCCTAACCATGGTGCCTAAACAGGCACTGCATACGTTCATTTAAAGTCCCTTCTATCAGATATTTCTATCATATCCTTCCTGTTTTACAGATGAAAACTATGAGACTCAAGAGATTAAGTAACTTTCCCCAATTCACACAGCTAGTGCATATGTATTAGGATTCAAATCCACATGTATCTGATTCCTGTATTTTAATTACAATACAAAGCTGTCCCATTTCCTTTCTGCTTTGGCTATTCTCTTTCCTAATAATTCTCAGGTTTGATTGTCAAGTTACTATCCAAGAGCAGAATTCTTTCTGGAGCCTCCTCACTAAAGTTCTCTGTACTTGTGGATCATTAAGACAAGGACACCAACTGAGAACTGTTACTAATTGCTTGACCACAGGTTCCAATGCAAAGTGGCAATGCTGATGGACCTCTGTAGAAATGGATTTTTTTAAAGTAACTTTGGGCAAATAAATAGTATTAACTCTGTGACACTGACTGAGCTTAAATTAGTCTCAAGCATAATGTTTAATGAAAAACAGAGACACAAAGATACTATCTGATTTTTTTTAAGTGGACCCACTGCTGGATCTGTTTTAGGTCTAGGCACATGCTTAGAGCTCTGAGAGCTGTAGTTATAAATGTCTTATATTTACAGCATAGCATGATATACTTGCAGTATTCTATACTGGAATAGATCTTAAATTATTGATGTTTGGTGATCATACACATTCCAAGCCTCATAGGCCTTAGGCCAGGACATTGATGTTATGTGTTCCTATTATACTGTTTATAATAGGAAATACAGTATTTTTCCGATTTTAAAGTCTCAAAGCAACAATGAGAGGAATCTAAGAAGATGAGCAAGAGAGGAGTTGAAGACACTAATTAGCTGAGAATAGAGGGTATCTGTGAAGTCTGTCTCCAGCCATGAATCCCCTGCCTACGGTTCCTTCTTGCTCCAGTACAGCCCCCTTTGAAGCTGCTAAGGAGCAGACCCTATGCCTAGGAAAGCAGGACTTCAGGTCTTTTGAATTTAAAAACTTACTCTGGTTGCTTTTACTGGCAGCATTCACTTTTTGGTTGAGTAAGAGCAAGGCACTGATGGAGAGGAGAACATTAAGAAATATAAAATATAATCTCTAACCCAAGAAACCCAGTCAAGGTGGGGAGTGGGAGAATGTTTTACATATGTATAGTGTTTAACAGAAGCACTTGTAAAATGTTGAGTGCCAGAGTTGTGGGGTGAAATTTCAGAGGAAGGGTAAAGCATGTGATCTCACACGCTATGTTCTAGCCACAATAATAGCTCATAGGTATAAGATAATTTTCCAGAGGTCCTATGAGTGTGTGTGTGTGTGTGTGTGTGTGTGTGTGTGTAACTTTTTCCCATCAACCCAACAATGCTAAGCTCTAAGCTCTAGGTTTAAAATATCTGGTTTTGAAATGCACTTTCACCACCTTGTAGCTGAATTGTGTTGTCTACATTTTTTTGTGCCACTATCTCCTTATCTGTTTTAAAAAAAATACTAATTTTAAAAAGCCTTATTGTATTAAATGTGAGGAGTAAATGAAATAATTTATATAAAGATCTCAGTGTAGAGCTTGGCACATGGAAGATTCAGTAAATAATACTGTGGCAGATATTGTTGATTGCTTACTTAATATTCATTCACTCCTTCTTTGCTGACAAAACTCCAGATTGGGGAGCAATGTGCCCAGATAGACGCTCATATTTCAGTTTCCCTTGAGCCAACAGTAGCCACACAACTTCATGGCTTGGTTCTGTGTCCTTCATTGCTTGGTTCTGTGTGCAGCTGTGCTTAACACATGGTAGATGGAAGTCTCCTGAATGTTTTGGGGGAGGGTTTGCTTTCCTATTAAAAGGGGATATATCTGCCTGGCATCATCCCTTTCTCATTTTTCTTTCCTTGAATGTGGATCTAATGTCAGGAGCTGAAGCTACCATATGTGACCCAAGCATTGGGGCTCAGAAAATGATAACACAAAGTATGGCACTTTGGCATGCTGAGTACTTTGAACTAAAGGAGATGGGAAAGCCTCAAAAGCAAAATCTCTCTCTGACCTTCTCCTGCTCTCTTTCTCTCCTGAAGTGAGTCGTAGAATTCCTCTTGCCTAGAGTGGGTCATAGAAACTAGAACCCTTTCCCCAAAGCAAGCCATTAAACTTAGAAAGGTCACTCTTTTCTCTTCTCCCTTAAAGAACCTCATATCAGAGGGGTCCTGGCCCATATCTAGGAGGAAGGAATTCTACAGAAACCCAGAAGAATCTGAACAGACAGGACTTACTGGGTTTTCCTCTGTCTTTTACCACTCAATCACCCTTTTTGTCTAATCACATTTCAACATGGATGTCCACTCTTCATCAAACCTAAGCATAAAAGTAGTTTTCCCTGGGTCTTTTGGTCTTCATTTCTGAAGGCTCCTGTGTCACATAAAACTTTGATTAAACAAATTTGTCATGCTTTTCTCTTGTTAACCTATCTTTTATTATAGGAGGATCAAACGTAACACTTACAATGGGTGAGTAAGTGCTACGTTTGCTCCTCCTATAATATCAAGTTATCACACCCCTTTCCTGCCCCTACAGTTTCTGGTGCCCAATGTGGGGTCATTGAAACACCTCACACCAGATCTTGGGACAACTAACAAAAAATCAACAACAACAACAACAACAACACACATTTTTTTTTTTAAACCAAGGTCACCTCTCCTGGATCTCTGCCTGTAGTGCCCAATTAAGAATGGAAGGTAAGCATTTGTTTTTATCCCTTCCTTCCCAAATTCAGATTAGCAGGAAGAAATCATTTGTTTGGATTGTGTCTTTTGTGTAAATTTGGTTTGGAAGTACATATTTGTTATTGATCTTTTCCTTTCCGGGGACATCCATTTCTTTCCTATTTGTCTTGTTCTGTGTCCTGAAGGTTTGGTTTTATGATCAGTGAGAATATTCTCTCTGGTCTCTACCAGCTGGGGGATGCAAGTGTCAGCTTACATCAGGCAGCCAGTCCAAATGTTTTTTTTTTTTTGTCATGTAGTGTCAGCTCTCAGGGGAATTTGTCTTATTAGAGGTTCCAATTCATGAGAGGCCTGTTTTTTTTTTGTTTTTCTTTTTTTTTTTTTGTTTTTTTTTTTTTGGTCTCAGCCTTCATTGCTTAGTTCTGTGGCAACAAAGGTCTTTTTTTCTTTTGACTGTCTTTTGCGGATGATTCTGGATCTTGGGAGGACTACATCTTTTTGCACCCTCTTTTCAGGACATCTCTTTCATCCTTGGTTAAGTCATAAAAGACTGACTGATTTTGGTTCTGAGTCACTTGGTTGGGGCCTCAGTTTAAAAGCAGAAAAAAAAAAGCCACAAGTAGTTCAAGCAGTTGCTGTTTGTTCTGGCTGAAATCTGAAAATAAAATATTTGAAAAGTTTTTTTGTTTTGTTTTTTTCTTCAATGAATTCTGTGGTCAGAAGTCTGATTAATTGAAAGCTGATATTCAGGCTTTACTTTTTTTAAGGCCTCTGTGTTCTCACTATTGGATATTGCTTCTTCCATGGGAACTTAGTTGACTGAAACTCCTCTTGTTGAATCCCTGCTAACTATATGCTCAGCCCTTCTGTTTTCTTTCTTGCTGGCAAGATTTTTTTGCTGAGGAGAATGTAGAATATCATTGGTTTTTTAGGGGGATGGGGAAGGGGACTCAAAATCTTCTTAAACTGGCTTCTCTAAGACCCCTTCTTAGAAGGACTCTGGTTTCTGTGGCCAGACTTTAGTTAGGCTTCTAAACCTTCTCCTAGGTCCATCTGTATATGTCCTTGTAAAATCCTGTAGTAAATTCCCATAATTTTATGTTACCTCAGCATTCATTTTGAATCTTCCTCTGTGTCTCACTTAATTGACATACCTGAGCCTAATGAGCCTCCCAGTTGGGGCTCTACCATAGAGTGGCTATCTTGATAAGCCCATCTCTCTCACTAGAGAGTGTCTATAAACACTCTCTAGTGAGAACTTCAGACAAAAATCGAGAAAAATGCAACAAATTCAGTTGTAACAGAAATGGATAACTCGTCCACTCAGGTGGGTCTTTGAAGACATTTAAACAGCTGTAAGATGTCTCCTCAGGCACTAGCTTACAATCTAGTTCATAGTCTCCATAAGATCGGTCTCTGATAGTAGGCTTTCTCTGTGCCTTTGATTCGTAAATTTTCTACACTCTTCTCTAGAACTTGATAGTTACCCTTTGCAATAAAAACTTCAGGGAGATGACTTTCATAGAAAAGAGAAAAAAATAAACTATTTGGAAACTGGTCAAATGAAAACTCTTAAAAGCCTTCTCCAGAAAAATTGGTAAAAAGCTGTAGTCATTTGAGAAGATAGCCTTACCTTACCCATTTGACAGATCCAGCTAGTGAGCTTTAAATTATTGAACCTGGCATGTGGCTAAAAGTTATAGAATAGAAACTGTAAAATCTGCTCTGTCTGTATGTTTATATCATTAAATCTAATACAGACATACATTTTTGCCTGGGTTTTTGGTACAGACAGGTTTGTATTGTCTCTGTTAGATGTTTAAGATTATAAAACTAGAAATCTAGCCTAAAAGCAGAATGCACAGTAAAACATGAATTAATTGCTTGATGCATGTCAGTTTCTAAAAAAAAAAAAAAAATAGAGGAGATAACATGTTTAGCTTTTTAGTTTGTGTCTGTGATTTTTTGATACTTCTCTGATTTGTCAACAAAAAAGATAAGATAGTGGTTAGCTTTATTTACTGTGTTATAAAATTTTCATACACAGTTCAAGCATAATTCTTAAAGATGAATGAATTAGATGAATGTGAGATAAAAGTCTATGAGTAAAATTTTCAATATAATTATGCTTTATAACATATGTCTACTTAAGAATATCTTCAAAAATCTTTTTTGGTAACTTAAAACCTTAATGTGAGATTAAGTAATATGTACTTGCTATATGCCTCAGTAAGGTAAAATACTAAAACATTAAGTACTAAGCATAAGTTTAAGTTTAAATATTTTAGCATCCTGTTTTTATATGTCATAGAGAGCTACATATATCTGAGTCTGGTAATAAGCATGAAAAACTGAGGAAACATCTTTCTGGAAATTATAAAATGGTAAATGCTGATGTAAGCCAATTTACAATGCTTGCTAGTTTTCATTAGAAATTAAGGTTACTAGAGTTAAAGATTATAATTAGCATATGTTATTAAGCTACTAGAAATTACAAGCATACCTTGGAGACGTTGCAGGTTTGGTTCCAGATCATTGCAATAAAGTGAATACTGCAATAAAGTGAGTCATACATACTTTTGATTTCCCAGTGTAATAGGAGTTATTAAGAAATTATTTTAGGCAAATAAAGAGGAAAAGGGGTCCTTGGGAAGTTTTTGTTTCTTTTAAGCAGCTCCAGAAACATTTTTTGCCTAGCAGGAAAGCCCTGGTTCTTAAAGCTCGGTCAGCAAACTTTGATATGCAAATGGGCCCCTTAGAAACTGGGTCCACCAAAACATGTCAATTCCTGGCAACTTCTTCCTTGCCCCCACATGTGCCTGGCAACATGGTTGCCCCCACATATCCCCACGTGTGTAGAACATCATGGTGCTGTGCATTTGCATATTGAAAGGCTAGGGTGGAAGGGCTAGGTTTTTCACAGCTCCATAAATGACCTGCCTGGTCAAAGCAGCCCCTGAGCCCTATGCAAATCAGACACCACCTCCTCCAGCCTTCTCATATAAGCAGCCACTTTTCCGCTGCACAGGGGAGTTTCCTCTCTTGGCTTTGGAGCCCTCCCTCCCTCTGTCTCTGTGTCGGGGAGTTTCTTCCTTCTTTCTCGTCTATTAAACTTCCCGCTCCTTAAAACCACTCCATGTGTCTCCGTGTCATTTTATCAAAATTGGGATGAGACTAAGGACCCTGATATTCCTCCAGTCATCGGAGTCATATCACTAGTGCATATAAAAGTCATGTTTATACGATATTGTAGTCCATTAAGTGTTCAATGCATTATGTTGAAAAAAAAATTGTACTTGCCTTAATTTAAAAATACTTCCTTTGCTAAAAAAATGCTGACAAAAACAAAGTGAGCACATGCTATTGAAAAAATGATGCAAATAGACTCACTCAACTTAGAGTTGCCACAAATTGTCAATTTATTTAAAAATGCAATATCTGCAAAGCACAATAAAATGAAGAGCAACAAAATGAGATATGGCTGTATAGAGAAACAACTCTGTATGTGAAGAAAATAGATGTTTTGATAAAGAAAGGTACAAAAGTATTTTTTTTTAAAAAAAAAAGCTTATGGATATAACAAAAAGTTATAAAAGGTTTGTAAAAATTTTACCTTGTGTTATCAGTCAAAGATGACTGAGACTGGATAAATTTATTCATCAGGTTTTATTAAAATTAGCTATATTACCCTGATCTAACTAGAATTTCTTTTTCTTAGTTTAAAATCATGACGTTTTCTTGGAGTATTGGTCTGAGAATGTGAAGGGGTTTTTTTTTTTTCTCCTTTTAAATAATTTGTTAGGAAACAAATATTTTGTGTTTTGTCAAGATAATTTCTAGGCCGGGTGTGGTGGCTCGCGTTGGCTCACACCTGTAATCCCAGCACTTTGGGAGGCCGAGGCGGGCGGATCACCTGAGGTCAGCAGTTCAAGACCAGCCTAACCAACATGGAGAAACCCTGTCTCTGCTAAAAATACAAAATTAGCCGGGCGTGGTGGCACATGCCTGTAATCCCAGCTACTCGGGAGGCTGAGGCAGGAGAATCACTTGAACCCTTGAGGTGGAGGTTGTGGTGAGCCAAGATTGTGCCATTGCACTCCAGCCTGTGCAACAAGAGCAAAACTTTGTCTCAAAAAAAAAAAAAGATAATTTCTTACACTTTGTGTTATTAGGTCTTTGATTACTTTTTTTTTTTTTTTTTTTTTTTTGAGACAGGATTTCACTTTGTCACTCAGCCTGGGGTGCAGTGGTGTGATCTCAGCTCACTGCAACCTCCGCCTTCTGGGCTTAACTGATCCTTTCATCTCAGCCTCCAAGTCCCAAGCTGGGACCACAAGTGCATGCCACAATGCCCAACTAATTTTTTGTAGTTTTTGTAGAAATGGGAGTTTTACTATTTTGCCCAGGCTAGTCTTGAACTCCTGGGATCAAGTGATTTGCACACCTCAGCCTCCCAAAATGTTGGAATTACAGGCCTGAGCCACCACACCCCGCCTTGATTATTTTTATTTTTATTAATAAAAAGTGAGTCTTCTCAGTATTAAAAGAGCTAGGTCATTGTTCACAGTATGTAACCTCCTGCATTTGCCTTTAAAATATGTTATTGTCATTTTGAATAGATAGCCAAGCTCATATTTAATCATGTGTTTTAAACCATTTGACGTTTTTGACAAACTTCCCAAAGTCAAATTCTAAATTAACTCTGTTTGACTTTGAATTAACTTTGGAATTTTTCAGTTGGGTCCCTGGAAAGCTTAAAGGATGTGTCTCTCACTTTATAAAAGAGAGATATTAAACTAATAAGTCTTATTTGATATGTTAAATTACATGGGATGCATTGTCAAATAATAAGTGTTGCTAAACCTTTTAAACATATATATGTTAATATCAACAACATCTAAGTATGTTTTTGATAGTGTTCCAAAAATTATATAGAATTCCTAGAAATCTGTCATAATTTTGATTATTATATTAAAATGTTGTATACCACAGAAATAACCAAAATTTTTTGTAAGTTGCATCATTTTTATAATGAAGTCTCTCACCTGATTTTATACATGGCCATTCTTTGTCATTCATAGATGGCCATTCTTTGTCATACATGGCCATTCTTTGTCATTCATAGATGGTTATTGTTTTCCTTCTTCTCTAAAAGCACTTTTAATCAGCTATAGTCCAAACTTGCTTCTTCAGGAAGATTCATGAAAAAGACTCTAAAGTACTCTTGAGTATAGGTTTCTGATAAAGAATACATCACTGGACTGGGTAAGAATTTTCAGTACTCTGATGAAGAAACTGATGGCTTCATGAAACTGCCAACCAAAATCAAACAGAACAATAATTAATTACATGGAACTAAATTAACTGATAAGAATATTTTTGTCAGGGCGCAGTGGCTCATGCCTGTAATCCCAGTACTTTGGGAGGCTGCTGCAGAAGGATCACTTGAAGCCAGGAGTTCAAGACCAGCCTGGCCAACATGGTGAAAGCCTATCTCTATGAAAAATACAAAAATTAATCGGGTGTGGTGGTGGTGGCATGCACCTGTAATCACAGCTACTTGGGTGGCTGAGGCATGAGAATCACTTGAACCCAGGAGGTGGAAGTTGCAGTGAACTGGGATCATGCCACTGCAGCCTGGGTGACAAGGTGAGACCCTGTCTCAAAAAAGAAAAAAAAATGTTTTTATGACATTTTCTTTGAAATTTTATTGTTTTAATAAAAGTTTTGTTATTCAGATTTAAGAAATTTATTTTTGTTTAAGCTAGCTATAGCTTACAGTCATTTGGTAAACTATAATTTTATGAACAAAAATATAAAAAAATTACTTTTTTTCACCTGATTCCTTCAGAATTAAAAAATATTATTTATGAGTATTCTTATTCTTTTTTCTTTTTCTTTTTCTTTTTGAGACAGAGTCTCACTCTCTGTTGCCCAGGCTGGAGTTCAGTGCATGATCTTGGCTCACTACAACCTCTGCCTCCTGGGTTCAAGTGATTCTTGTGCCTCAGCCTCCCAAGTAGCTGGGATTACAGGCACCTGCCACCACACCTGGCTAATTTTTGTATTTTTAGTAGAGACGGGATTTCGCCTGGCTCCAAGTGATCTGCCCACCTTGGCCTGTCAAAGTGCTGGGATTACAGGCATGAGCCACCATACCTGGCCTGAGTATTCTTATTCTTATGGCAATATAGTTATTTGCATAAGTTCAATATAAATCTGTTATCCTTATAACAGGATACAAATAGAAATACTGGTTTTATTACCAAAACTTTTTTGGAATGCCTTATTTTCATTTGTGATCAGACAACTTTAAGAAACTAGGGTTGACTTTATAGAGCCAATAAAGAACTCCTTGGAAAAACTGGCTTGCTACCTTAAATATATGGTCCACACAGTTACCCTTCAAGTAGGTAAAGAATCTCACTTCCTAACAGACCAAGAAATCTCGGGATATTTTGGGGACCTCAAGTAGAAATAAATTTATCCAAATTTATAGGTCCTATAGGTTAATTTTGATGGTGAGTTCTTGTCTTGACTTCCTCACTGAGATTTCTTATAAGAAGTACCAGCAAAGCAAATGTAAAGAGAGCTTATTGGTCAATCACTATTCTTGCTGCACTTTTTAAAATAAGCAGGTCAAGTTGAATGAAACTAAACCAATTTTGCAAACAAATCAGTCTTTGATTTATTTTTGGTAGAATGCGGGTGACTGTACAAAAAAATTCTGTTTCAGAAGAAAATTATAGTGTATCTGTTATTAGATTCTAGCTCATTGTTTTTGAAGGTTTGTTAGTTACCTAAAATCTGGACTGCATTCTTGAATTTTCTAGTTTCCTCCCATTTCTGGCTGCAAGTCTTCAAATAATTAATACTAATTTTTCTCCCACTTTCTGGCTTGGAATCATTGAAAAAAATACAAAAACAAAAAAACTGCTCTTTTCCTGAAGCCTAGCAAACTGAAGCTGGATCACTTTATATAGACTTCAGATAAATTACCACAATTTGTGTACGAACAACCTTCATGCCTGTTGCTGTAGAGACTATTCAGGAAGTTCACTGGTGCACCCCATGCAAACAGTAAACCAAGAAAATTTGTTCAAATTACCACTGCCTGCCCTTGTTTCAACTGAAGCTACTTGGAGACTAACATCTAGAAATCTTGACCAGGTGCCCTCTGGACTCAAAAATTGAGTTTAGTTTGTTCTATTAACCTTTGTTTTTACTTTGTTTCTATAAAAATACCTCTTATTAAATACTTGCTTGTTTACACTACATAAAAGCCTAACTTTGGTGAAAGCTCACCTACAACATTGCCTCCTGAGATGAGATACAATTGTTAACTGTTTAACTGGACTGAACTATTCTTGAGATTGGGAGTCTGGTTTAATGGCAGATGAGACAACACACCAACCAAATTTCTCCTCCAAAGCAAGCCATAAAACCTAGAAAGTCACTCCTTTAATTTTTCTCTTGAAGACTCTCATTTCAGAGGGCTCTTGCCCCATACCTGGGAGGAAAGAATGCTACACAGAAACTAAGAACAATCTGAACAGGCAAGCCTTACAGGGTCTCCCCTCCCTTATTAGTCTATTACCATTATATTATACCCTTTGTCCAATCAGACTTCTATGCAGCCATTTATTCTTCATTGTACCTAAGCATAAAAATAGATAGCTTTCCCTGGGTCTTTGGGTCTTCATTTCTGAAGGCTCCCATGTCACATAAAGCTTTGACTAAGTTTGCTACGCTTTTCTCTTGTTAACCCATCTTTCATGTAGAAGGCATGTAGGCCATGATCCTTATAATGGGTGAGAAAATACATCATACCTTTCTGCCCTTAGAGAAGGACAAAGAATGGAAATTTCAAGAAAATTTCAGAATGTCAGACCAAACAGCATCAACCTTCTAAATCAATACCAGCAAGCACCTATCTCCAAGTTTATTTTTATGTAAGAAAAATACCCCCTTTTTAATTTTTATTTTTTATTATTATAATTTAAGTTCTAGGATACATGTGCACAATATGCAGGTTTGTTACATATGTATACATGTGCCATGTTGGTGTGCTGAACCCATTAACTCATCATTGACATTAGGTATATCTCCTAATGCTATCCCTCCCCTCTCCCCCGACCCCACGACAGACCCCGGTGTGTGATGTTCCCCTTCTTGTGCCCAAGTGTTCTCATTGTTCAATTCCCACCTATGAGTGAGGACATGCAGTGTTTGGTTTTTTGTCCTTGCGATAGTTTGCTGAGAATGATGGTTTCCAGTTTCATCCATGTCCCCACAAAGGACATGAACTATCCTTTTTATGGCTGCATAGTATTCCATGGTGTATATGTGCCACATTTTCTTAATCCAGTCTATCACTGTTGGACATTTGGGTTGTTCCAAGTCTTTGCTATTGTGAATAGTGCTGCAATAAACATACGGGTGCATGTGTCTTTATAGCAGCATGATTTATAATCCTTTGGGTATATACCCAGTAATGGGATAGCTGTGTCAAATGGTAATTCTAGTTCTAGATCCTTGAGGAATCGCCACACTGTCTTCCACAATTGTTGAACTAGTTTACAGTCCCACAAACAGTGTAAAAGTGTTCCTATTTCTCCACATCCTCTCCAGCACCTGTTGTTTCCTGACTTTTTAATGATGGCCATTCTAACTGGTGTGAGATGATATCTCATTATGGTTTTGGTTTTCATTTCTCTGATGGCCAGTGATGATGAGCATTTTTTCATGTGTCTGTAGGCTGCATAAATGTCTTCTTTTGAGAAGTGTCTGTTCATATCCTTTGCCCACTTTTTGATGGGGTTGTTGGTTTTTTTCTTGTAAATTTGTTTGAGTTCTTTGTAGATTCTGGATATTAGCGCTTTGTCAGATGAGTAGATTGCAAAAATTTTCTCCCATTCTGTAGGTTGCCTGTTGACTCTGATGGTAGTTTCTTTTGCTGTGCAGAAGCTCTTTAGTTTAATTAGATCCCACTTGTCAATTTTGGCTTTTGTTGCCATTGCTTTTTGTGTTTTAGACATGAAGTCCTTGCCCATGCCTATGTCCTGAATGGTATTGCCTAGGTTTTCTTCTAGGGTTTTTATGGTTTTAGGTCTGACATTTAAGTCTTTCATCCATGTTTAATTAATTTTTGTATAAGGTGTAAGGAAGGGATCCAGTTTCCATTTTCTACATATGGCTAGCCCATTTTCCCAGCACCATTTTTAAATAGGGAATCCTTTCCCCATTTCTTGTTTTTGTCAGGTTTGTCAAAGATCAGATGGTTGTAGATGTGTGGTATTATTTCTGAGGACTCTGTTCTGTTCCATTGGTCTATATCTCTGTTTTGGTACCAGTACCATGCTGTTTTGGTTACTCTAGCCTTGTAGCAGAGTTTGAAGTCAGGTAGCATTATGCCTCCAGCTTTGTTCTTTTGGCTTAGGATTGACTTGGTGATGTGGGCTCTTTTTTGGTTCCATATGAACTTTAAAGCAGTTTTTTCCAATTCTGTGAAGAAAGTCATTGGTAGCTTGATGGGGATGGCATTGAATCTATAAATTACCTTGGGCAGTATGGCCATTTTCACGATATTGATTCTTCCTACCCATGAGCATGGAATGTTCTTCCATTTGTTTATGTCCTCTTTTATTTCATTGAGCAGTGGTTTGTAGTTCTCCTTGAAGAGGTCCTTCATATCTCTTGTAAGTTGGATTCCTAGGTATTTTATTCTCTTTGAAGCAATTGTGAATGGGAGTTCACTCATGATTTGGCTCTCTGTTTGTCTGTTATTTGTATATAAGAATGCTTGTGATTTTTGCACATTGATTTTGTATCCTGAGACTTTGCTGAAGTTGCTTATCAGCTTAAGGAGATTTTGGGCTGAGACAGTGGGGTTTTCTAAATACACAATCATGTCATCTGCAAACAGGGACAATTTGACTTCCTCTTTTCCTAATTGACCACCCTTTATTTCTTTCTCCTGCCTGATTGCCCTGGCTGGAACTTCTAACACTATGTTGAATAGGAGTGTTGAGAGCGGACATCCCTGTCTTGTGCCAGTTTTCAAAGGGAATGCTTCCAGTTTTTGCCCATTCAGTATGATATTGGCTGTGGCTTTGTCCTAAATAGCTCTTATTATTTTGAGATACGTCCCATCAATACCTAATTTATTGAGAGTTTTTAGCATGAAGGGCTGTTGAATTTTGTCAAAGGCCTTTTCTGCATCTATTGAGATAATCATGTGGTTTTTCTCTTTGGTTCTGTTTATATGCTGGATTACATTTATTGATTTGCATATGTTGAACCAGCCTTGCATACCAGAAATGAAGCCTGCTTCACCATGGTGGATAAGCTTTTTGATGTGCTGCTGGATTCGGTTTGCCGGTATTTTATTGAGGATTTTTGCATCAATGTTCATCAGGGATATTGGTCTAAAATTCTCTTTTTTTGTTGTGTCTCTGCCCGGCTTTGGTATCAGGATGATGCTGTTCTCATAAAATGAGTTAGGGAGGATTCCCTCTTTTTCTATTGATTGGAATAGTTTCAGAGGGAATGGTAACAGCTCCTCCTTGTACCTCTGGTAGAATTTGGCTGTGAATCCATCTGGTCCTGGACTTTTTTTTGTTGGTAGGCTATTAATTATTGCCTCAATTTCAGAGCCTGTTATTGGTCTATTCGGGGATTCAGCTTCTTCTTGGTTTAGTCTTGGGCGGGTGTATGTGTCAAGGAATTTATTCATTTCTCCTAGATTTTCTAGTTTATTTGCATAAAGGTGTTTATAGTATTCTCTGATGGTGGTTTGTATTTCTGTGGGATCAGTGGTGATATCCCCTTTATCATTTTTTATTGTGTCCATTTGATTCTTCTCTCTTTTCTTCTTTATTAGTCTTGCTAGCAGTCTATCAATTTTGTTGATCTTTTCAAAAAACCAGCTCCTGGATTCATTGATTTTTTGAAGAGTTTTTTGTGTCTCTATCTCCTTCAGTTCTGCTCTGATCTTAGTTATTTCTTGCCTTCTGCTAGCTTTTGAATGTGTTTGCTCTTGCTTCTCTAATTCTTTTAATTGTGATGTTAGGGTGTCAATTTTAGATCTTTCCTGCTTTCTCTTGTGGGCCATTAGTGCTATAAATTTCCCTCTACACATGTAGAGGGAAATTTAGTGTGTCCCAGAGATTCTGGTATGTTGTGTCTTTGTTCTCATTGGTTTCAAAGAACATCTTTATTTCTGCTTTCATTTCATTATGTACCCAGTAGTCATTCAGGAGCAGGTTGTTCAGTTTCCATGTAGTTGAGTGGTTTTGAGTGAGTTTCTTAATCTTGAGTTGTAGTTTGATTGCACTGTGGTCTGAGAGACAGTTTGTTATAATTTCTGTTCTTTTACATTTGCTGAGGAGTGCTTTACTTCCAACTGTGTGGTCAATTTTGGAATAAGTGTGATGTGGTGCTGAGAAGAATGTATATTCTGTTGATTTGGGGTGGAGAGTTCTGTAGATGTCTATTAGGTCTGCTTGGTGCAGAGCTGAGTTCAATTCCTGGATATCCTTTTTAACTTTCTGTCTCGTTGATCTAATGTTGACAGTGGGGTGTTAAAGTCTCCCATTATTATTGTGTGGGAGTCTAAGTCTCTCTGTAGGTCCCTAAGGACTTGCTTTATGAATCTGGGTCCTCCTGTATTGGATGCATATATATTTAGGATAGTATAGCTCTTCTTGTTGAATTGATCCCCTTACCATTATGTAATGGCCTTCGTTGTCTCTTTTGATCTTTGTTGGTTTAAAGTCTGTCTTATCATAGACTAGGATTGCAATCCATGCCTTTTTTTGTTTTCCGTTTGCTTGGTAGATCTTCCTCTATCCCTTTATTTTGAGCCTATGTGTGTCTCTGCACATGAGATGGGTCTCCTTAATACAGCACACTGACGGGTCTTGACTCTTTATCCACTTTGCCATTCTGTGTCTTTTAATTGGAGCATTTAGCCCATTTACATTTAAGGTTAATATTGTTATGTGTGAATTTGATCCTGTCATTATGATGTTAGCTGGTTATTTTGCTCATTAGTTGATGCAGTTTCTTCCGAGCATCAGTGGTCTTTACAATTTGCCATGTTTTTGCAGTGGCTGGTATCGGTTGTTCCTTTCCATGTTTAGTGCTTCCTTCAGGAGCTCTTTTAGGGCAGGCCTGGTGGTGACAAATACTCTCAGCATTTGCTTGTCTGTAAAGCATTTTATTTCTCCTTCACTTATGAAGCTTAGTTTAGCTGGATATGAAATTCTGGGTTGAAAATTCTTTTCTTTAAGAATGTTGAATATTGGCCCCCACTCTCTTCTGGCTTGTAGAGTTTCTGCCGAGAGATCCGCTGTTAGTCTGATGGGCTTCCCTTTGTGGGTAACCTGATCTTTCTCTCTGGCTGCCCTTAACATTTTTTCCTTCATTTCAACTTTGGTGAATCTGACAATTATGTGTCTTGGAGTTGCTCTTCTTGAGGAGTATCTTTGTGGCATTCTCTGTATTTCCTGAATTTGAATGTTGGCCTGCCTTACTAGGTTGGGGAAGTTCTCCTGGATAATATCCTGCAGAGTGTTTCCAACTTGGTTCCATTCTCTCCGTCACTTTCAGGTACACCAATCAGATGTAGATTTGGTCTTTTCACATAGTCCCATATATCTTGGAGTCTGTTCGTTTCTTTTTACTCTTTTTTCTCTAAACTTCTCTTCTCACTTCATTTCATTCATTTGATCTTCAGTCACTGATACCCTTTCTTCCTGTTGATCAAATCAGCTACTGAAGCTTGTGCATTTGTCATGTAGTTCTCATGCCATGGTTTTCAGCTCCATCAGGTCATTTAAGGACTTCTCTACACTTGTTATTCTAGTTAGCCATTTGTCTAGTCTTTTTTCAAGGTTTTTAGCTTCTTTGCAATGGGTTTGAACTTCCTCCTTTAGTTCAGAGA
Organism: Homo sapiens; assembly: GCF_000001405.40. NCBI lineage: Eukaryota > Metazoa > Chordata > Mammalia > Primates > Hominidae > Homo > Homo sapiens. Next base: position 69,101,497 of record NC_000001.11, read on the forward strand.
AGTTTGATCATCTGAAGCCTTCTTCTCTCAACTCGTCAAAGTCATTCTCCATCCAGCTTTGTTCCATTGCTGGCAAGGAGCTGTGTTCCATTGGAGGGGGAAAGGCGCTCTGATTTTTAAATTTTCAGCTTTTCTGCTCTGCATTTTCCCCCATCTTTGTGGTTTTATCTGCCTTTGGTCTTTGATGATGGTGATGTACACATGGGGTTTTGGTGTGGATGTGCTTTCTGTTTGTTAGTTTTCCTTCTAACAGTTGGGACCCTCAGCTGCAGGTCTGCTGGAGTTTGCTGGAGGTCCACTCCAGACCCTTTTTGCCTGGCTATCACCAGCAGAGGATGCAGAACAGTGAATATTGCTGAACAGCAAATGTTGCTGCCTGATCGTTCCTCTGGAAGCTTCATCTCAGAGGGGTACCTGGCCATGTCAGGTGTCAGTCTGCCCCTACGGGGGCCTGCCTCCCAGTTAGGCTACTCGGAGGTCAGGGACCCACTTGAGGAAGCAGTTGGTCCGTTCTCAGATCTCAGACTCCATGCTGGGAGAACCATTGCTCTCTTCAAAGCTGTCAGACAGGGACAGTTAAGTCTGCAGAGATTTCTGCTGCCTTTTGTTCAGGTATGCCCTGCCCCCAGAGGTGGAGTCTACAGAGGCAGGCAGGCCTCCTTGAGCTGCAGTGGCCTCCACCCACTTAGAGCTTCCTGGCCGCTTTGTTTACCTACTCAAACCTCGGCAATGGTGGGCGCCCCTCCCCCAGCCTTGCTGCCACCTTGCAGTTCGATCTCAGACTGCTGTGCTAGCAATGAGCAAGGCTCCGTGGGTGTGGGAGCCTCCGAGCCCAGTGCGGGATATAATCTCCTGGTGTGCCATTTTCTAAGACGGTTGGAAAAGCGCAGTGTTAGGGTGGGAGTGACCCGATTTTCCAGGTGTCGTCTGTCACAGCTTCCCTTGGCTAGGAAAGGGAATTCCCTGACCCCTTGTGCTTCCCAGGTGAGATGATGCCTCCCTCTGCTTTGGCTCATGCTCAGCGCGCTGCACCCACTGTCCTGCACCCACTTTCCAACAAGCCCCAGTGAGATGAACTTGGTACCTCAGTTGGAAATGCAGAAATCACCCGTCTTCTGCATTGCTCATGCTGGGAGCTATAGACTGGAGCTGTTCCTATTTGGCCATCTTGGAACTGCCCTATTTTTTTGTTTTTATGTTGACTCTGCCAGAAGGTCTTCTGTTATTTGTAGCTGAAAGCATTTCTAATACTTATTTTTTATTTTTACTTGGAGACAAGCATTAGTTTTTTAATTTTTATAAAATTCCAGGAGAATAGGTAGTTTTTTTCTCAGTTGAGATTTTTTAAAGATTGTTATAAAAAAGTTTAAAAGTAAGCTTTTTGATATTAAAAATAATAGTCACAATAATATAAATAATAAAATAGTAATATAATAACCTGATAGTTTTTGATTGCCTAATTTTGTGCTACTTGAATTATAGGTGTTTAATCCTTACAGTAACTCCACAGAAAAAGCACTGTTATAATCTCTACTTTACAGATGAAAAGTATGAGACATAGAAAGGTTACATAACTTACTCAAAGTCACAGAATTGAGATCCAGATCCAGATCTTTCTGACCACCAAGCTTATGTGCCTAATTTCGTAACTAATTCTATCTGTCTTCCTGCAGTTGCAAAATGCTTTCTGTCTTTTCCAGGTCTTTGTATATGCTGTTCCTTGTGCCTGGAACAGATTTTTTTCCCACTCTTTTCTTGGCTAAGTCTTGTTCATGTTTTTATACTTCAATTTAAATATATCTTCTTCTTGGGTATATTTCCCTCACATCCCTTCTTCTCTACATGATTCATTGCCTCTATCAGCACATGATCCATTCTTTTGCATGCTTTATTTACCTGTCACTAAGCCATTGGAATATTGTATTCTTCATCACTGAATCACCTGAATTCCTTCCTTGTTTACTGTCATTGTTCTAGGCTTTGGCATATAGTATACTTTCAAGCAAAAGGTGTCAAGAGTTGACTACCCCTTTTGTTTTAGTTTGGGTGCTGGAGGGGAGTCATGGTTCCTGGGGAGGCAAGAGCAAAAGGAGGTTTGAAGGAGAGGTGAATGATAGGCTTCATTTTAGGGTGCCTAACAGGACCTGCGTGCAGGTCATTTTATGTCCTTCCAGTGAAATTGTTTGCTGTTTTAGCATTTACTGCAATTAGCTGTAGGAGGGCTTCTTAGTCCATGATCAAAAAAAAAAAGAAAAAAGTGCTCTGAAAAGGTAGCAATGTGTGTCTCTGGAAGGCAAGCCTAGACATGTGGTAGGAGTTAAAGAAATGTAGAATTACAAAAAATAATCCCTCCTACGAATGTCTAAAAATGATGTTCCTAGCAGCTTTAGGTATCACAGTTGTGCAGGCAGAAAAGTAGTTGATTAACTCACTGGCATTATCTCTGAGGAGTGGGTGTTTTGGAAAACTGCATGCACAATATTCCTTTTGGATAAGCTACTAGACCATTGTTCTACATATTCTGCACTGTGGCCCTTCAGCTCACTCTGTACATGGCTGAAGGCATATGTTTAAAAAAACTGTCCCTCCCAAGGTTAAGATAGCTGTGCTGTGGCCATTTTGTGCCTGGCATTTAAGAACAAGATACTGAAATTTAAAGTTGACTTGAAATAGAATTTCTGAATGTACCAGAATAGGCAACACAGCCCACTCCACCCCCTTCACTCTCTATACTCTACTTTCTCCTGAAGGTTTTCAGATAGCTCTTTTTCATCCACATTTTTCCTTCTGTATTCAAGTATGTGGTGAATCAGATTTCGTTCATTTAGGTGGCAGTTAGTCATATTGTGATATGGAAGCCTGCTAAGGCCCCATAGGATAGGATCTCCAGAAACAACGGGATAACAATGTGGTTTGCCCAGTATTCTCCCCATTCTTCCCCCTTTCTGCCCCTAAGTCAGAAACACTTTAATTGAGTGATTCCCACTATCTTTTCACCCCAAGGTTTAAAAGGAGAAATCCAGGCAAAAGGAAGTCTGAATTTCCAAATGCGGCTAGGTATTCCTGTTACCTTACTTGAGTCCATTGATTTATCAATGATTCCATTCATTTCTCTATTTGATTTAGTAGTAATAATAATAAACAGTTTTAGATTATAGGAATATTCAATAGGTTTATTTCCTTGTCAAATTTCAGTCAACCGGTAGTAGGTACCAGGAGGAAAATGGCTCCAGATTTGTTGATAACAAATCTGAAGCTGTGTCTTAGTTACCAGATCATTATGCTCTAATCCAGAGGTTGGCAAACTTTTTCTGTATAGGGCCAGATAGTAAATATTTTAGGCTTTGCAAGCCATATGATCTCTGTTGCAACTGCTCGATTTTGCTGTTTTTGGTCCAAAAGCAGCCAAGACAATACATAAATGAAATGGTGTGGCTGTGTCCCAAAAAACCTTCCTTTACCAAAACAGTTTGCAGGCTTTGGCCCTCTGCTGGGCCAGAGTTTGTTGACCCCTGCAATTAGCAGTGCTGTCAGTGGACAGAGAGGGATTGGTGACACAGATGCCATACATGTCTCATCCCTAATATAGACACTTACTGCATCCAAACATTTTCACTTTTACAGTCTCACTGGTTCTGCTCAACAAATGTGAGGAAGTGCAGCAGCAGGTTATTTTAGGATAGTGATGTATTCTGCTTAAGAACAGAAGCTTTGGAAAGAGACTGGAATAGGAATTTAGTTCTGTTACTTATGAGCTGTGTGTGCTTGGGCAGACAATTACCCTCTTAGTTCCTCAGCCACCTAATCTGTTAGATGAAGGTAGTAGTATCTGCCTCAAGCATAAAGAGCCCTTCAATAGATGCTTGAGATAAATGCAATTATTATTATTATCTTCTCTGTATAAACTGGGGTTAAGCTCCTATGATATTTATGAATATTAAATAAGGTAGCATATGTAAATCTCACAGCACAATAGTTAATACATAATTTTTAATGAACAATTATTATTCATATTCCCATTTTATAAATAAGGAAAGTTTTAAATGATCAATAAGTTCTGCTAAAACTTTACAGTGAATAATAGTAAAAGTGAAGTGAAACCTAGTCCTTTGGATTCCAGAAGTCATTCTGTGCCCACTAAAACTAACAAATGTGTGTTAAAACTCCCTGAACAGGTACACAGTGAAACTCAAATAGATTTTTTTTTTTTTTTGAGATAAGAGTCTCACTCTGTTGCCCCGGCTGGAGTGCAGTGGTGCAATCTGGGCTCACTGCAACCTCTGCCTCCCGGTTCAAGCAATTCTCGTGTCTCAGCCTCCCAAGTAGCTGGGATGACAGGTGCCCACCAACACACCTGACTAATTATTGTATTTTTAGCAGAGATGGGATTTTGCTATGTTGGTCAGGTTGGTCTTGAACTCCTGGCCTCAAGTGATCCACCTGCTTTGGCCTCTCAAAGTGCTGGGATTATGAGCCACCATGCCTGGCAGAAACATTTTTCATTGGAAGTGATTATACATAGACAGATTCTAACTTTTCACTCATTTCATTTGTTAATTAATTAATTAATTTTTAGTCATATGTTTCTCTGTAAAATACCTTGAATTGAAACTTTTATTTTTTTTAATGGCCTACCAAGAGACAGCTTGGCTCTGGGAATAGAGCACAGGCTTAAGAACTGTTAGAGGGAAGATATTCTGTATTGCTTTTTCTACTAGGCATGTTTCATCCTTTATAAAACATAATCAATTGCCCTAAATACCTATGTTTTATTTAACATTGATCCCATCATCTTGGCCCCAGCTGAGTTAAGAAAATGGTAGACACGTAAACCAAAGTGAAAGAGAGGCTATAGATACATGACTTGTGTGCTTGTGTGGCTCAAAACGGTGATCTGGGACAATCAGAACCATTCCTACCATTCTCTCTTTCTCTCTCAGTCTCTCTCTGTCTTGGGAGTTTTTACTTAGGGACTCAGTAAAAGTTGTCAGTTGACAATGGCACACAAAGTTTAAGTAGAGTTAGGGCACAGAAGATGGCAATATGAGCTCTATGAACTATCGGTAAATAGGAAGATAATCAGTAAAGAGAAATGGAATGATTTAGATGGGCAGAGAGGAGGAGTGCAATTCCCAGTTCAGTCCCCATTGGGTCAGCTGTACTCGATTCCTATTCCTGGATCTGTATGAGAACCTACTGAGCAGCCTTATAATACCACAGGTTCCAGGTTAATTGATCTAGCTTTGTGGGTCTTTGTTCTTTGCAAACTAAAGAACTCTGGCTGAAATAGTGATGTCACAGAGGCATTGTCAGTGGGACAGACATTTGAACTATTTCACACCCTTGCTACTTCACATGCAGGGATAGGAAGAAAAAAAAGAGAAACATTCACTTTCAAGATTTGTTCTAAATATTTGCTTCAAAGCATAAATCAAAAGCCTTAGTAAATATAACTACATACGGAGGCCTAACTGATTGCCAGCAAGAGTTCCTGAAGAAAGCCATATATGGACCCTACTATAGTTATTCTATGATTGTTGCTCATTAGGAAAAAAAAAAAAATCCTTTCTTCCCAATACAAGTTGATGCATTCTTTAGTGATATGGTGTGCATTTTATAATTTAGAAAATAAAATGGTTAGACATAATGTATTTGTTGGTGTTTTGCTCAAAGGAGTGATGGATTGGAAGGATGATCAGATAGGAAATTCCAGGAAATGTTTTAATGGTGGTGGGATGGATGGCGACAGCAGAGATTCAACTGATGGTATGAGAAGGCAGGTTGCAGAGCACTGAATTTCTTGTTGCAGGCTCTTTTATTTCAGATACAATGTGGCCACATCCTAAGTAATAAAGCAAAGCCTCCAAAGGCAGTTCAAACGTAATATGTATTTAGCACTTGTGTGCCAGAGATTATACAAGTTTTAAGTGATGTATCAAAAGAATAAGTAAATAAATACCCTTGAAAATCCCAATAATGATTACAGGGAGATTGACAGGCATATAAACCATTCATTATGGTATGGTGTGATAAGTTTTTGTGATGGACCTATGTGCACAAAACTCTGAGAATTCATAGGAAGAAGCAATTCATTCTGCCATGGAGTGTGGCAAGGTAGGGAAAGGTTTCAGAGAGGAGATGGTACTAAGAAGGGCATAAAGATCAAGACCATCCTGGCTAACACGGTGAAACCTTGTCTCTGCTAAAAAAAATACAAAATATTATCCGGGTGTGGTGGCGGGCGTCTGTAGTCCCAGGTACTTGGGAGGTTGAGGCAGGAGAATTGTGTGAACCCGGGAAGCAGGGCTTGCAGTGAGCCGAGATCGCACCACAGCACTCCAGCCTGGGTGACAGAGCGAGACTCTGTCTCAAAAAAAAAAAAAGAAGGGCATAAATAATGAATAGGAATTCAGAAAGAACAGAAAGGAAAAGTTATTGCAGGGAGGAAGCACAGACTAAGCAAAGAATTGTTGAATGGAAAGGAGAGCGAGAGCCTAAGGAGAACTCCCAGGAAGCTTTTGAGATAGTTTCTTGGTAAACACCTAGCATAGTTTGGTGGCTGTAGCAGAATCATTCAAATACTCTTGGCTGCCCAATCCCTTTCTCCACTCCCATTAGGCTGAACATTTTGAGCGAAATCTAATTTAAAATCAGCAGCTGATACAGACATTAGTGATGGGGAGTAAGTTGTCTCAAGGAAATCTCTTCGTAAGTCATTTGATATGTCCTTGTTTCCTGTCGAGAGGCACCCACAGACTCCTTGACCCATGTTCAAACTGGCCCTGGGCTAAGTGGGGTATAGTTAACTCAAATGAAATTCACCTTTGCAAATACTGTTCCATGAGTAATACCAAGCTCTAGAAGAATACATTTACTTAAAATAGAAGGGAAATGAGAAGGAAAATGCCCAGGAGAAGGTACAGATGAGCAACTTTAAATATTTAAAAATAGGAAAGGAAGGAAAGAAAAGCAAATGCAAATCAAAACCACGAGGAGATACCATCTCACACCAGTTAGAATGGCAATCACTAAAAAGTCAGGAAACAACAGGTGCTGGAGAGGATGTGGAGAAATAGGAACACTTTTACACTGTTGGTGGGACTGTAAACTAGTTCAACCATTGTGGAAGTCAGTGTGGCGATTCCTCAGGGATCTAGAACTAGAAATACCATTTGACCCAGCCATCCCATTACTGGGTATATACCCAAATGACTATAAATCATGCTGCTATAAAGACACATGCACATGTATGTTTATTGCGGCACTATTCACAATAGCAAAGACTTGGAACCAACCCAAATGTCCAACAATGATAGACTGGATTAAGAAAATGTGGCACATATACACCATGGAATACTATGCAGTCATAAAAAATGATGAGTTCGTGTCCTTTGTAGGGATATGGATGAAATTGGAAATCATCATTCTCAGTAAACTATCGCAAGAACAAAAAACCAAACACCTCATATTCTCACTCATAGGTGGGAATTGAACAATGAGATCACATGGACACAGGAAGGGGAATATCACACTCTGGGGACTGTGGTGGGGTGGGGGGATGGGGGAGGGATAGCATTGGGAGATATACCTAATGCTAGATGACGAGTTAGTGGGTGCAGCGCACCAGCATGGCACATGTATACATATGTAACTAACCTGCACATTGTGCACATGTACCCTAAAACGTAAAGTATAATAAAAAATAAATAAATAAATAAAAATAAATAAAAATAAAAATAGGAAAGAAAGAAAAGCAAACACTTTAAAAAGATGCCTCTTTCAGCACTAACACGCAACCGAGAAAGACATTTGTCAAGATCCCATGTGTTTTCTTGATGATACATCTCCTCCCTCTGTGAACAAATTGATAAAATATCAAGAGCTGTTCTGGAGATAGCAAGCACAAAAGAACTTACAGTAGGTGTTGTACTTTGCAGCAGTGACTGTGTCTATTTGATTCTAGCCAAAACAGTCTCCTACTTGCCTGCAGAAAAGGGTGGAGATTCTGGCCGTGACTCATAGAGGGATGGCCAGAAGAAGTGGATAGACAAGCATGGGCATCTCAGGATTTAGTGTGCCTTGTGTACCCTTGTGTGCCTGAAGAATTATGGGGGCGACCTTCCCTCATCTGCCTCCATTTACTTTTCACTCTCTCCACCTCTTTCCCTCTCTACCCCCACAAGTACATGCACACATTGAAGAGAAGAGGCTATTTTGGGAATGCTTGCAAATAAAGAAATCACATTCAGACATAAAAATGCTAGGAGAAGACACTGCTGAGAAAGCAGATCACATCTGTGAACAACTGAGTTGAGAGGAGGACCCTTCATAAGGAAAGAGACCTGCAGGTGACATTTGGTTTTTCCCTTTTGATTGGCTTGTTTTGCTTCAGTATTTAGAATTTTTCTGAATTTTGGCCATTAGCAGCTTCCATAACAGTTTCTGAAAGAATGACAGAGTGGCTCCTTCAAGTGGAATTTCTTCCCTACAATTCACTTGAAAATGTAACATGTATTTCCTTAAATTTTGGAAGAATGGCACAGCCCAACTAGTTCTTGGAGGGTCTGGTCATGTTCTGTTCTCTTTCGATTCATATATTGGGGAGGAAATGAGTCATACTTGATTAAGGGGTTGATAACACCTACTCATACAAATTATGTGTGTGGCCAAGGAAAGATGAAGCAGAATGCCATGGGGTAACAATGCTCCTTCCTCTGCTTGAATGTTGACTTTGCAGGCTGCAACTCCCAGCATCTTGATCCACAAGCTGTGAGGTCTGCAGCCAAAGCTGCAGAGAAGTAGAATGTGTGTGTGTGTGTGTGTGTGTGTGTGTGTGTGTGTGTGTGTGTGTATGTGTGTACCAGAACTCTGGTTCATCATGATTGTCAAACTATTATTTATGCGATCTTTATTGACTTTGTGGAAGAGACTATTTGAATGCCAAATCAAACGGCCAGGGACAAATCATGGTAATAACAATAATGGTTATTTATTATTTGTTTTGAGCTTGGCAGTATGCTGTATGCATCTCCTCTTTTAATCCTACCCCATATTCCATAGAAGCAGATATTTATAATGTCTATTATAATAATCTCAGGGAGTTTAAATGAGTCAGCTTAACCTTAGATCTGTTTATCTCTAAAATTTGTGCTATTTTATAGCCTTTCCAATCTGATTTTGGAATTGCACTGTGAAACCCACCAACATTTAAAAACATTCCTATGAAATGTAAGACAGTGAAATTGAATATTTTATTCATAATGTATGACAGAGCCAGAAATTGAAGATGTTTCAATATCTGCACCACTTAATTTAGCACATAGTTTTATATTCTCACAAATTGTTCTGTTTCTTTTATGAAGATCAATCCTTGAGGGCAGCTTGGCTTATTTTTTTATTTTTTTAAAGTGTTCTTTGTATCCTCCTCTGGGCCTCACATAAGATAAGAAATCCAGCTACAGCAAAGACAAGGGAGCCGATAAGATATTATCATGTGTGTGCTCAACACAGGTTCCTATGGAATCACATTTTATGTGAGGATTAGATTCTAAAGTCAGCACATATGGTGGATTACTTTCCCCAGCATCAAGTTGCCTGGAAAGGCATATGCTCACTTCCTAGCCATGTGGAATTTGAATGAGACTGGTCCATCACAGTTTTAGGATGGGCCCTAATTGACTCATATCAGTCAATGAATTCCATGTCATTCATCCTTGGCTACAGTTATTGATTCAAGGATGTCACATGGCTCCAGCAAAACCAATTGAGACATAATTTCTGGGTTTTGACTTGAGGTATAAGAAAAGTTCATTTCCTTTTTCCACAGCTTCAAGTCAAGTCCTTTGTGAGGACCAAGAAGAAAATCCTAAGCTATAAAATAGTGAACAACACCTGGGTCTCAAGAATATTGTTTGAGTCCCAAGTCACTTCTGACCCAAGACTAGGAACTAATAGATTTTTTTATTGTTTAGGACAGTTTGAGTTGTTTTTCTATTCCTCACAACTACAAATCCTACCTGATTATCCAGGGAAAGTAAAAAGTCTCATGTCATTATGTTAGAGATAGTCACAAAATCTCATAGTAAGACCAATACAACAAGTGCTTTTTCTTTGTTATTAAAACAGATTGTTGCTTTTTGAATTGAGCAGGAGCTTGTTTTTTGTTTGTTTGTTTTGTTTTTTTGAGATGGAGTCTCACTCTGTCGCCAGGCTAGAGTGCAGTGGCGCGATCTCAGCTCACTACAATCTCCACCTCCTGGGTTCAGGTGATTCCCTTGCTTCAGCCTCCCGAGTAGCTGGGACTACAGGCATGCACCACCACACTCGGCTAATTTTTTGTGTTTCAGTAGAGACAGGGTTTCACCATGTTGGTCAGGATGGTCTCGATCTCCTGACCTCATGATCTGCCTGCCTCAGCCTCCCAAAGTGCTGGGATTACAGGCATGAGCCACTGAGCCCGGCCATGCTTGGTTTTTATTAAGGGCCATGTTAGGAAAAATATACCTTTAAAACTCTCTAATAATACCCTGTGTAGTGAGATGCACAAAATATGTAAGGCAAATGAGAACTGAGTTTATTTCAATAAATATTACAGATTCTTATTCTTGCTCTAGGACATTTGCTCATTGAGAGATTGTCAGGTAATACCACAGACATTATTTAAAATTCTCTCTCTCTCTTTCTGCCAAGTATATATACTTTTGAAATCACATAAGAAAAATAAATATGCCAGGATATGACTCCACCATATTATCTAATGTTGTCCTCACAATATCATTTTAAGGAAGGGGTCAGTATTTCAGTTTTCTACATCTGAGGGACATTGAGACTCAGGATAATTTAGTGCTTTTTTTCAACATTTTAAAGAGCATATCTAAAGCCAGGATATATAGCCAGGCCTGTCAGACACAAGCTACATGACACAGGAGATCGATACATTCATTTTGATTGATTGGAAAGCTTATTGGATTTTAATTTAATGAAAGTTATAAATATGTTGGCAAAACTGCTATCACCCAGAAATCAATGAGACTGTTTAATAATGTGGTATTTAGAAGTCTTGACCTATATCTTTGACTGTTTGAGTTTGAGCCACTATACTTTAGTTTTAGAATCTTAGATACCTCCAAATTACAACATGCATGGGATCTATGTAATATCATGTCCCTCAAGTAGTTCTATATGGCTAGAAACTGGTAATTTTTTATGAAGCCAGGAAGTCATCTAATAAAATATCACAGAAAATAGTTACTGGAATTAATACAAATATTATAATTACTCATTGAAAGAAAAGAACTAGAAATAGAAATAACTTCATGATTATGATTTAAAAAAAATCAAACTAGTTTTTAACTTTTTTTCTTTTTAGAAGAGGAGGAAAGCCAGAGGGGGGTCAAGGTCTGCCAAACTCCAATGCAATAGATGGTGCCGTTTGCTCAACCAGAAAATACAACACAAATCCCAGGACAGAAAATGACTGCCTGGCATTAGCTGCTGAATTATTACTCCCTGAGGGATAAAGGTCACTATAAGGGATTGGTCCCTGAAAGGCTTGAGTTGACCCTTTCAGTTTACCTGAGGGATGCAATGATGCAAGGAGTAGAATTAGGAGAAGCAGTGACTGATAAACTTTGAATATTTTTTCCTATTTCAGAAATGCTGTAGATTATATGAGCAGAGAGATACGTCTGAGGCTTGTGAGACCAAATATTTACACTCCCAGCATTCTCTTTTGATTAGGAAAAAACAATAGTGGGAGAGGAGCTAGGCTCTGCTCCTAGCTCTTAGAGCTCACCCTGGGTAGTTTCTTTTCACATTTTTCTTATTAGCAGAGTGGAGAGAAGGAACTAACATTTATCAAGGGCATATATTAAACTAATCTCTTTCTTAGTGACATTATTCATCTTCATCACTTGAACATCTCTTTGAGATAGATTTCTGTTTTACAGAGATAAACAAATCTTTGGAAATTTAAGAGATTTGCCAAAATTAATTCAACATTGGAAATCTAAGTCTTTAGACTTGCAAATCCAGATCAGAGTCAACTAGACCACATGTGTTTGCAAGTCTCTCGGCTATCAGAAGTGATCGCCGCACAGATGTTTTCTAAAGCTTTCTCCAAATCTACACCTTGATGACTGGGGAGATTTTCAGCTTACTTGTTTTTAAGTTAAAGAAATTAGTTCTCAATACTTTTCTTTGAATTTCTCTGCTAGACTTGGACTTCATCCTTTTTCCTGGCATTGCATATACTTTCTAGCCTAACTATTGAGTGGTAATACATATTGAGAGAGAGTAGAAAGTGAGTGAAAATGTATGATCTTGGAAGGTTATCTAACCACCATGAACCTCCATTTTTTTCTCATTCTTAAGATGGGGATAATGACTCTTCATAAGATTGTTCTAATACTTTAAAAGTATAAGTACCTTACACAGCTGTATTTCAATCCACCATGTCCATCTTCCTTCAGTGGTTAACTTTGGCAAAGGAATAGAAATCAAGTAATCATTTGACAAAGACTAATAATTTAATAAGTTCCAGCCAATGTACTTCATCTTGGATCACCATCCTGGAGGAGGGTTATTCAATATTCTGTTGTTATTTAATGCTTATAACAGCTTGTTGTCTTCAGTTCTTTCCAGTGATTCTCAGTCATGGCTGTGCATAGGAAGAGTTGATGAACTTTCTAAAAACCTGCATGCCTCAAGCTGACTCTGACCTGACCTGACTCATAGGCCTTCTGGGCTAGGGATCAGAGGAGGAGCCCAGTAATATGTGCTTTTTACAAGCCACACAGGGGATTCTGCTGCACATGCCGGGTTGAGAATTACCATACTTTGGCCACATGTTCTAGAATGGCTCACTCTTGAAAATGTGAAAAGGTTGCATTCCCAGAAGTCAACTATACTATACCATTTCCTAAGTATCTGTAGCTGTGTTTCTTTTTTTTAAAAAATTATTTATTTATTTATTTATTATTATTTTTTTATTATACTTTAAGGTTTAGGGTACATGTGCACATTGTGCAGGTTAGTTACATATGTATACATGTGCCATGCTGGCGCGCTGCACCCACTAACTCGTCATCTAGCATTAGGTATATCTCCCAATGCTATCCCTCCCCCCTCCCCCCACCCCACCACAGTCCCCAGAGTGTGATATTCCCCTTCCTGTGTCCATGTGATCTCATTGTTCAATTCTCACCTATGATTGAGAATATGCGGTGTTTGGTTTTTTGTTCTTGCGATAGTTTACTGAGAATGATGATTTCCAATTTCATCCATGTCCCTACAAAGGACACGAACTCATCATTTTTTATGACTGCATAGTATTCCATGGTGTATATGTGCCACATTTTCTTAATCCAGTCTATCATTGTTGGACATTTGGGTTGGTTCCAAGTCTTTGCTATTATGAATAATGCCGCAATAAACATACGTGTGCATGTGTCTTTATAGCAGCATGATTTATAGTCCTTTGGGTATATACCCAGTAATGGGATGGCTGGGTCAAATGGTATTTCTAGTTCTAGATCCCTGAGGAATCGTCACACTGATTCCACAAGGGTTGAACTAGTTTACAGTCCCACCAACAGTGTAAAAGTGTTCCTATTTCTCCACATTCTCTCCAGCACCTGTTGTTTCCTGACTTTTTAATGATTGCCATTCTAATTGGTGTGAGATGGTACCTCATTGTGGTTTTGATTTGCATTTCTCTGATGGCTAGTGATGATGAGCATTTTTTCATGTGTTTTTTGGCTGCATAAATGTCTTCTTTTGAGAAGTCTCTGTTCATGTCCTTCGCCCACTTTTTGATGGGGTTGTTTGTTTTTTTCTTGTAAATTTGTTTGAGTTCATTGTAGATTCTGGATATTAGCCCTTTGTCAGATGAGTAGGTTGCGAAAATTTTCTCCCATTTTGTAGGTTGCCTGTTCACTCTGATGGTAGTTTCTTTTGCTGTGCAGAAGCTCTTTAGTTTAATTAGATCCCATTTGTCAATTTTGTCTTTTGTTGCCATTGCTTTTGGTGTTTTAGACATGAAGTCCTTGCCCATGCCTATGTTCTGAATGATAATGCCTAGGTTTTCTTCTAGGGTTTTTATGGTTTTAGGTCTAACGTTTAAGTCTTTAATCCATCTTGAATTGATTTTTGTATAAGGTGTAAGGAAGGGATCCAGTTTCAGCTTTCTACATATGGCTAGCCAGTTTTCCCAGCACCATTTATTAAATAGGGAATCCTTTCCCCATTGCTTGTTTTTCTCAGGTTTGTCAAAGATCAGATAGTTGTAGATATGCGGCATGATTTCTGAGGGCTCTGTTCTGTTCCATTGATCTATATCTCTGTTTTGGTACCAGTACCATGCTGTTTTGGTTACTGTAGCCTTGTAGTGTAGTTTGAAGTCAGGTAGTGTGATGCCTCCAGCTTTGTTCTTTTGGCTTAGGACTGACTTGGCGATGCGGGGTCTTTTTTGGTTCCATATGAACTTTAAAGTAGTTTTTTCCAATTCTGTGAAGAAAGTCATTGGTAGCTTGATGGGGATGGCATTGAATCTGTAAATTACCTTGGGCAGTATGGCCATTTTCACGATATTGATTCTTCCTACCCATGAGCATGGAATGTTCTTCCATTTGTTTGTATCCTCTTTTATTTTCTTGAGCAGTGGTTTGTAGTTCTCCTTGAAGAGGTCCTTCACATCCCTTGTAAGTTGGATTCCTAGGTATTTTATTCTCTTTGAAGCAATTGTGAATGGGAGTTCACTCATGATTTGGCTCTCTGTTTGTCTGTTGCTGGTGTATAAGAATGCTTGTGATTTTTGTACATTGATTTTGTATCCTGAGACTTTGCTGAAGTTGCTTATCAGCTTAAGGAGATTTTGGGCTGAGACAATGGGGTTTTCTAGATATACAATCATGTCGTCTGCAAACAGGGACAGTTTGACTTCCTCTTTTCCTAATTGAATAGCCTTTATTTCCTTCTCCTGCCTAATTGCCCTGGCCAGAACTTCCAACACTATGTTGAATAGGAGTGGTGAGAGAGGGCATCCCTGTCTTGTGCCAGTTTTCAAAGGGAATGCTTCCAGTTTTTGCCCATTCAGTATGATATTGGCTGTGGGTTTGTCATAGATAGCTCTTATTATTTTGAGATACGTCCCATCAATACCTAATTTATTGAGAGTTTTTAGCATGAAGGGTTGTTGAATTTTGTCAAAGGCTTTTTCTGCATCTATTGAGATAATCATGTGGTTTTTGTCTTTGGCTCTGTTTATATGCTGGATTACATTTATTGATTTGCGTATATTGAACCAGCCTTGCATCCCAGGGATGAAGCCCACTTGATCATGGTGGATAAGCTTTTTGATGTGCTGCTGGATTCAGTTTGCCAGTATTTTATTGAGGATTTTTGCATCAATGTTCATCAAGGATATTGGTCTAAAATTCTCTTTTTTGGTTGTGTCTCTGCCCGGCTTTGGTATCAGGATGATGCTGTTCTCATAAAATGAGTTAGGGAGGATTCCCTCTTTTTCTATTGATTGGAATAGTTTCAGAAGGAATGGTACCAGTTCCTCCTTGTACCTCTGATAGAATTCGGCTGTGAATCCATCTGGTCCTGGACTCTTTTTGGTTGGTAAACTACTGATTATTGCCACAATTTCAGCTCCTGTTATTGGTCTATTCAGGGATTCAACTTCTTCCTGGTTTAGTCTTGGGAGAGTGTATGTGTTGAGGAATTTGTCCATTTCTTCTAGATTTTCTAGTTTATTTGTGTAAAGGTGTTTATAGTATTCTCTGATGGTAGTTTGTATTTCTGTGGGATCAGTGGTGATATCCCCTTTATCATTTTTTATTGTGTCTATTTGATTCTTCTCTCTTTTTTTCTTTATTAGTCTTGCTAGCGGTCTATCAGTTTTGTTGATCCTTTCAAAAAACCAGCTCCTGGATTCATTAATTTTTTGAAGGGTTTTTTTGTATCTCTATTTCTTTCAGTTCTGCCCTGATTTTAGTTATTTCTTGCCTTCTGCTAGCTTTTGAATGTGTTTGCTCTTGCTTTTCTAGTTCTTTTAATTGTGATGTTAGTGTGTCAATTTTGGATCTTTCCTGCTTTCTCTTGTGGGCATTTAGTGCTATAAATTTCCCTCTACACACTGCTTTGAATGCTTCCCAGAGATTCTGGTATGTTGTGTCTTTGTTCTCGTTGGTTTAAAAGAATATCTGTATTTCTGCCTTCATTTCGTTATGTACCCAGTAGTCATTCAGGAGCAGGTTGTTCAGTTTCCATGTAGTTGAGAGGTTTTGAGTGAGATTCTTAATCCTGAGTTCTAGTTTGATTGCACTGTGGTCTGAGAGATAGTTTGTTATAATCTCTGTTCTTTTACATTTGCTGAGGAGAGCTTTACTTCCAAGTATGTGGTCAATTTTGGAATAGGTGTGGTGTGGTGCTGAAAAAAATGTATATTCTGTTGATTTGGAGTGGAGAGTTCTGTAAATGTCAATTAGGTCCGCTTTGTGCAGATCTGAGTTCAATTCCTGGGTATCCTTGTTGACTTTCTGTCTTGTTGATCTGTCTAATGTTGACAGTGGGGTGTTAAAGTCTCCCATTATTAATGTGTGGGAGTCTAAGTCTCTTTGTAGGTCACTCAGGACTTGCTTTATGAATCTGGGTGCTCCTGTATTGGGTGCATATATATTTAGGATAGTTAGCTCTTCTTGTTGAATTGATCTCTTTACCATTATGTAATGGCCTTCTTTGTCTCTTTTGATCTTTGTTGGTTTAAAGTCTGTTTTATCAGAGACTAGGATTGCAACCCCTGCCTTTTTTTGTTTTCCATTTGCTTGGTAGATCTTCCTCCATCCTTTTATTTTGAGCCTATGTGTGTCTCTGCACGTGAGATGGGTTTCCTGAATACAGCACACTGATGGGTCTTGACTCTTTATCCAATTTGCCAGTCTGTGTCTTTTAATTGGAGCATTTAGTCCATTTACATTTAAAGTTAATATTGTTATGTGTGAATTTGATCCTGTCATTATGATGCTAGCTGGTTATTTTGTTCGTTAGTTGATGCAGTTTCTTCCTAGTCTTGATGGTCTTTACATTTTGGCATGATTTCGCAGTGGCTGTTATGGGTTGTTCCTTTCCATGTTTAGCGCTTCCTTCAGGAGCTCTTTTAGGGCAGGCCTGGTGGTGACAAAATCTCTCAGCATTTGCTTGTCTGTAAAGGATTTTATTTTTCTCCTTCACTTATGAAGCTTAGTTTGGCTGGATATGAAATTCTGGGTTGAAAATTCTTTTCTTTAAGAATGTTGAATATTGGCCCCCACTCTCTTCTGGCTTGTAGGGTTTCTGCCGAGAGATCCGCTGTTAGTCTGATGGGCTTCCCTTTGAGGGTAACCTGATCTTTCTCTCTGGCTGCCCTTAACATTTTTTCCTTCATTTCAACTCTGGTGAATCTGACAATTATGTGTCTTGGAGTTGCTCTTCTCGAGGAGTATCTTTGTGGCGTTCTCTGTATTTCCTGAATCTGAACGTTGGCCTGCCTTGCTAGATTGGGGAAGTTCTCCTGGATAGTATCCTGCAGTGTTTTCCAACTTGGTTCCATTCTCCCCATCACTTTCAGGTACACCAGTGAGACGTAGATTTGGTCTTTTCACATAGTCCCATACTTCTTGGAGGCTTTGCTCATTTCTTTTTATTCTTTTTTCTCTAAACTTCCCTTCTCACTTCATTTCATTCATTTCCTCTTCCATCGCTGATACCCTTTCTTCCAGTTGATCGCATGAACTGGAATGCAATCCTGAGGCTTCTGCATTCTTCACGTAGTCCTTGAGCCTTGGTTTTCAGCTCCATCAGCTCCTTTAAGCACTTCTCTGTATTGGTTATTCTAGTTATACATTCTTCTAAATTTTTTTCAAAGTTTTCAACCTCTTTGCCTTTGGTTTGAATGTCCTCCCATAGCTCAGAGTAATTTGATCATCTGAAGCCTTCTTCTCTCAGCTCGTCAAAGTCATTCTCCATCCAGCTTTGTTCTGTTGCTGGTGAGGAACTGCGTTCCTTTGGAGGAGGAGAGGCACTCTGCTTTTTAGAGTTTCCAGTTTTTCTGTTCTGTTTTTTCCCCATCTTTGTGGTTTTATCTACTTTTGGTCTTTGATGATGGTGATGTACAGATGGGTTTTTGGTGTGGATGTCCTTTCTGTTTGTTAGTTTTCCTTCTAACAGACAGGACCCTCAGCTGCAGGTCTGTTGGAATACCCTGCCTTGTGAGGTGTCAGTGTGCCCCTGCTGGGGGGTGCCTCCCAGTTAGGCTGCTCAGGGGTCAGGGGTCAGGGACCCACTTGAGGAGGCAGTCTGCCCATTCTCAGATCTCCAGCTGCGTGCTGGGAGAACCACTGCTCTCTTCAAAGCTGTCAGACAGGGACACTTAAGTCTGCAGAGGTTACTGCTGTCTTTTTGTTTGTCTGTGCCCTGCCCCCAGAGGTGGAGCCTACAGAGGCAGGCAGGCCTCCTTGAGCTGTGGTGGGCTCCACCCAGTTCGAGCTTCCTGGCTGCTTTGTTTACCTAAGCAAGCCTGGGCAATGGTGGGCGCCCCTCCCCCAGCCTTGCTGCCGCCTTGCAGTTTGATCTCAGACTGCTGTGCTAGCAATCAGTGAGACTCCGTGGGCGTAGGACCCTCTGAGCCAGGTGCCGGATATAATCTCGTGGTGCGCCGTTTTTCAAGCCGGTCCAAAAAGCTCAATATTCGGGTGGGAGTGACCCGATTTTCCAGGTGCGTCCATCACCCCTTTCTTTGACTCGGAAAGGGAACTCCCTGACCCCTTGCGCTTCCCAAGTGAGGCAATGCCTCGCCCTGCTTCGGCTCGCGCACAGTTCGCGCACCCACTGACCTGCGCCCACTGTCTGGCACTCCCTAGTGAGATGAACCTGGTACCTCAGACGGAAATGCAGAAATCACCTGTCTTCTGCGTCGCTCATGCTGGGAGCTGTAGACCAGAGCTGTTCCTATTTGGCCATCTTGGCTCCTCCCTGTAGCTGTGTTTCTTAAAGCACTATCTCTAAACTACCTGCATCAGTAATACCCGGTGTTCTTGTTGCAAGTGCAGCTTTCTAGGCCTAACCCCAGAGTAGAATCCTTGTTTATGCAGTCTCAGTAATTTATGGGGTTTCTGTATTTAACATGTTTCCTAGATGATACTTATGCAATTGAATTTTAAAAATTATTGACAGAGCGATTTCCAACCAGAGATACTTTGAGGACAGACTGGAGAGTAAAACAAAAATCTGCCTTAATTAGTAAAGTCTTTGTTTAGGGTAGAGGCAAAATAATAAGTATCCTTTGGGTTTCTCGATTTTGTATCATTTTGATGAAAGCCTGTAGATATGAGTTTATGTTACATTTGAATGAATCCAGTAAAGAAGGATAAAATATCACTTGTTTTTATAAATCAGAAGGGAAACTACTTGGCAAAGCATGCAGCTCAATGCCCTAGTTTTTGACAGCCTATCTGGGAAAATGTCATGCTGCAATACCAGGGAAATTGCCAATCTCCTACAAAGAAAAGCACTTTTTTTTGGTAACTAAGGAGGTTTAGGGTGCACTGGGATGTGAAGACTTGAAAGCACTTGAATCTTCTATGGAAATGCCTGAACCACGCTTACCACCACCATGTCCGCATCAGTCAAATGCAGTTTTTGTCAAAGTTGCTTTGATTTAGCCTCTTTCTAATCATGACTTCTGCTGAAATTTGAACATGTGGACAGGGCTTAGAAATAAAAGAACAACTGTGGTTTTAGAGACTTTTGTTTTGTTTTAAATATATCTTGATTAAAATGAATTAAGCTTCAGTCAATTTAACATCCCTTGCAATAAATTCATCAGATCTCTGAAAACATGAGGGAATATAAAATTGCTGCCATGTGCATGTATTCAGCTTCTGGTCTTTAGTATTCTATGCTTTATCAGTTTAGATTTTTGGCCACCATTTCCTGAAGTATCCTTTTTTCAGTGTTGGGGAGAAGAAACCAGGAGGAAAAACAATTACTTTATAATTTCCTCAATTATTCTGATGCAATTTATTTTTGTACAGTGTTGGGTCACAACTTTAGATTTTGTATTTATTGAAAGGGTAAGATGTAGTAACACATTTAGTGTACAGTGTCTGGCCCCACATATATCTGAATTTTGGTCTACAATTTCTCTAAAGTAGCAAGAGTCAAGAAGCATTTTGAGGGCTGGTGGTTATCTGGAAGTTGGTGTGATCTCCAGTGGCTTTTGTTCTAACTTAATTGATTTGTTTGTTTTTGTCATCACCATCCCAAAATGGGAGGATAGAGTATAGAATTCACATCTAATACTCAGTCTGATGGTCATCACATTACACCTTCCTCTTGCATATTTCTTTGCCTGTTTTGGGCTTAGATTCCATAGATATGAATCATGCCTTCTGTGAAATCTTTAAATCCCAAGGGAGAGAAAAATTTTGTTGCCCAAAAAGGAAGTGCTTCTAAAATAAATGGAGAAACGTTCTTGTAATTTAGAAATAAGGATTCAGATTGTGTTGAATAATTTAACACTATGATGGGTTATCTTTAAAAGGAAACATAAAAGATAGTATTTGAATTCAATAAATTTTACTTAACAGGATAAATTCCATGATCCTCAACATGTGTCTGAGGTCCTCTTTCATTTATGTGCTTCTTACCTTTTGGCCCATTCCTGTCACTCATCAGCTGACACTGAATATTTCAACACCACAGAAGTATTTAAATTTTCTATATACACCATGCTGTAGGGAAACAAGGAGCAGGTGGTTTATCTGAGTCTGGAAGCTGGGATTGTCCTGAAAGAGCTAGAACCATGGTATGAACTGTCTGGTGGGACCTGAGACTACAAAGAAATGGGTTTTCCCTTGGGAGGTAAATCAAAAAAATCACAGCAACTGCTAGAAATTCCACGATACAGAGTGAGAGACATGTAAATATTCTGGCTTCTCTTCCTGGCCTTCATTCTTCCACCAGTGACTTCTGTTGCCTAAACTAGTTACAGGTCAGTTGGCAAGGGAGCTCAGGGAATGTCATTCCCTAAGATACAAAGCAGAGCAGCAAGGAGAGGGGAGTGAATCTTACAGCAAACGTGCACATGAATTCCACAACCTGTCTTAGATTTGGCCTACTCAAAAGTGCTCTGAAACCAGGACTTGAGTTCAAGTAGTTTACATGGGAGGTGAATCCAATGTACCTAGGAACAGAAGTAGAAAAATGATACATGGAAAATAAGGAAGTCAATGCATTAATAAGCAGATTGCCACTGTGGGCAACTGGGTAGAGCTTAGTCATGCTGGGGACACTGGAGAGATTACATAGAAAATGCATCAGATATTCTACCTGAGGGGTGAGGAAGTCAACATATGTATGCACCAACTCTCCTCCATCTTTGATTGAAAACTGCTCTTGGGAGGAGATGGCCCAGTACCTGGATGGCACTTCCAGCCTGCCTTGGGCTTGGGGTTAACATGTTCCTACAGTCACAGAAAGTCCACAGGCAGAGAATCACAAGTGCTTGCAGTAAGATCCTGTCAGGATGTGCAGGAACGGTGAGTGACAAGAGGCTATGGCAGTACCTGCTGTATTCACAAGACTGAATTAGGTGCTTCTCTTCCATGTGTCTTTAGTGCCTTCTTTATATGTCTATCACTGCATTTATTACCTATCTGTTTCTAATGCAAACTTTTGCTCCTTAAGGCAGAAGCTATTTCCTATTCTTTATCTAATCCCCATTAATAGGCCACAGAAATCCTTAATAAATGTAAGATACTAAATAGATATTTATTAACTCTATCAGACCCAAGTTCTTCCCTTTTTATTAACAGTAATTTGATATATTCTATTTACCACCATGAAATTAAGATATAATATAACCTACTGTGATGGGCTAAATTATTCTCCCAATATTCGTATGGTGCAACCCTAACTGCCAATGTGACTGTATTGGGAGACAGGGCCTTTAGGAAGTAATTAAGGTTAAATGAGCTTATAAGGTGTGGCCCTAATGTGATAGAACTTTGGCCTTATAAGAAGAAGAGATCTCCTTCTCCTCTTTCTTTTTTCTCCTCTCTCTCTCTCTCTCTCTCTCTCTCTCTCTGCCATGTAAGAACACAATGAGAAGTTGGCAGTCAGGAAGAGAGCCCTCACCAGAACTGGACAATGCTGGCACTTTGATCTCAGATAGTCAGCCTCTGGAACAGTTAGAAAACAAGCTTCTGTTGTTATACCACACAGACTATAGTTTTGTTATGGCAGCCTACTTACGCACATGATTAATGTGGGTATGTCTTAATTCTAATAAAAAGAAGGAATAATAAGCAACTAATATATAATAAAATAATATGAATTTCATTACATAAAAGATCAGGCGTGAGTACACTAGAAGGCATAATATGATAAAGTACTTGCACGTACTTATAAAAATGTATTTAGTTTTAAGAGAAAACAGAAAACATTCACCTGAATATTGTTGCCACTTAAAAAATCTTTGTTAACGAAATATGGGCTAATACATAGACTCAATGTATATATAAATAGACTCAGTGTGAATACGATAATAAATATGCAGAATAACAGGAAGTGTTATATTTACAAGTTAAATTTCATGAGATTATGACTTATGGCATGCTTTTATCAACCTGAGGGCTTTTAGAAAATACAAGAGTAATAAAGATCTAACTTGAAAAATGGAGGACAGAATTGGGGATGTTGAGTGGAGAAGAAAATATTTAGGGAAGACATAGTATATATGTGAGTGAATTGAAACTCAGAGAGGTTGAATAACTTGTCCGAGGTATCAAAACTAATACTGATTGTCATTTAATTTATCAAATAGTCATTGCCAGGGTGAGACTATACATCATTTGCAATGTTCACAATCAGCATGCTTTTGTGAAGAAATAAAATGAAAGATTTAATTTCTTTAAGAAATGAAATTTTAATTCACAATGAAATTACTTTTCTCATTGTTTAACATTATGACATTTCTGAAAAGTTCTTTGTAATTAAAATGGAGAAAAATATGTTTATATTTGTGTTTATTTGTAACTCTATGTAGAAAGCTAGAATCTAGGGTCAATTATATAGAGATTATTCATCAACATAAATCTCCCACAGGATATTTGATAGTTTCCAGATACAGAACAGTTCTCTGATATACAGGATAGGCCTGGGCATTGAAGGATGGATAGCATCCCTGTTCATTCCTAGACAATCCGCTAATCACTGTGACAACCAAAACATACCTAAAATTCAAAAACACCTCTTTGAAAGTGATGCTGCACCATTGAGAACTGCTATGTTCAATGTTTGTTAAGTGCATCTGCTTATTGAGCAAATAGACCCTCAGTATTGGGTTAGTTGTGAATAGGTAAAATTTCAAGGAATTCAAATAGTCTAGGAATATAAAAAGTAGAAATTAGCCAATGTTTTAAAAACCACCTCCTGACTATAAAGATTGATGCTTTAAAAATATGGGTTTAAAAACTTGGATATTTATTAGGATATTTAAAACCATCTTTTAGAAGAAAATATGATGGAAGTGACTCTTTCAGTTCAGCATTTCCATAATAGCTTGGAAAAAGATGTAGGTGTCATGCTTATCAGATATAGAAATAAAACAATGTTGAGAAGAATAATTAATGTGTTGTGTCACACCCATCATAAAACAAGTTAAAACAAATGTGATGAAATTCAAACTCAAGTCTTAGAATATGATTGCATCAATATAGAATAAAGACATAGGCTCACTTATACACAGTACCTAATTACTATCTTAATAAGTAAAGTGACACTGGTTTTACCTATGTCCATGTAATCTTTAACTATAATAGATGTCTAATATTCAAAACAGGCAAAGTTATGGAACTCTTGTATTAGACCTGTCTATGGTAATGCCCTTAATTCTGAGTGCTCTACTTTAAGAGGAGCATTTATCAACCTGAGGGCTTTTAGAAAATGCAAGGATGATAAAGATCTGACTTGAAAAATGAAGGACAAAATTGGGGATGTTGAGTGGAGAAGAAAATATTTGGGGAAGACGTAGTATATATGTGAGTGAATTAGACTCAGAGAGGTTGAATAACTTGTCCAAGGTATCAAAACTAATACCGATTGTCATTTAATTTATGAAATAGTCATTGCCAGAGTGAGACTATACAACATTTGCAATGTTCACAATCAGCACACGCATTGGTTGTAGTAATATAAACTGCTATAAATTAACCCCCAAATTTTAGTAGCTTAACACAATAAAAGTTTATTCCATATATTTAACTACCCTGTCTTTGATCCTGTTAAATGATATGCTTTATTTCATGCGATGATTCTAGAACCTAGGCTTCCTGCATCTTGTGGGTCTTTTATCACCTAAAGTGTATATAGTAGCACAACTGCTTCTTAACTGCTGCCTAGAAAATGAGTTCTTCTTCCATTAGCCAGAATAACTCACAAGACCAAACTTCAAAGCAAGGGAGGTGGTGGGGAAATACAAGAGAATGAGTCAGAAAGACCCTGGGAGATATAGGCCCCAAATGGGTGGCTGTTTCCCAAAGAGTCCTGGCTAGGAAAGAGAGAATAAATTTGGGAGTGGATGACTAACTGTATTAGTCCATTTTCACACTGCTATAAAGACATACCCAAGACTGGTTAATATATTAAAAAAAAGAGGTTTAATGAATTCACAGTTCGGCAGGGCTGGGGAGGCCTCAGGAAACTTACAGTCATGGTGGAAGTGGAAGAAGCACGTCTTACATGGTGACAGGAGAGAGAGAGAGAGAGAATGTGAAAGAAGCAAAAGGGGGAAGAGCCCCTTTTAAAACCATCAGATCTCATGAGAACTTGTTCACTATCACAAGAATGGCATGGGGGAAATAGCTCCCATTATCCAATGACCTCCTACCAGGTCCTGCCCTCAACACATGGGAATTATGGGGATTACAATTCAAGATGAGATTCGGGTGGGGACACAGAGCCAAAGCATATCACTAAACTTCTCAGCCACAAAAAGCAAGATGCATTTCTCTTTCATTATTTTACAATTAAGAATACCAAAGGTCATGAAGATTCAAAGAACTTTAGGATTCATGACCTTTAAGTGGCTGCTCAATTTTTATCTAATTTTAAAGCGTAGGTATGCAACACTACACTAAGCCATCTTCAGTGAGCAACAGTCCTTTCTGTTCTTTCTTTGTGCTCTTTTCCCCAAATGAGGTCAATCT
This sequence comes from Homo sapiens, assembly GCF_000001405.40. NCBI lineage: Eukaryota > Metazoa > Chordata > Mammalia > Primates > Hominidae > Homo > Homo sapiens. Next base: position 69,126,747 of record NC_000001.11, read on the forward strand.
TCCTATTTTTACTGAGTTTTTAAAATCAGCCAGTGGTATCTTAGCTAGTTCTAACTTTCTTGAATCAAGAATTACATGTTTTTTTTAAACAAATTCTTTGGTTAGTCCCCTGAGGCATGCCACCAATCATTTTTCTGGTTGAAACATGTACATACACATAGACATACACACTCACACGTAGACTTGCAAGCTCCTTCACTGACCTTTTCTAACTCATGCATTTTTCTCCTTTGGGGGATTAAACTACTCTTGGCTCCACCTCTCTGGTATTTAAATTAGTCTGCATAAAATACTTAAGTCACTTATCTTCCAGGCTTTGCTCAGTCTCCTTAGCAACCTCCTTAGCAACAGATTTCTTTAGAAAAGAATCTCAAAAAAAGTTGCACAGGACCATATTCCTTGCAATTGTACTAAAAATTGGAATTAAAAAAAAAAAAAACCTCTCATAACAACTTATATTGACTTCCCTCTCATTTGTTTATTCAACAACCCTTTGATATGTTGACCTGCCTGGTATTGTTCATTCTTCACATTGCTGTCAGAGTGAGCTCCAAACACAAATCAGTTTGTATCATTTTCCTACTAAAATCTCTCTTTGCAGTGGTTTCTGCTCCCACCCTGATGATACAACCCAAATTTTGATGAGCGCCTACAAAGCCAACTCCAGCTGTCCCTCAGACTTCACTGTCTCTGCCCTCCTTTTCTCCAACTATTCTGTCTTGCTGTTACTCATTTCTCTGTTCAAGGCCTTCACATTTGCTATTTTCTCTCTGCCTGGGCTGCTCTACCCCCAGATTTTTACATGATTCATACTTTCTCATACTCAGTAAGGCACCTTCTCATACTCACGGACTACCTTAATTAATCTGCATTATTTTTTAATAGAATTTGACCCTATTTAAAAATACTAACTTTACTTGTTTATGCATTTATTTTGCATGTAATTTCCATGATGGGAGGGATTTTGCCTTCACTGCTTTACTCCCAACTTGGTCCAGGTTTGGGTTGAATAAATTAAATAACAACCATCAATATTTGTTTAGTGCCTTTCATGTATCAGAATTCCTTGAGCAATTTGTTTGTTGTTTAGAGTATCGATAAAATGTCTGGTATATATAGAAGCCAGGGCCTAGTGTCACGCCCATCCTGGAAGCAAGGGTTTGTGTACCAGAGACACCCCACCACAGATTTTGTTCAAGAGCTGAACTGGTATTCTGGAAGGCAAGCAAAGCTGACCGTAATTAGTCTGCAGAAGTAGGAAAGGTGCTGTCTATGTAGTTTTGCTCCTTGTATTCATTTGCCTTCAAGATCATGCATAAAACATGTTTGCTTTAACTTTGGGCAAAGTTCAGCATACTGGAGCTGAAGGGAAATTCATCTTTCAGACAGGTGGTATGTGAGATTCTAAAACTGAGCACAGGTCACAAAAGAGGTTTGCTTAAGAGTAGCGGAAGGATTCCTTCATGTTTTTTATGCCTGTCCCTCCCCATCCTTTCTCAGAAACGGCGCTTGATAAAAAAAAAATTTTTGGCTAAGTGGGTGCTTTATAGATGATGCAGATTATTCCAGAGGAAATAAATGCAGCATATAAGTTAATCAAAAGAATTTCCCCCGCGTTGACTTTCCTTCTTAGCTCTTTAATTAGCTATTCAAGAGCAGCACTCCTGCAAATGTCTAAAAATAGACAGAAGCCTGGTCAGGAACAAAGTAAAGCAACCTGTTTTCTCTTTATTTCAATAGTGGTTCAGAGTTGCACATTAGTGTCATAAAGCTGAGAGGTTTATAACATTTTTTTTTAAATTGTGCATCTATATAGAAAAGGCATGCCTAGAGGTTTTACTCATTTTAAAAGCATAGTATTACATTAATTTTGCATAGAACTTTGTAGCTTGCAAAGTACTTTAATATAAATAATACAACTTTTCTTTTCTGGATACAAATAGGTAATATTAACATTAAAACCAAACATGGTCGCATCTTGACCCCATTTGTGCATACACTGGCAGTGCCTCTCATCTTTGTGTTTTATAAAGCTTGGAGGTGATGTTTGATTTTGTCTCAAAACATTGCGTGGCAGGTACTGTTATCCCAAGATGTCCATTGTTTTCTTTCTCTTCTGTTCTGGTTTGTTTTCTTCGTGTTCTCTGTCCTCCAAACTACTTTGAAAATGCCTCACAGGGACTGTAACAATGCTAAAATGACAGTGCTAATGTCCATGCTGACTCTTGTACCAGAGAGGTGCTGTGTTCCCCAGGGAAGTGGAGAGAATGCTTTGCTTTAACCAATTTTATGCTACATTTTCCTCCCTTCTTCTTCCACATAATTGGATACTTATCACCAAGTACAGATTTTTTGAGCAGGCCCCCCATCAACTCGTAAGGCACACTCAGAAAAACCCTAGCACTGGGCCCAGTTTAGGCTGACACGGGAGGTTTTTCTGACAACCTTTTGAGACAGTTGGGGAAAGTCATTGTTTGTCCCATTTAACATATTAGAAACTAAAATACAAGGTAGTTGTTTTAAAAAATTTTTTAAACAATTATTAACAATTAGTTAAATTAGGGAATCAGATACATTTCTACTTATCTTAACCTGGATCTTTTCTATTATTTCTTTGTCTAAGCAGTAGCAGCTCTGTGGTGTAAGGATGTCTAATTGCCCCTAAATGAGAAAAGCTGCCCAGGCAGAGGTGAATTTCATGTGAGTGGTTTAGAGGCAGACAGAGGCTGGCCGCTGGTACATCGGAGTGATCAGATACCAGATGGGGAATATGAACTAGATAATCTCTATGATGACTTCCCAATCCTCTTTTGGTTTGTAATCCCACAGCTAAATCGAAAACCAAACAAACAACAATGTGGTTCTGCTGAAGGGAAGGGAAGGGTCTGGGCTTTTATTAAAAGAGGGGTGAGGGGCACTGGGAGGAATATACAAAGCAAAGTGGTTGATGATATCTCAGAGAAAGGCAGAGGGAATGGCTTCTCAGCTTACGTAAGGGCAGGGTGGAGAGAAGCAGATTGTGGATTAGTAACTCGATTTTAATGCAAGGGCAGAGAAGCATTGACCTGACTGTAAGTCTTCCCTGGCTGCAGAAATTTGAAGATAAAATAACGAAACAGGGTAAGGAGGGGACTGCCAGGTGCAGGTTCAAGAGTGGAGTGGGAGCAAAGTGTTTAGTTCAGAGGCAGCTCCACCAGACAGAGGAGTCTCAGAACACTCTCCAATTTAATTTTGGCTCCCTGTCCATGTCTAGGGGCAGCACCACCTAACAGACACCAGAGCAGTATCATTGGTAATGGTGGAACAAAACTCTCTAATACGCAGTAGCCAATCAGGGGAATTCAGCCTCACAGGAAAGAAGAAAGACAAATGACAGTTTGACACTTCCAGAAATCCCCTCTTCTAAGGCCCTCATTTTGAATAAACATTAATCAAAAAGTTCCAGGGCAAAGAATCGTGACTTGGCCAGTGACACAGGTTGGGAGTCTAGAAAAAGTATCAGTTACTCTATTAAGCTTTCTATAGCTAATTGGCATTGTTCCACAGTTTTCTGTTCATTCATTTTTCATTTTGGTTTTTTGTTTTTGAGACGGAGTCTCACTCTGTTGCCCAGGCTGGAGTGCAGTGGCGTGATCTCAGCTCACTGCAAGCTCTGCCTCCCGGGTTCACGCCATTCTCCTGCCTCAGCCTCCCGAATAGCTGGGACTACAGGTGCCCGCCACCACGCCGGGCTAATTTTTTGTATTTTTAGTAGAGATGGGGTTTCACCGTGTCAGCCAGGATGGTCTCGATCTCCTCACCTCGTGATCCTCCCGCCTCAGCCTCCCAAAGTGTTGGGATTACAGGCTTGAGCCACCGTGCCCAGCCTGTTCATTCATTTTTCTACAGGCTTCCCAGCATCTAGGCTTTCAGTACACTTGATTCCTCTCACACACTAGGACTTGTCCGTGTGTGTGTGTGGTGTGTTGATCATGTTAAAGAAAAAAATTATTCAGTGTTCCTGTCATAAGGAACCCTTTATTTTAATAAGGAACACTTTATTTAGGACTATTTCAGTAGGTGCCAAACTATCTCAATACAGAGAAAGAAAAGGCTCAATTCTGAATACTTCAAGGATAGCTGGAGAACTGGGGATTTATAGCCAAGAAGCAAGGGGCAGGGGACAGTGGATAAAGAATTACTAAGAGAATATATCAGTGCTATGGAGAATTTTTGCTGAACTAACTTAATGAAACCAAGGTTTGAGGATGAGGAATTTGATCAAATGTTGAGGATGATCAGATATAAAAGGTAGGGGAATTGCTCTAAAGTCACTTAGCAGGATTCTTGCTAAAACCAGATTAAGTAAGCCAAAGACAAGGCCCAAGAATGAGGCTTAGTTGAAAACAGGATTCAGAAGAGCTTGTCTAAAATCTCATAGAGGACAGTGTCTTGGTCAGTGGAAGGCAGTAGGCTTGTCATGGCACCATCTTTTCTTCTGAAATGACCTGTGTTTCTTACCTTTGACCTATGAACTGTGAACATTCATACTCCTAAGTCTTTAACCATTAGGACATGATACTCCACCTGACAACTCATACAGTTGCCTTTATTTCTTTTATCTCAGCTGTAGAAACTGAGTGTTGTAATAAACAACACTCTACTGAATGATGTAATATTTATTTTGAAATCGTATTTTTTTTACATTTAAAAAATGCATTCAGACAGCTTTAATAATCTGAAATCTGAGTGAAGACCACATCAGAAAATAAAAGCAGTTTTTCTTTGCAGTTGGATAAACTGAGACAGGTAAAATGTGTTTCTCCTGGTAACAGCAAAAGTAACAGAATTGGGAATATAATTCACACTCTGATTCCTAGGTCCCTGTTCTCATCAATAAAATGCAGTCAACACCCTGCTCTCTTGCTCTGATTGCTGTATTTACATGCCCCAATTCTCCCATTAAATCTACATTGTATTTGTATTTAAATGTAAATTGTATTTAGCTTCGCCAGCAGAAGCTTTAATTTTTATAGCATGTTTAAGAGCACTAAGGGGAGGTTATTAGAATTCTGTCTTGAGATCTCAGGTGAAAAGGTAGTGCAAAGGTTAAATGACTAATCACAGGACATATACAGACCACTATTGCCAGTGTAGATGATGTTTTTCCTTCTACTTTTGTGAATGTTTGAAAAATTTTAAACCAAAGCATTTAAAATAACAATGAAATCAAAATATGACAAATAAAAGGAAAAATGAGTACCCACTTGCCCACTAAACTTGCTTCCTAATATAATACCTTTAATAGCTAATTATCTTTGATTCTTATGTTTTCCAAACCCCATTCACCTCTAGCATAGGTTTGCATGCATATAATGACTATGATGTGTTGAATAGCTTCAGGAAAAATACTGAGGTTTGAACTTACATATTGTCTTGGTATATATGTGCTAACTATTGACATTAATATACTCTTGGTTCCTGACTACACATAAGATCCCTAAAGTGAAAGACACTGGATATAACATTGAAAGGAAATGGACATGATGAAATTTCCCAGTAATTAGGAATATTCCTATGTGATGAGGAAACTGAAAATTCTACCAATATTTTCAGGAATTTCTGTTCAATCCAGAATGTGGGTAAAGAATAATGTAAAGCTCTGGTTTTAACACAAAGAGAAAAATAAGACTTTATAGATTTTACCAAGAGTTGGTAAGTGGAACTCTTAATTAGAATAGAGCTAGGAAAGAGTAGAATTTGTGCAAAATATAGAAGGGAAAATTGGGAAAATCTTTTATGTGACTACATATGCTATACAAGATACAGTATTTTAAGAAATTTAAGAAGGGGAATGACATAATTAATTTGCATATTCTTAAAACAGCATGACAGTGATTAGAGGGGAAAAACAAGTGTCAAAAAGCCAATTTGGTGGTTTTACAGAAATGTAGATAAGAAATAATGGATGTCTAAACTAATACACTTACATGGTCAAAAGAAGGGGCCATATTTGAAGGATAATGAAGAGGTGAAATTAACAGTAAATATGAGACTTAAAGCATCTGCCTTAGAAATTTGGGTAGATGGTGGCTCAATTTACCAAGATAGAGGATGCACAAATCTGTTGAGAAAATGTTGAGATTTGGAAATTTTGCTATGAAGTGGTTATGGGATATTTAATTTAAGATGACCAGCAGTCAATGGAAAAATCACACATGGAGCTCAATCAGGATGTCTAGGGAGAGATACTTATAGTATCCAGGTTATGGAGATATGAGATAACTGGAAAGACTACCACAAGTAGAAACAGACCTACAGATTAAACCTTGGAAATGCCACATGTAATTAATTAATAACAACTCTGCTATTGGCATTTTAAAGCACTAAATATAGTACTAAAATATATAGATATGTATCTTAATATATTTAATTATGTTTAAATATATTTAATGTATTTTAAAATATACATATATACACATATATTCATGTATAAAACACTTTGGAGCATATAAAAGGAAATATTCTGTTCTGAACTCTTTTCTAGTAAAGTTGAAAACTTTTTCTTAATCTTGAAGAATGTCTTCTGAAAGAGGAAGTAGACTTAGCCTACATAGTTTCAAAGGCATAATCAAGAGCAATTAAATAAGAAAGGACTTTCTAATAAATTAAACTGTGCCAAATAAGATAATTTGGCCAGGCAGAAGCAAATTTCCAGACACTAAAGTTATGTCTGACATACACGAGGCACACAATAAACATTTGTTAAATGAATAAGACTGATCATTTTTCTGAGAGTTGTAAATGATAAAATATTTAATGAGAAGCTCTTTAAAATGCCCCCTAAAATTGATTTCTGTCCAGTCTTATGACTGTAAGATTTTATACTGAGTAATTCTCTGGTCCATTTTTTGAGACCATTAAACATAAGAGCTCATCTGAAGATAAGATTTCCCTGAGATAGCTGCATAAAATTAACTTATCACCTTTCTCAGAGAAAAGGGTGCACCTGAATGTGTTGAGCCTACTCAGTCAAACATAACCTAAAAATCCAATAAGACATTTGCACAGAACTAACACTTGACTGATATCTTTACTTTGAACATCGTTAGTTTCCTTAAAATTTTAAGATTTTGTTCTATTTCCATTTCATTTTCTCCTTTACCATTGTGCTATCCATGTATAATTACAGAGCTGAAAGTGGCCAGAAAGATCATTGATTAATCCATCTCCCTGGGTTCAGGCAGAATAACAATTAGATAATTTTGGACTAATGAAGTCATAAAAATTGTCACATAACAATTTCATGGCATATTATTTTCATAATTCATAAGTTTTATATTTAGAAGTGTGAAGTACACAGGAACACGTATTTGATTTATTCTAAGACCTTTCTCCTAACTTATCTAGCTTTATTATTTTTTAAAAGGTTCTAGCTTGCTTTTAGATAAAACTTGAAACATATGTGCACCATGTCTCCTAATATTAACCTGTATGTATCTTTTTAAAATTGTTTTCATTTTTCTTACTTTTTTCTTACTGGTTATCCAACGTATTTTTTTTTTCATGATATTATTCTATATGAACAGCACATTCACATTTTAAATTTTATACTTTTTTCATTATTAAGTCTTCAATGGCTTTGCAATGCTTCTGAATTAGGATGATGTTTATTATTCTCAAAGACATGTTTTTATATATTCAACCTCTCTGGGTTTCCTAAATCATGGTATTAATATATAAGCATGTTATTTTTATTTTTTTATTTTTTTGACGCAGAGTCTTGCTCTGTCACCCAGGCTGGAGTGCAGTAGTGCAATCTCAGCTCACTGCAACCTCCGCCTCCTAGGTTCAAGTGATTCTCCTGCCTCAGCCTCCCGAGTAACTGGGACTACAGGTGTCTGCCACCATGCCCAGCTAATTTTTTGTATTTTTAGTAGAGATGGGGTTTCACCATGTTGACCAGGCTGGTCTTGATCTCCTGACCTTAGGTGATCCACCCACCTTGGCCTCCCAAAGTGCTGGGATTACAGGTGTGAGCCTCCATGCTGGGGCAAACATGTTATTTTTATTGCTGTACGGAACCCTCTTTACTTTTAAAACATGGTGCAACTTTATGCTTCTGGATGCAATTAGGACCAAATATACATGTTTTTAAAGTCAACTAGAATAAAATTGAATTTTAACACCAAACACATGCTATTGCCATTTTAGGGCAAAGTCTAAAGTAGAAATTGTAGTGAGAAAAAAGTTAGCTTTCCTAAGCAGATGAGTCAACAGAGAGAAGCACTAGCTTCTTCCATAATATTGATATTATAGCCAATATACGTAAATCATTTTTTCTTTGAGTTCTATGTGAAACCTTGTAGTTCAGTATCTTACTGAATATACTGGTGGAAAAATATAAATAGTATGTAACTCATTTGACTCTTTACAGCACAAAGTATATAGGAACTTCATCCCTATCATTTCGATTGATGGTAAAGATGCGTGGCTTGTTCTGTCCATATGGGTCTAAATATTGACTGAGAAGTTATTACCAAGTATTTATTTTGTGCTTGGGACAACACACAAAGTCTGATGCCATCAATTAAGATTATAAAGGTAATCTGGCCAAATAAAGGAACTAAAGAGATAATCAGTCCAAGTTCGACTCAACAGATATTTAATACGTATGCATCAAGCATTTGCTAGATATTGTGTATGTGCAGGGAGAAAATTACTAAGTTAGTGCATCGCACTAACTGTGGTTTAGATAATGGTTTTAGGTAGTAGATTGAGATGGTATTAAATGACAGAGTATCATACAATGGGTAAGCTCTTTTCACCTCTCTTCGAAACCTCCTAAGTATTATCAAGGAGAATACTTCAGCTTGATGCTCCTATACCTTAAGCTCCTCTCTAATACAAGTATGTTTACAAAAGGGAGAGGCATCATTCTAAATATTTGAGGTACACAACAATATCATTACAATTTTATAGTATGACTTTTATTTTTGTCATCTTATTTTAAGATTTCTCTTTAATTAGAGCTAACATATCATTTTTCTTTAGAATAAATGTATTTAAACCAATAAGCAAATAGTTTAAGTTAAAAGAATATTGACAATACAAGTGACACTCCAATATGGCAAACCTGTGGATTGTTACACAATGCATGAAGTTGGTAAGCACTGGACAGTTGTATTCTTTGCTCTTGAGAACCACCATCTGGGTTATTTTGCATGGGGTTATATTCTGTTCCTGAGTATTTTTTTCATTAGACTTCAAATCTAAGTGCTCTGTTTTATACTACTGGTAATATGAGGACAAAGATCATCAGCATCCTAGAAGCCTGTGCTATTTTTAAAATGAGATATAAGTGGTAGGGATAAGATTTATATAAAAAGACAAAACTTTTTAAAAAAGAAATAATTGAGAGCCACGTCTGCCTCAAATGCATTTTTCATCAAACATCATTTGGGTGGGGTGCTGGGAGAAAATATAGACAAAAAAAGGGAGAAAGAATGAAAGAGAGGAAGGGAGGAGAAAGGGAAGGAGGGAGGGAGGGAGAGCGGGAGGGAAGAATGAAAAAAGAATGAGCAAATTCTATTATCTAGAAAGGATGGCTTTTCTTTTATTATCCCTGAATGTAGAGCTGTGAATTTACCCTAGATTTTAGCCCAAAAATATTTAACATGACTATATTCTTTTCTTAGATTGTAAGATAACTGCAATAACTGTTGGTCAAAAGTTGTTTCTTCCTTAGTATCCATTTTAACTACAGATTTTTCTTTTGGTTGAAAAAGAAGAATTATCTCTGAAGTAAGTACTGTCTATATGATATGGCAAGCATATATACATGGCAATCTCAGAATGCTTTAGTCAGGATTTTTTTACTTGTCTATGGGATTATTTTTGTTTTCAGCTTCCAAATGCCAAGAGAAAAGAAACATAATGCATTTTTTAAAAATCTGGATGATTTTGCTTTTGATTTGAGATCTGGGCACTCATCTTATTCTTGTACTGCAATTAGAATCAAGCAAATCATTAAGCATTTCTAAGAGGAAATCCTATGTGAATTTAAACCACTTATATTTTTGCTTCACTTTTTCTGTTGTTAATTCACTACATCACACATAAAAAAGCAGATCTAGGTCTAAGATTTACCTAACAAATTTCTTGATACATCTTTTTTATTGAGATAAAAACATAGCATTGATTTTTTTCTCCCCAGGTAGCTGCTTTCTAAATCCTCTATGATTATAAAAGTAAAAAGGAAGGAAGTAGATGTAGGGAAAGGAAGAGAGAGAGAAAGGAAAGGAGGGAAAGGATCTTTTACTTAGATTCTTAAAGCCGCAAATAGGTAATGTTTTCAAGGCAAGTCTTCAATGCTGGGAGAAAAATAATCAAAGACTGGAGAAAATCTTGTACGAACATAGAAAAACTAAGGAGGATATTTGCTTTCCTGCCATGTTCTGGGAAACTTTAAGAAATGAATCTATGTTTTTTTATTATACAACATGGAACATCATTTCTCTCTATTGCATTTGATGTTTAAAATTTTCTTATTTTCCTCTTAATATTTTAGTACAGTTTTATAAAAACTATTCTTACCAACACTGAATCATGCTGTTCATAAGAGAGCTAGCATTGCATAAACACTGATATTTCATTGAGGTCAGGTACCAGTATTTTTCATCTTTATATCTTAATGCTTAGTGAAGTGGCTGAAATGTAGTAGACACACCATAAAGTATTTGATAAAAAAAGGTGATTAAATGTTGTGTAAATGAGAAAGGTCAAATTTAAAACAAAACAAAATAAAACAATACACCAGCCTGAGTACCTAATTTAGTTGAAAATCACAAATGTTTACTGTGTGACTGCTATAGTTAACACACTGAATTCAATGCTGTAAATTACAGGAAATTAGGAAGCGTCTGATCTTCAAAGAACAGTTTTAATATCAGCCACATATTTTGTCATGGTGTTTTTAAGTAATCAGCATCAAGTTTTGTTTAATTGACCTAATTGTGACAGTAGGTATTGAATATTAAGAATGCCACGATTAATCTTACTAATTAGTTTTCTGGCCTTTTGTCCATTTTGCAGAAACTCAGAGGAAAGAGTCTTCATGTGTAAAACTTTGTGCCAGGAAGATATAGCAGTCATTCACTGAAACTAGAGAAGCCTTTATAATTTTAAGTTTGATATGAAACTTGAAGTGATTTCATTTTAGTTTGAAAATGATCATTTTTTTAGTCCCTGGCCATTGAAGAACCAGGTGTTGAGATGGTCAATCAGGACAATGAGCCAAACTTAAAGTAACAATCAAGCTTTTATTCACTGACTGTGGCATAGCAATCAAGAGGCAAACGTTGGCACTGGCTCACTGGCGTTTCTTTTTTTTCCCTGTGGAACAGCAGTAGGTAAGGGTCAGGTGGATCAGTGCAGACAAGGAGTTGGTAAGGGGATGGGGGTCAGGGGAGAATTGTCTTACTGCCCAAGAGACCTGAATGAAAGGCTCCTGCCTTTTTTATGGACCAGTGGTTCAGGGATGGAGGGGAGGAGTGGAAAAGTACTGAGTTAAAGTGGAGAAAAATACCTCAGCCAAGGCCACCAGAGCAGAGATTTTGAATGAAGCACTTAGGCTAGAATGCAGATATGTACATGAGCATGGCTGACTCGGGGAAGTGGGAGTGGCTTGAGTACTTGACTGAAACTCCTTTCAGAAAACTACAGTGCACCAAGACTTGTGTAGAATGGGCAATTTCCTTCCATGAGTCCTGCCAGGCAAGACTTTATGGTTGCCTGTAATTGAGCTGGAAATATCACATGTAGTGATATCAGCCTGGAACCATAATGAACTGATTGACCATCATCCCTCAGCTCTTCAGCACTGGAGATTATATTAATGCATCTACATCAACCCTCTTCTGTTAGTGTCATCCTGACTGGAGTTCTCCAGTATTTGACTCAACAATATCATTTCTTTGTAAGCACTCACTATCTTTCAGATACTTGGTCTAATGGTCAATTACCCTCTTTTTCTGTTAATCTTAATTTCCACTTCATATTGGCCATCTGCCACAAATAACAAAATAAAATACTGTCCCTGAGTTCCTTCAGTACTGTCCAAAAACAAAATAACTTGTCATCGCTTGCCTTCCTTCTTCTTAGAGACAAAAATTCTTTTCCATCATATTTACATTTTTAAATATTATTCTCTTAAATTATTAAATGAGTCTTCTCATGGTTAAATGTGATTTTTTTTTCCAATCCAGACACCTGAATTCTGTTACCTCATTTGCTGATATACTCCCTTGCTTTGACACAGCCATCTCTTGGCATTTCAGTAGCAAGCCCTGCATTATCCTCACATTTTGCTTTCTCTACTCTGTTCCTACTTCTGGGCTACAGTGTTAGCTGTAGCCATCAAGCTTGGCTTACTAGACGCTTGTGCTCTCCAACCACAACTTGGCTGAGGACACTTGCTTGGCAATGCTCTCGTTCATCCCTCATTGGATTTCTGGCTGCCTCCCTTCAGTGGCAGATCTAGGCTTTGGCCTTCCATTCCTTTTCTTTCACCCACCTCTCCTTACAGATGACAACTTTTTCTATTCCTTCAGTGAGGTGTGAATTCTCCATCCTCCCGCTTAGTACCTCCGTGTTTATCTTTACTATTCCCTGTAGAAGAAAAGATGATACTCTCTTTTTCTCTAAAAGTAACACAGTAGCATCTGCAATATTGTGGCATAGCATAATAGTTAAGAGCACAGGCTATTTTGGGGAAAATATGAATTCACATACTGTATTTATAGCTAAAATAAAATATGATGCAGTCTCAGAATTTGGATTTTCACTCAATGCCAAAATAACGCAGAAAAACACAAAAAAGAAGACAGACAAATATATGAAACACTTGTTTTCAAGACAGTAGAATTAGCTACAAAAGATGATAAACCATAAAAGACAGGAAACAAATGAAGTAAGCCTTATAATTACCCAAGCTTAGCAGCTTGAGAGAGTTTCTAGGCTGTAGCTCACTGAGAGAAGACTCAGGCAGAAGCCAACCAACTTCCTTAATTGAGAAGATGAGAAGCAAGATCAGGAAAACCAAAGTGACATGACAGAATAACAGAGAGCTGCATGAAGGAAAAAAAAAAAAAAGAAAAAAACCTTGAGATTTGCAGAGGATACCTCTCAACTATTCAGTTGTGGAGTAATCAGTGTGTGCATGTGAAGAAATAACCTGAGGCTAGAGAAAAAAGGGATTACTACCTTTATATTCATACAGGGTTGGGAGCAGTGCCTCTTCCCACCATCTTAAATGGAGAAACTAATTGACAGGGTATTAGGTAGACTAATCAAGAAGGTCTTCTCTCAGGAGTGAAAAATAATTAGCCCTAGTTGGAGCACTGCTGAAAACCCACCTTGCAAAGCATAATATCCATACCCGAAAGAATCAAACTGTTTTCAAGTATTAAACAACTTTAAATTACTAAATTAAACACAACAAAGCTTAAATTGGGAGTACAAAAATATCCACCATTCAACAAGGTAAAATTCAAAATGTGTGGCATCCAATCAAATATTTTCAGGTATACTGAGAAAGCAGAAAAACATGGCTCACAATGAGAATAATTAGTAAGTTGAGGTGGATCCAGAATAGAAATAGATCTTAGAATTAGTAGGCAAAGATGTTTAATTAGTTACTATAACTATATTCTATATGTTCAAAAAGTTAAGAGAAGACACATAAGATATAAAAAAGGTTGGAATCTGAATTATGAGGATTAAAACTACAATGACAGTGATTAAAAATGTACTAGATGATAACCTAGAGAAGATTAAAGGCATATTAGATATAGTAGAAGAAAAAATTTTGAATTTGAAGACATAACTAGAAAGCATCCAAACTGAAGCAAAAAGATAAAAGAAAACAAAATCAATAAAACAACATTAATGAGCTGTGAAATAACTTTAAGAAACATAATATATGGATAATCAGAGTCCCTGAGGTAGAGGGAGGAGAAGTAAATCTGTGAATCCAAGAAACTCTATGAACCCCAAACATAAAAACTATGAGGAAAACTAAACCAAGGCACATCATGATTAAAATACTCAAAGCTTGTGACGAATTTAAAGATTTGAACTTTAACCAGAGGGAAAACAAGATGAATTTCATGCAGAAGAATAAATTTAAGGGTAACAGCAGATTTCTTTTTGACAGCAATACAAATGAGAAGAAAATATAGCTAAGTCTTTAAAGTATTGAAAGAAAAAACTCTCAACCTAGAATTCTATACCCAGCACAAATATATTTCAAAAGTGAAGGCTATATAACATAAACTCACTGTCAGACATACATACAAAAGCTGAAATAATTTATTACCAGTTAATTCACACTACAAAAAATATTAAAAAGTCCTCTAGGCAGAACAAAATAAAATGGAGATGGAAATATGGCTCCACACAAATGAATGTTCATGTCTTTTGTAGGGACATGGATAAGGTTGGAAACCATCATTCTCAGCAAACTAACACAGGAACAGAAAACCAAACACCACATGTTCTCACTCATAAGAGCACTAGAAATGATAACCATGTGGGTAAATATAATATTATTTATTATTAGTTCTCTTTAAAAGATATTAAGAGCTTCTTTTGCACAGCAAAAGAAACTATCATCAGAGTGAACAGGCAACCTACAAAATGGGAGAAAATTTTTGCAATCTATACATCTGACAAAAGGCTGATATCCAGAATCTACAAATAACTTAAACAAATTTACAAGGAAGAAAAACAACCGAATCAAAAATTGGGAGAAGGATATGAACAGACACTTCTCAAAAGAAGACATTTATGCAGCCAACAAACATATGAGAAAAGCTAATCATCACTGGTCATTAGAGAAATGCAAATCAAAACCACAATGAGATACCATCTCACACCAGTTAGAATGGCGATCATTAAAAAGTCAGGAAACAACAGATGCTGGAGAGGATGTGGAGAAATAGAAATGCTTTTACACTGTTGGTGGGAGTGTAAATTAGTTCAACCACTGTGGAAGACACTGTGGTGATTCCCCAAAGATCTGGAACCAGAAATATCATTCTACCCAGGAATCCCATTACTGGGTATATACCCAAAGGATTGTAGGTCATTCTACTATAAAGACACATGCACACGTATGTTTATTGTGGCACTGTTCACAACAGCAAAGACTTGGAACCAACCCAAATGCCCATCAGTGATAGACTGGATAAAGAAAATGTGGCACATATACACCATGGAATTCTATGCAGCCATAAATAAGAATGATATCATGTCTTTTGCAGGGACATAGATGAAGCTGGAAACCATCATTCTCAGCAAACTAACACAGGAACAGAAAACCAAAAACCACATGTTCTCACTCATAAGTGGGAGTTGAACAATGAGAACACATGGACACGGGGAGGGGAACATCACACACCAGGGCCTGTCCAGGGTGGGGGGCTAGGGGAGGGATAGCATTAGGAGAAATACTTAATGTAGATGATGGGTTGATGGATGCAGCAAACCAACATGGCATGTATATACCTATGTAATGAACCTGCACATTCTGCACATGTATCCCAGAACTTAAAGTATAATAATAAAAAGATATTAGCTATAAAAATCAAAACAAATAACAGTACCTTATAGATTTTATTACAGATATAATGGTAAAATGTATGGCATTAAGGCCAAGCAGGGAAAAACAAAAGTATTCCAAATGCTGATAAGGACGTGGAGCAACAGGAACTCTCATTCATTGCTGGTAGGAATGCAAAATGATATAGCCACTATGAAAGACAGTTTGGCTGGCAGTTTTTAACAAAACTAAACATACTCCTACTATATGATCCACCAATCATCCTCCTTGGTATTTACCCAAAGAAGCTGAAAACTTATATCCACACAAAAAATTACATATAATTGTTTACAGCAACTTTATTCATAATTGCCCAAACTTGGAAGCAACAAAGATATCCTTCAATAAGTGAATAGAGAAATAAATTGTGGTACATACAATAAAATATTATTCATCACTCAAAAGAAATGGCTATCAAGCCATGAAAAAAGAGAGAAAACCTATATGCATATTATTAAGAGAAAGAAGACAATTTGAAAAGGCAACATATTCTATGAGTCTAAGTATACGACATTTGAGGAGAGGGAAATGATGGAGACATTAAAACAATTCATGGTTGTCTAGAGGTTGAGGAAAACAAGGATGAACAAGTGAAGTACAGAGAATTTATTTATTTTTATTTTTTTTGAGACAGGGTCTCACTCTGTTGCCCAGGCTAGAGTGCAGTAGCATGATCTTGGCTCACTGCAACCTCTGTCTCCTGGGTTCAGATGATTCTCCTGCCTCAGCCTCCCAAGCAGCTGGGACTACAGGCGTGTACCACCACGCCCTGCTAATTTTTGTATTATTAGTAGAGACGAGGTTCTGTCATGTTGACCAGGCTGGTCTCAAACTCCTGACCTCAGGTGCTCCACCTGCCTCAGCTTCCCAAAGTGCTGGGATTACAGGCATGAGCCACCATCCCCAGCCGAGAACTTTTAGTGTAGGAAAGCTATTCTGTATGATACTATAAAAGTGGATACATGTCATTATACATTTGTCCAGACCCACAGAATTTACAACACCAAGAGTAAAACCTAATGTAAACTATGGGATTTGGGTGATAGTGAGGTGTCAATATAGGTTCATTAATTCTCACAAATGAACCACTCTGGTGGGGGATGTTGATAATGGGGAAGGCTATGCATGCATGGGGACAGGAGGTATATGGGGAACCTTTGTAACTTCTGCTCAATTATGCTATGAACATAAAACTTCGCTAAAAAATAAAGTCTATTTTTAAAAGTATACTATTCTAAGACTCATACTATACATGAAGTAAAATAATATCACTTAGAGGTTTACTAAATGAGTTAAAGATGAATGCTATACATTCTAATGCAACCACTAAAATGATTTATAGCTAATAAGACAATAACAGAAATAAAATAGAATCATAAAAAATACTCAGTGAACTCAATGGAAGACAAAAAAGGAAACAAGAGAAAATAAATAGAAAATAAATAGCAAGACGATAGCTTTAAACTTAACTATGTCAGTAGTTAAGATCAATGTAAATGATCTAAGTGCATCAATTTAAAGATAGAGATTGTTATATTCGGTTTAAAAAGCCAGACTTAACCATATGCTGCCTCACTTCAAATTAAAATGTTCCACAGATAAAGCTCAGATGGTTGCACTGTTAAATTCTAGCAAACATTTTAGGAAAATAATGCTGATTCAATACAAATGTTTTTCCAGAAAAATTGAAGAAGAAATACTTTAAAACTTATTGCATGAACAAGGCCAGTGATAGATGTTATTATTGCAGCACATATGAGGTATTTATAGATCTACCTGAGATGATTAGGAAAGCTTTGAATGTTCTTTCAAACCTTGTTGATTGTACATGTCTGTAAGCTGTCAATACAATGCTGTGCCTTGAAATAATGGACAATATCTTTCCTGTTAGTACCGGAGGCAGTAACCAAAGAAATAGCCAGGAAAAAAACAAATTTAAAAATGCATCATGAACAGAATGTCAGCTATGAAGCCATTAAATATCTATAATTTTAGAATTTTGATGTATTATTCACTGATAAACATTTTAAAGGTTATGGTAGAAACAAAGTAATTTTGCTAGATGGAAATTTTCTATATCATTTCTTTAATGCAAGTTATTCCAATTACCATTTAGCTAATGAACCCTTCAAATTTCATTTGCATAATGGGTGCCAATTTTGACAAGAGGAATTTATCCTGCTGTGATAAAAGCATCATTGGACTCACCAATGGAGTGATGATTATTTAGTTTTAAATCAGCATGGACACACCATTGAACAGTCACAATCACTGGCTTGTCATTCTGGGTCTCCAGAGCTCTCATTTTCTTTCTGGTTATAGGACCTGCACTCAAAACATGATTAACTACATTCAACATTAAGGTTATAACTAGCAACGAGGCTTTCATTTGAATGGCTTCTTCAGATCAACTGAATTCTGTGATCTTCAAACTACCCCTTTCTCAAATATGATGTCATTTTTATATGCTATTATCTGTGTAGTGGGGACTCTCTCAAACCTCTTTCTCTAGCTCCAACTTTGCCCTGAGCTCTAGAGCCATGTATTAAATTGCATACTAGACCTCCTTAGCTGGGTATCCTGTACTATGCTATGCTCTGTGCTGAGCACTTTCCATGCATTGTGTCAACCTTATTACATATCATCCTTAAAGGAGATAATATCGTCCTTATTTACACATGAGAAAAAAAGAGATTACAAGTAAATTCCCAATTTCACACAGCTGGTAGAAGGAGGAAGTAGAATTCAAATCAAATTACTCTGAGTCCTAGGCCATTTTATACTGTCTTGTACCTTATATTACATCTTGGAATTAATTTGACTTAAAATTGAGCTCCTAGACAAATTTGTGTTGTTTAAAATCATACCTTTAAAAATAAAAATAACTTAACCATCCTGTACTCTTTATATTGATAGATAGCACAGCATCCTTTTGGTCAAACAAAAATGTCAGGTTTATTCTCTGCTTTCCTCCAAGCCAATAGTGGTAAACCATACCAACCTGTTTGCAAAAGCTGTGTCTGGAGATTTTCCTTAAGCAGAATGTATCCTGATTTTTTGGGGAATAAAGCAGTGGTTTCGTGCAGCAGAATACTGTACAAAATTATTCTAAAACTGATCACTCTCTCGGGCCAGAGCATACTTAACAATTAGTACAGATGCCCACAGTACAACTATGGCAATTCAGAATAATTATACAGATACAAAAAATTGACCCAGACCAATTAACTACTTTTCATTATCTTTATGTATCTTGTATATACACAACCAGATTCAGGTATTTTATAAAACTCATAGGTCTGTGAAATATCACTGAGTTTGATTATTATGATAAGGAGTGAGAGTATAAAACCAAGCTCTTATTTCTTGTCTCTCATTAAACTCTATGAAACCTAGTGTCCTCTTGGAATTACTGGGTGGATTAAATGTGATATAACGAAATCAGTGATAACAATGTTTCCCATATAACACAATAAAGCAGAGGTTCACTATTATTTTCATTGATTTAGATAAGTTAATTCAGAGTACTAACCACTACTGGGTGGAAAATTGCCTTTATTAGAGAACAGAGGGATAGGTAACATAAGAAAAAAACTACATTTGAAAAAGAATTAGGAACTTACCTAGAAATCAGAGCTCCAGTAGTCAGGGGAGTTTCCGGAATTTAACATTTGTTAAGTACTGATGGTGTGCTAGGAGGAGTATGCAAAATGCTTAATATGTTTTACTACATTTATTCCACAAGGATTTACTTAGTACTTAGAGTCTTGTGCGTTGTGTTCCAAGCATAATGCTAGTAAAGAAACCTGTGATATCAGTGCTATTTTGTCCTTTTATCCCTTTGTAAATAAATTTAACATTAGAACTTTAAGTCACTTGCCCAGGATTTCACTTGTGTTAGTTAAAAAATTGAACCTGCATTTATTTGACTCCAAAGTACGTGTTCTCAAATCCTACATAATGCTGTCTTCTATATTCCTAGAAGTTTTTATTTCCATATAGTAAAATTAGTATATAAAGCATGGTTTATAAAGGAAAAAAGAGATTGGAGTTTAAAATCTGGTTCCATGAATCGTTAATTTTATGATCATTGACAAGTCTGACGTCATGAGCCTCAGTTTCTTAACCAGTATAATGACTAATAAACTTTCAATTTATCTGGCTTGCAATGAAGATTACATGAAGCAGTGTATGCAAAGTGTGTGATATGTTGTCTTATAGTTAAAAAGTATTTATTATATTATTTTAGAAGATTGCTCTTCTTTTCACCCTGCATCTCAGCATTTTGTGTACTGTCTACCATGTTATAGACACTTAAGAAATACCTGTAGAATGAATAATGAATAAATGAGTAAATTATGTATACAGTGCCTCCAAAGGTTGCAGACCTCTCACAATATGAGTTCCTCACTGAAATAGTCAAGATATACTCCTACATTATCAGTGTCCCTGCTTATCTGCTTGCTTGCTTCTGAATGATTTTTGCTGTGAGATAATATCAGTAATGCTTCACCTTGTATTTTAAAAGCATGTATTTTAAAAGCATGCCAGAGGATATAGCTGGAACTGAGTAAGCACAAATCATATCCAAACTAGGGCAAGAGAAAATAATCTGTTTATCCAGAATGCAACAACACTGTTACCAGATTAGAATTACCAGAGATGGTTGAGTGCAATCTGATTTTATAAAATAGTCCATAGAATAAATATGCCATTTAGAAACTTCCAACGTGTAAAGATGTTTGGAGCTGTACTTAGAGTGAATCTTCTAACTCAGAGATGAAACACTGTAGCTAGGAATAATAAAAAGAAATATTCAGGTAACATACAATTGTTTTAATGCAAATTGGCACAAAATTATGCATGGAGAAATTAAAAAGCGCTATTACTTTAGGAAATGGGTATTTAAATTTAACTGACATACTATTTGGAAATATTTGTATGTTACTCTTTCTGTAAAAGGTATGAACAAAGCCACTGAGACTAACTTTGCATTATGGCCTATGAACCTTATTATAATATCATTTTATATTGCTCACAAAAGCAGATTTTTCAAAACTGAGTAAAATAAAGCAACCATTTTTTTTTTCAGAAAAAAGCATTTAAAACATCTAACTTATGTTATATTGATCCTTTTTCCAGGCTTGACAAGTCGTGGTAGATTAGATTGTTACTGAAAATACTTATTCCCTCCTTTTCTTGACTTGAATGTACCTGACACTTTAGGCTCTTCCATGTAGCTTTTTTTGGCCAATGAAATTTGCTCAGAAGCAATGATATTCCAGTTCTAAGCCTGACATAACAGTGGGGTGGTCAGTAGCAAATAAAAAAGAGTGCCTGGTTAAATTTAAGATTCAGATATGCCACAAATATTTTTAACATAAGTATATCCCATGCAACGTTAGACACATACTTATGCTAAGATGTATTCTTTCTTATCTGAATTTAAAAATTAACTAAGTATGTTCTTTAAAAAGTACATTAAGTCCACTCTTCTTTGAAGACTTGTTTCTTAGCTATCCTTACACACTATCTGTAGGCAGCCATGGTAACACCTTTTCTGCTCTTACCTTTATTATCACACTCACCACATAATATTGTAATCATATGCTTTTGCATTTTTTCCTCTTGCTAAATGTTAAAAGCTGCAGTTGACGTATAGGTAGTCCTTAATAGATGTTTATTAAAATTTTTATGAAATGTTATCTTAAGGAAGGGTGATGAAGCCTTTGCTCACATTGAAAATTTCTGGAAATAATAACATCTGTATTCTCTTTTGCCTGTATCAGAAGTTCACATAATGGTCTCCGCAGTAAGTTTAATTTATTTACAGTATTTCCATTATCTAATATATGACAAAGTATTGTCACTATGTCAGAATATTAATTAAAAATAATATTGTTTGTAAAGTACATGAAGTATTTCAGTATATGATTAAAGTTATAATTTTTACCATTGTTCAATGATATAATTCTCCTCAAGAAACATTTTTGTCTTTGAAGAAAACATCAAACTACTTGAATATTTATCTTCATGATCTATGTTTCATTGCCCTTTATAAATAAGATTATAGATTGGTAGCTAAATGGATGGAGAGAGAACCTGTGGGGGCAGTGCTGGACTTGCCTAATGTTTGGTTCTCTTCAGAGATTTGTTTGAAAGGTCATAGACAAGGTTACTAAATCTGTACGTTTGTTAAAAAATACCCTATTACTCAAGAAAAAGATTCCATTTTGATTTACTCCTAGTGGAGAGTGATGAATCAATATTTGTTGAATTGAATTGAAGTGCATTAAAAATCTGTTTCCTGTAACTCTTTTATCTAGAGCTCCTGAGTTATTTCTCAGGGAAAGAAAAAAAGGTCTAAGTTTGAAAATCCCAGTGAATAATAACAATTTTATTTCAAAATGCTTTCTCTATCTTTATTTTCTGTGCTCCCCTTTCCACTGTCCTTAAAAATACTCCTCTAACTTTTAAAAAATTAATCTCCTGTGTAGAGCATCAGCAAATGGAGCCAACTCACAGATGGAAAGTTAGAATTTGGGCCAGACAGCTAACGTATTCATCCACTGTCTTCCAGAGTTAGTCAAGTGTGTCCAGCTGGTTTAGCATAGTAGGAGACTTAATACAACATAGCATCATAATCAGTGAATTGAGACTAAATTTTCTTTCAATAGAAATGAAACTATACAGTCCTGGTGAGTCTTCCACAGACTATGGGGAAAAGCACAAGCCAGTTTAAACTTAAGATTCCTCAGGACCTAACAAAAGGATTTTCATCATGGCAAGCCAAATATATATTTGCCTGGTACTGAATCTTATATCCCATTTACTATGAAGACATTTCCATCAATAGCTAACAATAGCTACATAGGATAGATTTTTAGGGCACTTAGGAATAGATAAACTACAGTGTTCAAATCAAAATATTCTGATAGTGGCTTGAATTCCAGGTTGCCACAAGGTAGAAAGCCTGGAGCATAAAATTCACAAGTGACATTTTAATAATTTTGCTTTCAACAAGGGCTCATCAATTTGTCACAGAATTTACAGTGAATATCTTAAGCACTATCATCTAATTATGAGACAAATTCTCCTTCACATCATTCCTACCCAGCAGATATTCTCAGAGAAGTGGAGAAGTCAGACAATTCTAAAGCTAAGTTACATAAGTAAACAAAATACTTAGGCTTAAAATATCTAAAGGAGTCCAGAACTTATGTATATAAATTTTTCAACTTTCAAATTTATCTTGTTTGGCTTTTGCCTCTAACATTATGATATTTATTAATCTTAACTATTTGGAAACATAATGTATAAGTATAAAAACCTAGAAATGGTCTTAAGATGATGAAGTCAGCAATGATACTATTATTGTGGTGAATGTTAGAAGGATGTCGTATTCTAAAGAGGCAGCATGGGGTACTGAAGAGCATGGACACGAGGATTTAAATACTGGCTTCACTAACTACCAGCTTTCACTCGTAACATCAACTGTATTTTAAACTGTACTTATTACACTCTGTACAGGAAAATTGTAATAGCATCTACTTCATAGAATTCATATGAGGATTTTTTTTTTTTTTTTTGAGGCAGGGTTTCACCCTGTCACCCAGGCTTGAGTGCAGTGGCATGATCTTGGCTCACTGCAGCCTCAACCTCCAGGGCTCAAGCGATCCTCCCACCTTAGCGTCCTGAGTAGCTAGGACTATAGGCACTCACCACTGTGCCTGGCTAATTTTTAAATATTTATTGTAGAGACAGGGTTTCGCCGTGTTGCCCAGGCTATTCTTGAACTCCTGGGCTCAAGCAATCCACCTACCTCGGTCATCCTAAAGTACTAGGATTACAGGCATGAGCCACCATGCCCAGACTTATAAGGATTATGATATAAGATAAAGCACTTAGAATACTGGCATATAATAAAAACTCAATGAATCATAGACATTATTATTACTATAATTATTTATCTGAAATATTATTACTCAGATCCAGAAAGAAATGTATTTAGATCACAATTTTGTCTCATACTAGCTTTGTAAACTTGAAAAACTTGTTTAGCTCCTTTGACTCAATTTATTTCTATGTCATAAAAGGATAATATTGTCTGCCTTATAGATATGCTGTGAGGTTTAAACGAAGCCTTCCTGAGAATTTTAAACTACACTGCAAAGCACCCATATAATTTCTGGCATAGCATTCAATAGGCAATAGTAATTGTTATTATCACTTAATTTTTTCGATGTTAATATTTTAAAGGCAAATATTGGGAAGTTAAAAAATATATGTTCCAAATCTCTTTCTAAATGTAATTAGGAAGTAAAGACATACAGAGTACACTAGGAAATGAATCATCCAAACATTTAAAATTTTTGATAGCTCACAGTAAATCAATTGGACTTTGCCAATATATGAATATTTATTTATATCTAAAAATAACTACCATGTGTTATTGTACTAATGTATTATATATACAAACAGACTAAAAGAATGACATAACACATTATTAAAAATGTAAAATCTGACCAGGTGTGGTGGCTCATGCCTGTAATCCCAGCGCTTTGGGAGGCTGAGGCGGACGGATCATGAGGTCAGGAGTTCAACACCAGCCTGGCCAACATGGTGAAACCCCTCTCTACTAAAAATACAAAAATTAGCCAGGCGTGATGGCACACACCTGTAATCCCAGCTACTCAGAAGGCGGAGGCAGGCGAATTGTTTGAATCCGGGAGGCGTAGGTTGAAGTGAGCCGAGATTGCACCACTGCACTCCAGCCTGGGTTACAGAGCGAGACTCCCTCTCAAAACGAACAAACAAACAAAAAAACGTAAAATCTTTTTTCTTCTTGCTAAAACAGTATTAACAATATATACGTACATTATTCTTTTGGAAAAGCAATGTGATTAAATATGCCTCCTTTATTTTTAATCTTGCTTTAGCATTTTGTGACATAGCAATAAAAAGGTCTAATTTTGGCTTCTTTTTTAAATTCCTGATTTTTGACTGTCATAACTGAAAAAAAAAAGTAATCCAAATTGTAAAAAGGTGACTGTACTTAAAAAATTACACAAAAATTTAAGTTTATTTACCAATTATGCAAAGTTTATGTTAAATTTCATCTCATAAAATTTATTCTTCTGTGATTCAATTGATCGTTTATCAACCTAACTGCAAAATATTCCATTTTTATATTTTTAAAATAGTATTCAAACCACTTCAAAGATTTTAGGAAGATAAAAAAATGTATGTTTCTGAGATGATATAGACTCCAGATATCAATGTTTTTAGGGATGATATACAGCATTTTTGGCAGTAATACCCCTAGGAATGGAAACAATTCTAACCGTCTATTTTTTATCTCTCCACAGTGAGAGTTTCTTTCAAAATGCGATTATTTTCTAACTTGTTTTAAAATTTGTACAAATTTATAGGTACATGTGCAATTTTGTTACATGCATAGACTGTGTACTTGTCAAGTCAGGGCTTTTAGGATATACATTACCCAAATGATAATAATAATGGGTACCCATTGTACACATTAACTAATTTTTCATCATCTACCCCCTTCCCATGTGGTCTGCCTTCTGAGTCTACATTTTCTGCGCTTCCATTCTCTACGTTCATGAGTATACATTTTTTACCACCCAATGATAAGTGAGAAGATGTGATGTTTGACTTTCTGTGACTGGTCTGTTTCACTTAAGACAATAACTTTCAGTTCCACTTATATTGCTGCAAAGGACATAATTTCATCCTTTTTTATGGCTGAATAGTGTTCTGTTGTGTATGTAGTCTACATTTTATTTACTCATTCATCCAGTGATGGATACTTAGGATAATTTTATATCTTTGCTATTATGAATAGTGCTGTGATAAACATATGAATGAAGATATCTTTTTGATATATTGATTTCTTTTCTTTTGGATAAATATCTAGTAGTGGGATTGCTGGAATAAATAAATGGTAGTTCTAATTTTATTTCTTTGGGAAATATCCATACTGTTTTCCATGACACTGTACTAATTTACATTCCAACAATGTGTAAGAGTTTCCTTTTCTCCACCTCCTCAATGACATCTGTTATTTTTTGTCCTTTTTATAATAGCCGTTCTGACTCGGGTAAGATAATGTCTCACTGTGGTTTTGATTTGCATTTCCCTAGTGATTAGTGATGTTGAGCATATTTTTACATACCTGTTGGCCATTTGTATGTCTTCTTTTGAGAAATGTCTGTTCATATCCTTTGCCCATTTTTTGATGAAATCATTTGTTTTCTTAATGTGGAATTGTTTGAGTTCCTTATATATTCTGGATATTAGTCCACTGTCAGATACATAGTTTGCAAATATTTTCTCCCATTCTTCTGGTTGTCTCTTTACTCTGTTGATTGTTTCTTTTGCTGTGCAGAAGTTTTGTAGTTTAATTAAGTCTCATTTGTCTATTTTTGTTTTTCATGCCTGTGCTTTTGAGGTCTTAGTCATAAATTCTTTGTCTGAACCAATGTCCAGAAGAGTTTTCCCTAGGTTTTCTTCTATAATTTTGAGACTTACATTCAAGTTTTTAATCCATCTTGATTTGAATTTTGTATGTGGTAAGATGGGCTAGTTTTATTATTCTGCATATGACAATTCAGTTTTCCCAGCACCATTTATTGAAAACAGTATATTTTCCCCAATGTCTTTTCTTGTTGATTTTGTCAAGGACCAGTTGGCTTTAAATATATAGCTTTGTTTCTAAGCTCTCTATTATGTTCCATTGATCTACATATGAAAAATGACATTGGTATTTTGATAAGGATTTCATTGAATCTGTAGATTGGGAAGTATGGTCCTTTTAACAATGTTTATTTTTGTGTTTCATGAGTATGAAACCTTTTTCCATTTGTTTGTGTCATCTACAATTTCTTTCATCAGTGTTGTAGTTTTTTTGTAGAGATCTTTCACCTCCTTGGTTAAATTTAATCTCAGTTATTTTTGTTGTTGTTGCTTTGTTAAGTAGAATTTCTTTCTTTATTTCTTGCTGAGTTACATCATTATTGGTGTATAGAAATGCTACTGATTTTTGTGCTTTACCTTTGTATCCGGCAACTTTACTGAATTAATTTATCACATCTAAGAGGTTTTTGGAGGAGACTAAGTTTTTATAGATATAAGAAAATATCATCAGCAAAGAAGAACAGTTTGTCATCTTCTTTTCCAATTTGTATGTCTTTTATTTCTTTTTCTTGCCTGATTGCTCTGGTTAGGACTTCCAGTAATATGTTGAATAGTCATGGTGAAAGTGGGCATCCTTGTCTTGTTCCAGTTCTTAGGAGAAATACTTGCAACTCTTCCTTGGCTTATATAGCCTTTGTTATTTTGAGATATGTTCCTTCTCTGCCTGCTATGTTGAGGGTTTTTATCATGAAGGAATGATGAATTTTATCAAATGCTTTTTGTGCGTCTGTTAAGATGATCACATGGTATTTTGCCTTTGATTCTGTTTATGTGATGTAGCACATTTATTGATTTGCATATGTAAGCCATTCTTACATCCCTGAGGTAAATACCATTTGATCATGGTGTATTACCTTTTTGATGTGCTGTTGGATTCAGTTTGCTGGTATTTTGTTATTAAGTTTTGCATCAATGGTCATCAGGCATATTGGTCTGTAGTTTTGATTTTTGTTGTGTCTTTATCTGGTTTTGGTGTCAGGATAATATTGGCCTTGTAGAAAGAGTTAAGAAAAAATTCCTTCTTCAATTTTTGGAGCAGTTTCTGGAGAATTGAAATTAGTTTTTCTTTGTATATTTGGTAGTACTCATCTGTGATTTTATTGCTCCTGGGATTTTTTTCCTTGGGAGTTTTTTAAAATTATTATTACAGGTTCAATCTTGCTACTCCTCATTATTGGGCTGTTCAGGTTTTTTATCTCTTCGTGGCTCAATCTTAGTAGATTTTGTGCTCATGAATTTATCGTTTTCTCTAGGTTTTCTAGTTTGTAAGCATGCAAATATAATAATTTATGATAATCTTTTATATTTCTGTGTTATCAGTTGTAATGTCTCCTTTTTTCATTCTGAACTTGTTTGGATGTTCTCTCTTCTTATCTTTGTTAGTTTAGCTAGCAGTTTATCAATTTTGTTTTTCTTTCATAGGACCAACTTTTTGTTTCCTCAATTCTTTGTATTATTTTCTTAGTCTGTATTTCATTTAGTTCTGCTCTGAGCTTTGTTTCTCTTGTCCTGATAAATTGGAATTTTATTTGTTCTTGCTTTTCTAATTTCTTGAGATGCATCATTAGATTAATTTGTAGTCTCTCTATTTTTTTGAGGTAGGCATTTAATGATATAAACTTCCTTCTTAACACTGTTTTTGCTGTGTCCTACAAATTTCATTTTATTTTCACTTGTTTCAAAAAAATGTTTGATTCCTGTCTTAATTTCTTCACTGACCCAGTGATCATTCAAGATAATGTTGCTTAATTCACATACTTTTATGGGTTCCAAAGTTTTTCTTGGTATCGATTTCTAGTTTTGTTCCACTATGGCCTGAGAAGACACTTGATATAATTTTGATTTTTAGAAAATGTGCTGAGACCTGTTTTGTGGCCTAAACTATAGTCTATTTTGGAGAATGTTCCATGTGCTGTTGAAAAGAATGTATATTCTGCAGTTATTGGGTAGAATATTCTGTAAATGTCTATAATGTCCATCTTGTCTAAAGTCCAACTTAAATTCAATATTTTTGGCTGATTTTTTTTTGTCTAGATGATATGTCTAATGCTGTGAGTGGGGTGTTGAAGCCTCCCATTATTACTGTATTTCTATCTCTCTTTTTAGGTCTAGTAATATTTGTTTTATGAATCTGGGTGCTCCACAATTGGGTACATATATATTTAGAATTGTGATTTCCTTTTGCCAAACTTATTCCTTTATCATTATATAATTTCCTTCTTTTTCTCTTTTACTGTTTTTAAGTCTGTTTTTTTCTGGTAAAAGTATAGCTCCTGCTTGCTTTTGGTTTCAGTTTGCATGGAGTATCCTTTGTCATTCCCTTACTTTCAGTTGATATGTGTCTTTACAGGTAAGGTGAGTTTCTTGTAAGGAAAATATAGTTGGGTGGTTTTTTAATCCATTCAGTCAGTCTGTCTTTTTAACTGGAACATCTAATCCATTTGTGTTCAAGGTAAATGTATATATGTAAGGTTTTGTTTCTGTCATATTGTTAATTGTTTTCTAGTTGTGTCATATTTTTTTTTCTTTTTTCTGTTTTTTTCATTGTGGTTGGTAGGATTCTGTGGTGATGCCATTTGATTCCTTTCTTTTTCTCTATTGTTTAATTGATTCACCAGTGAGTTTGGTACTTTTGTGTGTTTTCATGATGGTAAAAATTGTGCTTTTGTTTCTACGTTTAGGAATCCCTTAAACTATTTTTGTAGAACTGGTTTACTGGTGACAAATTTCCTTAGCATTTGCTTGTCTGGAAAAGGCTTTATTTCTCCTTCATTTATGTAGGTTAATTTTGCTGGATATCAAATTCTTGCCTGCCAGTTTTTTTCTTTCAGCACTTCGAATATGGTATCCCATTTTCTCCTGGCCTGTAAGACTTCTTCTGAAAAATCTACTGTTAGTCTGATGAGATTTCCTGTACTTGTAACTAGATGGTTTTCCTGTGATGTTTTCAGAATTTTCTCTTACATTTTGCCTTTAGACAGTCTGATTATAATGTGACGTGGCAAAATCCTTTATGCATTGTATTTTCCTGGAGATTGTTGAGCCTTCTGTATTTAGATGCCTAGATCTCTTGCTCGATTTGGGAAGTTTTCATCTGTTATGTCATTAAATAAGTTTAAACCTTTCAATGTCTTTTCAATCTCAGAGATACAAATAATCCATACATTTGGTCACTCTATATTGTCCCAAACATCTCAAATGCTTTATTTATTATTTTAATTCTTTCTTCTTTGTTTTTATCTAATTGAATTATTTCAAAAGACCTGTATTCAAGTTCTGAAATTCTTCCTTCTGTTTGTTTGCTCTAGCCTATTGTTGAAGCTTTTGAATATGTTTTGTGTTTCCTTCAATAAAATCTTTAGTTATAGGATTTCCGACTTTTTTGTCTTGTTTTATTTTTATTTTATTTTTTAAGATATCTATATCCTTCATGAATTTCTCATTCATATTCTGAATTATTTTTCTGAGCTTTTTATATTGGTTTTCAGATTTATCTTGCATCTCATTTAGCTTCTTTCAAAATCAATTTTTAAATACTTTAGGATTTAGATAATTTCTTTTGGGTTAATATTTATTGCTTGAGAATTATTGTGGTTCTCTGAGGGTGCTATGTTACCTCACTTTTTTATGTTTCCCATGTCTTTAACTAGATTTCTGCACATCTGTTGTAAATATTGCTGCTGCTTCTTTTAAAATATCCTTTCACTGTAGTGAAAGCTTTTTCCTGCAGATGCTACTATAATGTTGTTAGGTAGGCTACTATAATGTTGGTTAGGTAGGCTTCTATTCTGTGTGCATGTAGTAGTGAAGTTTCTGTATGATTTCTTTGACTATAAACAGCATTATTGGTATCTGTATTTTCTTCAGTGTGTTAGAGTGCAGTTATTTGTGGAGGCTGTAGTGAAGTTGTGCTGGGGATTGGTATGCCAGAAAGGCTAATTCTTGTGCCTCTGGGTGGCTTTCTCAAATGTGAGTTGTAGTAGCAGTGTACCAGGTGGATGAGCAGGATCTCAAGCCCCTGGGTGGCTGGCATAGTATGGCAATAATGGTAGTGGTGTTGAGAGGCTTTCCTTGGTTTCCAATGCTATGTGCCTGGCAGTGGTTGCAATGGGTTTTGCAGGCTGGCCTCCAGACCAGCAGGTAGTGCTTGCAGGTAGGAGGCAGCAGAGGTCATAGTGGTAGGATGTTTATGCTCAACGCTAGTACCCTGGAAGGAGTGTTCAGGTGTTTCATGTGGTGAATTCGGTTGTGCATCCTCCAGGACTCTGGATCTCACACTCTGTTTTCTGTTCCATATGGGGGTGAAGCTGGGTAGAATCTGACTGAGCAAGCTTGCACTCAGGTCCCCAGTGGCAAGTGCATGCACCATCCATGACAGGTAGGGGTATGGTGGTCTAAGGCTTGTGATAGAATGCTTGGGTGAGAGGCAGATGCCACTGCACTTACATTCTCCCATAGTAGGTGAGGTCAGGCCCAGAAGCCACAGCCTTTACTGGCAGATAGGGGACTTACATCCTTCTCATGCCTCAGTCCCAGCAGGGCTTGCTTCCCAGTCCTGACTGTCACAGCTGACCTAGCTGTTCCTTCAGACCCAGCAATTCACTCCTAGCCCACAACTCATAGGATTGCCATAGGATCCCTCCCCCAACCCAAGGCTAAGCCTCCGCAGTATCTTGTCCTGCTCAATTTTGGGGGTGGTTTCAACTTCCAGTGACAGTAGCTAAATCCCACGCCATGGTTGCTTCTCAGTCTTGGTTGCATGACCCCACCCCTTACTTTTGCCCTGGTTCAGCAAGCAGCAGCCCAAGTTTCCCTAACTCCTAGGACTGCTGTCACTGGTTCCCAGGTCTGTGCATAGTCTACTCAAAACTAGGATCAAGAATGAAATCTTGCTGTAGCTGCTTAGGCTTCAGAAAGTGTGTGGGACCCAGGATGTGTCCCCTTCCTGAAGCTGTTTCTTCTGAGTCTCTCAGCCACAACCTGAGTTACATTTAGAGCTTTGGAGGTCAAGGTGCTCTCCCAAGACCTGAATTGTAAAATTCCCCAGGGGGAAAGTGGAGGTCCGAAATACTGTTACTCATGCTCTCTCGTTCTGGGAAGTCACTCACAGTTCCTGGTCTATCCTGGTAAAACAGCTGCCTTTCTTCTCCTTCCTAGGTTTTGCTGTTTCCCATCACTTGTCTGTTGAGCTCCCATATTTCCTTTTGGATACTGTATTCAGCATGC
Organism: Homo sapiens; assembly: GCF_000001405.40. Taxonomy (NCBI): domain Eukaryota; kingdom Metazoa; phylum Chordata; class Mammalia; order Primates; family Hominidae; genus Homo; species Homo sapiens. The sequence goes on from NC_000001.11 coordinate 69,158,329, forward strand.
AATTGTTTAGTCAGCCATCTTGAAAAAAGTCTCTAATTTATTCTTGAAACATCACTTTTACATGAAAGAGATGTTTTTAAATTCTTTATTTTTAATGTAATTAACAATATGATAACATCTCATAAATTCAAACTATGATATGCTACAATATTGAAGCCATCCAGTGAGACCACAACTATCAACATCTCCAACTTGTGGAGTTCTTCTGCTTTGTGGGGAAGATTTTCTGATATAAAGAAAGAGTAAGGATGTCATGGTTAGCCCATTTATTGAATATTATAAACCTTAATTTCCTCCTCATATTTATATTAAAAATAAATATCAGGTACTATAACTTTATTTTCCTCCTGCCCTCAGTGGATCATCTTGCCCATTCCTGGTTATGCACCTCCCACTTTGTAGACCACTGTAAAAACTGCAACCTTTGAGTGTAATGTATGTGGAAAAATTATCATAAACTGGAGTGATGAGTAAAGGTGTGTTCTTTAAGTTTGAGTGAGGGGAAACAGCCTTGATTGGACACCCGTTTTGTGACAAGTCTTTTAGTAAGTACTTTCACATTGATTCTCCTTTTCTGCGTGGAAGAAAAATAGTAAATTCATATTCTCTGGGACCTGTATCTGTGGTATCCAATAAAGTAGCTACCATCCACATGTGGCTATTTAAATTTAAATGAATTAAAATTAAATTATATTAAAATTGTTGGTTCCTTAGTTATGCTAGCTACATGTTAAACCACATGGCTAGTGATTACCATATCAGACAGTATATATTTTAGAATATTCCTATCATTTTATTTCTGTTACTATTGGATAGAACTACTTTGGAATTAGACCTCTTAGAAGGCAGAGGTTTTCAAACAGAGATTTTCAAGCAGATATTTTTCCCGATGCCACTGTTACTATTTACAATTCTAAACAAACACTATATTAATATATAATATAAAATGAAGAATTTTACTTCCTCAATTAATCAAATACAATTAAAACTCTAGACATAAATACTAACTTATACTTGTTAAGAGCTTACTTGGTACCGAACATTGTACTGTTTCATAAGGTTTATTTCATTTAATTCTCACAATAGATTTATACAATAAGTTATTAAATAAATAAACAAAATAATTCAAGGCCATGAGGTTGATAAGCAGTAAAGCTGTGGCATAAATTCTGGAGCCAAGCAGTTAGTTAAGTGGCTCATGTTTGATGTCACATGCTCTATGGGACAGGGTGGAATGAAGAACCTCAGGCTCTTGCCTCAAGCACAAAATTTAAGGGAACAAAATTTGCCATACATCTCAGTAATCAATATTGGTAATATTCTAATGCACTAATTTATTAAATTTAAAACTAATGAAAAAAAATCTATGCTGAATACAATATCAAAATTTTGAACAAAAATGATATCATTATTAGTGATTTTTTATTTTCCTTCAGGTTCCAATATGGCTGTGCCTGACACTTTATTTAAAATTGTGATATTTTGTTGATCATAATTTTTTTTGCATTAATTTGGTTTTAAAAATACTCTCTTCATAATCTTTTTCAATTACTTCTTTTGACTCATGCTGAAATCATGCCTGATACAACTAATTAATCAGAATCTCTGAAGTTTTAAACTAGAAAGATTTTTTTTTGACAGATCCTTAGGCTAGATTTGGTAAATACTGGTCCATGGCTCTTTCCATGCTTTGTTTACTGGTGGTATATTCAGATATATTAACTACCCAGGTACAATGAATTTATTATATTAGCCTTTTGCAATCATACAACCTTAGTTACTTTCCTGATTTTTAGGGAAAATTTATCTTCTCATGAGACCCTGAGTAACAAAAATAAGTGATACCATAGATATAGAAATTATTAAATAGAAATTTCTAGGTATATAATTATTGATGGCACATAGTATGCACTCAATAAAAGATAGCAATTGTATTAGCTGCCTTTTTTCATTCTCCTTTGTAAGTTTTTTTTGAGAGTTGAATACATTGACACAGAATAATTAAGAATTTAAAAAGTATAATGGAACTTCATAGTACATAAAATGAAGGCAGCCATAGTCAGTGATTGATAAGCAACACTGTTCTATTCTGCAGGAGACTAGTACCTTCTAGAGTTGTAGTCTACCATGGCCACTAAAAAAACACAGAACACATTCCTTCCAAAGGTTTGTTCAATGTTCTATTCCCAGGTTTCACACTTCACAGGGTACCTCAGTTTCTAGAAGGCACTGTGACAAAGAGGAAAAGAAAAAGAGACAAGCATGAACTTTTAGCACAGACAGACTTGGGCTCAAAATTCCATCTCTGAAAGCTATGCAATCCTGGGCAAGATACTTGATCTCCCTGAAACTCAGTTTCCTCCTAGTAAAAGCAATGATTATCTGAGTACGTTTATATTTACTTTGGCTTGCGGTTTTTATTTTCCTAAGCTAAGGTATGTAGAGCTTGATTCGTTCTATGATTTTTAGGTCTAAAACATAACCTTTGCTATGTTATTACTAAATACCAGACACTGTATTTTCAGCTAATGAGACTAGAATCCTAGTGTGAAAAAGAAAACTAAATATCGAGAAAGGCAATTTAATTTAAATTTCTCCTAAGCAAATTAATCCAGCCTCCATATGTGAGTAAATTATATGAATAAAAGGGTAACTAGTAGGCACATTATTAGTATTCCATATTAGTTACCATGTCCTTTGGTATGCATTTGTGAGAAACCCAGAACTACCTTATAACAAACATAATATCAAATAATCCATTCCTATGTATTTGTGAAGGACAAGCTTATTTCTTAAGCCTTTTGTATTTCTGACTCATCGTAATCAAGTATATTTGAAGAAATCACTAAATAATTAGAGAACTAGACTCAATGTCATATTATTCAGATACATTTTGGTGGATACAAGCAACTGTCTTTGTGTCAGATTAGTGTCAAATAAGTGGGAGTTGTTTATGAGGGAACCACAGTTTTAACTGAGATGTAACATAATTGTGTTGCATGTGATTTTATAATCAAGATTTCTATTTCAGGTTTCTGCTGCTGCCTTAAAAAATACTATAAAACTTAGTGATACAAAACATTATTTATTGTTTCTCATAGTTCTATGCATTGACTGGGCTAATTTGGGTAGTTTTTCCAGGTGGCTGTGAGAACACATTTGACTGGAAAGTCAGCTGGGGCTGAAATGACCAAAATGTCATCTTATCCTCTAGGGTGCTTGTACAAATAGTTTGTTGACATACATTAGTCTTGTGACTTGGTTCCAAAAGGTAGAAAGCAGAACATGCAGTCTTCCTAACACTTAGATCCAGAATGCCAGTCTAGCTGCATTTAAAGGAAGTCAGAAGACTAGGCCAATCTCAAGCAGAGAGGAAATAGACTCCATTTCTTGATGGAGAGAGTGACAGACATGGACAAGGATGGAAAGAAGTGTTGACAGCCGTATTTAGAGACCATCTATCTCTGTCCTCTGCCACAACAATTCACATCTCCCTTCACCTGAAAATACATTCATATCTCCTTCAAAAGTGACGTCCCATTATGGAACCAGCTCCAAGTCCAGGATTCTGTCACTTCAGTCAAGCCCAGATATGGATAAAGATACTCAGGGTCTAAAGGATAAACTTGGGTAGAGTTTGCAACATAAAATATAAGGCCTTGCTTGGCATGTGACTGGGTAGCAGGCAGAGACCTGAATGGTAAGTGAGGTGATTGCTAGTGGAGGAAAATGGACACTGGGGAAATTGCTATGGAAAAGTGGAGAAAGGGTAGATCATGTCGTGTATTGGCAGAAAAATTTGTGAGACTGTTGCCTAAAGTTACTGGGAAGACAGATAAAAGTATCTAAAGAACTCTGGATCTGGCTGGGTAAGTTTCTAGGCAAATTTTTGAAAATGGCTTTTTAAGCTGCCTATGAGAAAGTAATGCAAAAGACAGATGAACTAAAGAAGAAAATTTTCAATTTTCAAGCAGAATTGAGAAGAAATGTTTTTAACCCAGGTATTGCTGGGATGGAAAAGGACACTATTTATCATTCTTAATTTTTCAGATCAACAAAAGGCTTCCAAAGTAAGAAGTAGCTTCAGAGAAAAGGTGAAACTGAGGCTCTGACAATAATGTGTGGCCTCAGCATTAAGAACAAAGTAATGGTATAGAATGTTAAAAACTGAAAGATTGAAGGACAGTGCTTGGTAGAAAAATGCAACCAGGCAAAAGCCTTCTAGGGATTTTAAAGATATTATCTTGGGGCATCCTGAATCTCAACTTAAAGTGGAAAGAGGCCTGCCTTAAAGAGATTTGTGATTGTGGCATTTTTCTAATGTAGTGGATTACAATTTGATATCTTGAAAACTCAGTGTTTTTTAAGGTAGTTGAATTATATTGGAACAAAGAAAAGGAACAAAGAAAGTTTAAAATGAAATGAGGTATTTAAATTCCCAGCCTTCTATGGGCAGGATGAAGGCTGAGAATGTTACTCAGCTATAACTATAGGATATTTCTTATCAAAAGGAAGGATCATTCCGAGGACAGAGCCAAAGGTCAAGGATGGAGCTTAGAGTCATGGAGAATCGTTTCCAGGAAACAGACTAGATTCAGAATATTTTCTGTCCCAGAGTAGCAAGCTATGGGAACATATGCCTTGCCATTGTATACATATTTTTGTCTTCTTTGGATTGCAAATCTCCAACTGACAAGATCCACATGGTAAGAGATTTATCTGATATGAACGTAGATCACATGATACTGGGCTTCAAACTCGATTCCATAATTAGATAAGACTTTTGTGTCTTGAGTGGGAGTGAGTGCCTTTTGTATGTGGGATAGATGTGAATTGTTAAAGCCAGACAGTGTATTGTGGTAAATTACCTGAAAACATTGCCATCAACAGTTAATTCCATTCAAATATGCCCATGATGCTCCAGCACTAAGAGTTGGAGTCTATTTCCTCTACTCTTGAACCTGAGATGCCATGTGCTCTGCTTAGACTAATTAGATAAGGGAGAAGGAAGGTCTGAGAGTGCTGAGTCTAAGCCTTAGGAGAATTGACAACTTCCACTTTTTCTCTCTTGGAGTTCTGAGCCACCATGTAAGAAGTTCAGTTTTCCTGTTGTGGTGGGTGGCGTGGGCGGAATGTGAGACTATCTTAGACATTACATCTGAGCTCTCAGCTGAAGGTAACCATGTGATTATTCCAGCTGACCCCACATGAGACCAAGTCAACCCAAAGAAGAATCAGAAATAATAAATCATTTTTGCTTCAGCCACTGTATTACTTTTCTGATGATATACAGGAAATTACCACAAATTTACTAGCATAAAATAACACACATTTATTATCTTAGAGTTTCTCTGGGTCAAAAGTCAGGTCTTAACCTAACTGGGTCTTCTGTTCAGGATCTCACAAGATTGTAATTAAGATGTTACACAAAACTACCATCTCATCTAAGTGTTGTCTAGAGAAGAATCCACTTCCAGGCTCATTCAGGTTCTTGGCAGAATCCATTTCCTTGCAGCTATATACTTCATGGCCTGTCTTCTTTCTGGCTGTCAGCAGAAGGCCTCTCTGAGGTCCTGGAGACCATTAGCAGACCCTGCCTCATGGCCTTCTCCAGATGCCATTCACAATGTGGTGTTTGCTCCTTGCTCTAATCAGCTGAGACAGGGTCTTGTGTAATACAGCATAATCAAAGATGACATCCCATCACCTTCACCACACAACATAATCTAATCACTCAAGAGACATCTCATCACCTTTGTCATTTTCTAATGGTTAGAAGCAAGCCATAGATTCTATTTGAACTTATTTGCACAGATTCCACTTATGCAAGAGCATGACTCATGGGTGGTCACCTTAGAGTGAGTCTCCCACAGCCACCTAAGTTTTAGATGGTTTCTCAAGCCCCTATAGATAACCAGAAAACATCTTTCTTCCATCAGCAAGTCTTTAGCTGAGTAAAATCTGTAATCTTTAGCCATTCAAATAAGAAATCTATTCAGAGAAGCCACTTCATTAACATTTACAAAATTAAAGAAGCATCTTTTCAGTATTAATCTTGGACATAGTACTTAAGTAGAGACTGCTTCCCATTTGAGTCAGTAGGTGAGAAGTACCAACTCTAGAAAATCTTTAGCCTATTTCAAACATTGAGCTCAAACTGAGTAGTATTCTATCCATAGTTTGCTTTTGTATTCAACATTCAAGCACATTCTTTTAGAGATAGGGTCACATTGGGTGAATATTCCATTTTAAAGCTCAAGAATAAAGTTCAGAAAAAGTTGCAATAATCCATATCGCCTGACATCATATCATCTTGAAAGTTGTAGGTCAAGAGTTGTGATGTGTATGTATAATAACAAGGGCCTTCGAATGTTCTAACTTCCATACTAACAATCGAACCACCCTACATGAAAATGGGAAAAACATCAGATCATGCTGAATCCCTAACTGGAAAGGTAGCTCCCAGGTTAGCTCTCCTCAAAGGACTATTTATCAAGATTGCCAGGATCAACATGCATCATTCAGGTTGGGATTATATAATAGTATTATGTTTTTATATACTCTGCTGCAGATGTTTCTTCATTGTAAACAGTAACGCACATATATAAACTATGATAATAATGTATAATGAATATAGCACTTAATGTCCACTACTCAACACTCAACCTTGTTGTAACTATTATTGTAAACCTTTTAAAAAACAAATGAGAAAAGTGAGTCTGAGAGGGTTTATTAAAATGCCAAAGTTTGCACAGCTAGGAATTAATGAAGCCATGACTCCAACTTCATTCACTGCCATCAGATTCCCAAAGCCCATGTTTTATCCATTATGCCAAATTGCTCTTTTATTTATCTTCACAAGTAGATGATGCCAAAACTTTCTGGGAAGGATTTGATTTGCACCACTGAAACCTAACCATTCCTCTCATTAGAAATAATAATAGAGGCAAGGATTGTCCAGAGTTTTCTTCAAAGAATGAAGGTTGTATATAATAGACAGTATCATTTCAAATACAACAAATCACTGATGTCTAGAAATGTAGTTTTTATTTGTTTATTAAGTTGAAAAGTTTGAATAAGCAAAATAAGATCTTGACCCAGTCAGCATAGCTGGCTGGTTTTACCAGTTGTAATGGTAATAAAACCCAGTGGCATTCTATACACAGACAGCAGAAAGGAAGAATCAAATAAACAGAGTTTTTAAAAGTAATGTTTATGAAAAATAAAATCAATCAGTTGAAGAAGAAATTTTCAATGAAAGAATGAGTGTGTCCAGTCTCATAAATAAAGTGAAAAAGTTTCTTACTGCTGAGCAGAAGAGAGTTGCTATACGTCACACCACAGAACTTCACAGAACTGCTAAACTTCAAACAGTGGCTGCAGACAGCTATGAAAACTCAGGAATGCAGCCATTTTTTTAGGGTCACCTCAGAAGCTGGGCTACAGAAGAAAGAATTTTAGACCTACCAGTTTCACTCAGATGGCTTCAAAATAGGCTTAAAATTTTCCTCATTCACTCATTTATTTTATCATGTATAAATACTGCAATTCCTACTATGTGCAGCAGGGATTGAGATAAGTAAGACACATCTGTTTTCTGCTCTCACAACGCTTATAGCATAATGCAGTGGGAAAGAAGGACAAGAAAACAGGTATTTGTAATACAATGAAATAGGTTAAGTGCTGTGTTGAACGAGCCATAGGAGATACTCCCATGGTTAGTTGGAGTGTGTGTATGGGGATAATGTATGTCAGGTAAGACTTTTTGGAGGAAGTCAATCACACATATGGTGAAAACTGAATGATGATAGATGACCAGGTTAAGAAGACTTGGGGAGCCTGTTTTAGACAAGGAAATGGCTTGGGTGAAGACCTAATTCCGAGAAAGAGCAAGATAAATTGAAATAATGGAACAGATTATTACCAGACAGAGTACAGGGTATAAGGGTAGAAGTGGTGAGGGATGATGGTGGAGTATTAGGCCAGAATAGAGTTTTGTGAATCTTTTGAGTCTCATCTGGGCAATGGGAAGGAGTTTGCTCAATAGGAAGCACTGAAGGGGATAGAAACATTCAGCTTATTCTGGCAGCTGTTTAGAAAATCAATTAGAGTTGGCGAGACACAATGCAGTGAGACTAGTATGATAGTTGTTGCATTATAGAAGCAACAGAGTTTGATGATTAATTGGCTGAAGGAACTGAGAGTGGGAAGGAATAAAGAAGGCCTCCAAAGCTACTAGATTTGCTGTGAGTATGGGTGGTGGTGCTTTTCAGTAGATAGAAAATTCAAGATGGGGTTAGGGAGAATCAGGGAACGATGATACAATGAGTTCAGTTTGAGGCAAGAAAAGATTTGTGTGTGTTTACTGAGAGCTACTAGAATAAAAGATAATATGCTTTATATTTCACCTGAATTACAGTTTAGCTTTTTTTCTTTTCAAGTTTTACTAGCATTACTTGCATTTCTACTACTACTACTATTACCATGACCATCACCCAGCATTTATTAAACAACCTCAAAGTATTAGGCTTGGTACAAATGAATTATATTGTTTAAATTATTATAGTTATTGGCCGGGCGTGGTGGCTCATGCCTGTAATCCCAGCACTTTGGAAGGCCGAGGCGGGTGGATCACCTGAGGTCGGGAGTTCGAGACCAGCCTGACCAACATGGAGAAACCCCGTTTCTACTAAAAAAATACAAAATTAGCCGGGCATGGTGGCGCATGCCTGTAATCCCAGCTACTTGGGAAGGCTGAGGCAGGAGAATCGCTTGAACCTGGGAGGCGGAGGTTGCGGTGAGCCGAGATCCTGCCATTGTACTCCAGCCTGGGCAACAAGAGCGAAACTCTGTCTCAAAAAAAAAAAAAGACAAAAAAAAATTATTATAGTTACTAGGTTAGGTAGACACTGTGGGAAAACTGAGGCTTACTGAGGTTATGTAAACTGTCTAATGTCATACAGATAATATATGGCAGAGGAAGGAATTGAATATGGTCTGTTGCCAAACTCTGTGTTATCAATTGATAAGGGATATTGAAACTAGTAGCTCACTTGGTAGTTAGAAGAAAATATTTTTCAGAAAAAAATACATCAATCTCTCTCTCTAAAGTTCCAAATACCATTTCTACAGACATAAACACATCAAGCCCACCCATGAAGAGCACACACTTCAGTGAGAGAGAAAAGCAAACATATACTAATGCAATGCAATCTGTGAGAATTTCTTTAAGGGGAGCAGGCCAGTGACATTGAGGAAATAATAAAGAGGCTTAACGCAAAGTGGAGAAGTCAAGGACAACTTTTAAACATGAAAGTCATAGATGCAACATAAAGGACAGGACATTAAATGATGAAAAAAATTCAGAGTAACTGGGTCACAGTGTAATATAAGAATGGTAAATGATACAGCTTAAAAAAATTCTGACATCAGATAATTAAAGTATTGGATGTAATGGTAAAGTGTTTTGATTTCAAACTAGAGTTAAATCTTTGGAAAATTTTTGAGTAGAGGAATTATGTCATTAGATTTACATCTTAAGACAGGTAATTTCAGCAGCCAAATAGAAGACTCAGAAAGAACAAGAATTAAGTCACAGAGACCATGTACACAGAATTCGTAAACCAGTAGGGAATTTGGACACTGTGTTGGTAAATTTTAATCTTTTCAGTAAGAAAAACTCCAAGTAGTGCATCAGATTTCACTTTACTTAGAAGGAGAAATGGCCAGATGTGTGATTATATACTGAGTCATACACTCAGTATATAATGAGGTCAATGGCCGGATGGTCAGGGACTTGGAAGATGATTGGCAAATTGGTGACAAGGAAATTTTGGGAAAAGGTATGCAGATAGAGCTCTCTAAATAGGCAAAAAAACCATGAAGATATTTGTGTGTCAAATGAATGCTTACCACAGTGTGACCTAAGAAGAGGACGATTTTAAAAATGAAGTTGTTAGGAAGGCACATTCAGTAGATACAAGTCCACTTCTTTCTCCACTCACTCCTGCCATTTCCTAATAGGCTTATGGACAAAGTGGCCATGGTGGCAAGAACAGAGGTTATATATGGGCTCAGCAACATGGTCTTCAACTTACCAAGGTAAGCTTGGCTATGGCTGCTGCTGAGTGCCCTGTCTACCAGCAGCAGAGACCAAGGGATATATTTGTTATGAATAATTTTATGTGTCAACTTACTGTGGAGGGAAAGATGTGACATTCCCAAATATACCAGATTGGTATTCTGATTATTTGGAAAACATTGGAGAAATTGTAGTTTCACAGAGGGCTAGCTCATCTGTCTCTTCCTGCATGCAGCAAACCATAAAAATTTATCTGAAAGGGGTAGCCTCCCTGTATCAGGGTGAAAAAATAGCCCTATCACCAGAGACTGGGAATTGGGGGCTGCAGTGGACCTGAATAAATATGCTTACCGAAGTAACCCTTATCTTCCATTAGTTTTACACCCCACCTCCTATATCTTCTCGTGACTTCCCTAAAAATTTACTGCCCTTAGCCAGATTTTTTTTGTCCTGCCACTTCTTCTAAATTTATTATTTTTTGTCTAAAAAATATAGAAGCATTTTGCTTTGGCTACTTTTTTAGACTTCACTGTCTTGTGAAGGTCCTCATGTACATGTAAAACTAATAAAATTTGTATTTTTTTTCTCCTGTTAATCTGCCTGGTGTCCGTTTGATTTCTAGATGCAGCTGAAGAGCCCACTCAAAGCCAAAGAGGAGTTGAAGGTTGATATGGTTTGGCTCTGTGTCCCCACCCAAATCTCATCTTTAATTGTACTCCCACAATTCCCATGTGTTGTGGAATGGACACAGTGAGAGATAATTTGAATCATAGGGGCAGTTTCCCCTCTACTGTTCTCATGGTAGTAAATAAGTCTCATGAGAGCTGATGGTTTTATCAGGGGTTTCCACTTTTAAATCTTTTCTCTTGCCACTGCCAAGTATGAAGTGCCTTTTGCCTCCCACCATGATTCTGAGGCTTCTGCAGCCATATAAAACTTTAAATCCAATTAAACCTCTCTTTCTTCCCAGTTTTTGGTATGACTTCATCAGCAATGTGAAAACAAACTAATACAGTAAATTGGTACCAATAGAGTGGGGCATTGCTGATACCTGAAAATGTGGAAGCGACTTTGAAACTGGGTAACAGGCAGTGGTTGGAACAGTTTGGAGGACTCAGAAGACAGCAAAATGTGTGAAAGTTTGGAACCTCCTAGATACTTGTTGAATGGCTTTGACCAAAATGCTGATAATGATATAGGCAATGAAATCCAGGCTGAAGTGGTCTCAGATGGAGATGAGGAACTTGTTGGGAACTGGAGCAAAGGTGACTCTTGTTATGTTTTAGCAAACAGACTAGTGGCATGTTGCCCTTGCCTTAGAAATCTGTGGAACTTTGAACTTGAGAGAGATGATTTAGGGTATCTGGTGGAAGAAATTTCTAAGCAGCAAAGCATTCAGGAGGTGACTTGGGTGCTGTTAAAGGCATTCAATTTTAAAAGGAAAACAGATCATTGGAAAATGTGTAGCCTGACAATGCAATAGAAAAGAAAATCCCATTTTCTGAGGAGAAATTCAAGCAATCTGGAGAAACTTGCATAAGTAACGAGGAGCCAAATGTTAATCCCCAAGACACTGGGGAAAATGTCTCCAGGTCATGTCAGAGGTCTTCATGGCAGCCCCTCCATCACAGGCCTGGAGGCCCAGGAGGAAAAAGTGGTTTCATGGGCCGAGCTGAGGGTCCCTGTGCTGTGTGCAGCCTAGGGACTTGGTGCCCTGCATTCCAGCCACTCCAACCATGACTGGGACCAAGGTAGAGCTCAGGCCATGGCTTCACAGGATGCAAACCCCAGGCCTTGGCAGCTTTCATGTGGTGTTGAGACTGCGAGTGCACAGAAGTCAAGAATTGAAGTTTGAGAACCTCCCCCTAGATTTCAAATGATGTATAGAATTGCCTGGATGTCCAGGAAGAAGTTTGCTACAGGGGTTAGGGTCTCATGGAGAGACTCTGCTAGGGCAGCATGGAAGGAAAATCTGGGATCGGAGCTTCCACACAGAATCCCTACTGGGGCACTGCCTACTGGAGCTGTGAGAAGAGAACTACCATCTTCCAGACCCCAGAATAGTGGATCCACCGAGAGCTTGCCCCATGTGCCTGGAAAAGGTGCAGACACTCAATGCCAGCCCATGAAAGCAGCCAGAAAAAGGGCTGTATCCTGCAAAGCCACAGAGGCAGAGCTTCCCAAGGTGGTGAGAGCCCACTTCTTGCATTAGCGTGACCTGGATGTGAGACATGGAGTCAGAGGAGATCATTTTGGAGCTTAAGATTTGACTGTCCCCCTGGATTTTGGACTTGCATGGGGGCCTGTAGCACCTTTGTTTTGGCCCATTTCTCCCCTTTGGAATGGCTGTATTTACCTAATGCCTGTACCCCCGTTGTATCTAGAAATTAACTAACTTGCTTTTGATTTTACAGGCTCATAGGCAGAAGGTACTTGCCTCATCTCAGACGAGACTTTGGACTGTGAACTTTTGAGTTAATGATGAAATGAGTTAAGGCTTTGGGGGACTGTTGGGAAGGCAAGATTGGTTTTGAAATGTAAGGACATGAGATTTGGAGTAGGCAGGGGCAGAATGATATGGTTTGGTTCTGTGTCCCCACCTAAATCTCATCTTGAATTGTACTCCCATAATTCCCATGTGTTGCGGAAGGGACCCAGTGGGAGATAATTTGAATCATGGGGGTGGTTTCCCCCAAGATTCTCACGGTTCTCATGGTAGTGAATAAGTCTCATGAGATCTGATGGTTTTATCAGGGCTTTCTGCCCTTGCATCTCTCTCATTTTTTCTTACCACCACCACCACCACCACGTAAGAAGTGTCTTTCACCTCCTGCCATGATTCTGAGGCCTCCACCCAGCCATGTGGAACTGTAAGTCCAATTAAACCTCTTTTTCTTCCCAGTCTTAGGTATGTCTTTATCAGCAGTGTAAAAACAGACTAATACAGAGGTGATCTGGGACTCCCCTGCAACAGGCCCACAGAATGATGAGATATCTGGCTAAACATTATTTCTGGGTGTGTCTATGAGGATGTTTCTAGAAGAGATTAGCATTTGAACTAGTAGACTAAGTAAAGTAGATGAGTCAAATGTGGGTGGGTACTATCCAATCCATTAAGAGCCTGAATAGAACAAGAAGATGAAGGAAGGCTGAATTTGCTTTTTGACTGGCTGCTTAAACTAAGACTTTGACCTTCACTTGCCCTCAGTTCTCCTTGTTCTTGGACATTCAGACTTAGACTGGGATCTACACTGCCAGTTTCCTGGGCCTCCAGCTTGCAGATGGCAGATTGTGGGGCTTCTCAGCCTCCATAATTATGTGATCCAATACCTAATTATAAATCATATATATATATATATATATATATATATATATATATATATATATTCTATTGGTTCTGTTTTTCTGGAGAATTTTGACTAATACAGCTACAGAAGTATTTATCCACCACGATGCAAAACAAAAGACATATAATAACAAACAAAACTTTGCTTGTGAATGCTTTTAAAAGGGTCAAGAATTATTGTTTTTTGTAGTCCTCACTACTCCTGATTTTCTTACAGCTGTCTGTTTTGCTTATTTATGTTACTATCCTAGTCCTTCAATTAATGGTTAAGACATTAAGGAATAAAATAACCTAAACCAAGAACGACTGTAGAAATAATGCAGAGCAAAGAGATTAGACAGAGATTAAAAAGATAGAATACAGAAGTTGAAATTGGGGAGCTGGTGCCAAAGAATATAATTTGAGTCACCACGAATTACAAAAGATGATCTCAAGGTAGATGAGCTCACCCTCTGTGGCTTTGCAGCCTGATAAGAGAAGCAGAGCAAGGGTGAAAGTTTGAGAAACATTGACTTAAAAGAATGTATTTAGGAAGAGTAGTTCATAAAAAAGACCTTCAGCGTGGGCTAGTGTGCAATCTCTGCCTATCTCTGCCCTTCTGAAGCCTGTGACATTTGACTGTGGATCATGATTAAGAGAAAGAAATGGGGGGAATATGTCTCACATACACTAAAAATGTCCTTAGAGTCACGAGAGTTGCACTCAGCTCATTTTAACTTCCACTTCCTCAAAAGTAAATAGGAGAGCCCATCATGGCCAAATTAATGCATAGTACTATGCAGAGCCAAGGCCCTTGACCCCCTGGAAGTTGAAAAATTACTGACATGAGGCAAATTAATAGAAAAAAAAAGGCATATAAATTTATGTGTTTATGAGGGAAGCTTCAGAACGAAGACCCAATCACCCACTGAGATTCAGAAGCTTATTTCCCATCTTGACAAAACAAGTTCTGGGAGGTGGGAGAAGAGGGATTCTGTTGAGAGACAGTAAAGATTGCTAGGGAGAATGAATGGACAGGGAACAGAGATGAACGGGTAAGTAGATCTCTTTGGAATTTGCTTGAGTCTGAGAGACAGCCATGATCTCATGTGTGCTCAGATGTGGTTACATTCTTGGTCTTCTTTTCTGCGATAGATAATTAGACAACAGGGAGGGGAGGAAAACAGTTGTTCCCATTGGTCATAGAGAAAATTCAGAAAACAACTTTGTCCTTTCTTTCTCCTTTTTATACTGTTTTATCCTTTTTATCCTATGCTTTGGGAGAGATATGTGTGTTGGAGAGGCAGAGGGGAGTGTCAGAGGGACTTCGAGCCTTCTTTAGTCCAGTATGTCAAAATATCATATTTTTAGGTACTGGTTTCTGAGGTCCAAGAGTACTTCCAGCAACCTAATAATTTGTCTCCCTTTAAACCTAATATTGTTTAGATAATTTTTCACATTATTTAGTGGAAGTGGGGAGAAACTGGTTTCATTAAACTGTTATTTAAATCATGCTATAGTCTGAACATATATGCCTCCCTAAAATTTATATGTTGAAATCTAACCCCTCAAATCATGGTAATAAGAGATGGAGTTTTTGGAAAATGACTAAGTAATGACAGTGGAGCCCTCAGGAAAGCGATTAGTGCCCTTTAAAAAAGGCTCAACAGAGCTCCCTGGTGCCTTTCTGTCATATGAGGACACAGCAAGAAAGCATCTGTGATGCAGAGAGCAAGCCTTCACAAGACACCAAATCTGCTGGAACTTGACCTTGAACTTCCCAGCCTCTAGAACTGTCAACAGTGAATTTCTGTTGTTTATATACTACCCAGTCTAAGGTATCTTGTTATAGCAGCCCAAATGGACTAAGACAAATCGCATAAGATAAATACTAACTAATATTTTTTCCAATTTTTTATTGCAATAAAATAGACATAAAATAGAACTTACCATTTTAAGCAGCTTTAAGTTTGCATTTCAGTGGCATTAAGTATGTCATATTGTGCAACTATCACAATCTTCCATTTCCAGATCTTGCAATAATGAAACTCTACACCTGTTAAAGACTAACTCCCAATTCTTCCCTCCCCCAGGCCCTGGTAACCAGCATTATACTTTCTGTGTCTATGATTTTGACTACTCTAAGGACCTCATATAAGTGAAATCATATAGCATTTAACCCTTTTTTTTGACTGGCTTATTTTACTCAGCATAATCACCTCAGGGTTCATCCATGTAGCATATGTCAGAAGTTCCTTCCTTTTTAAGGCTGACTGATAAGGAGGAATTTACTTCTGTCATTTTGCTATTTGTTTTCTATATGCCTTATGGCTGTTTTGCCCTTTATTTCTTGTATTAGTGTCTTCTTTTGTGCTTAGTTGATTTTTTGTAGTGAAATATTTAAACTCCTTTCTCATTTCCTTTTGTGTATATTCTACAGCTATTTTCTTTGTGGTTACCATGGGGATTACATTTAACATCCTAAAGTTATAACATTCTAATTTGGATTTATACCAGCTTAACTACAATACCATATAAAAATTGCTCCTTTACATCTTTCTCCCCACTCCTTTCAGTTTTTGATGTCACAAAATTACATCTTTATACATTGTGTGTTCAAAAACATAAACTCATAATTTTTCAAAATGTATTAGTCTTTTAAATTATGTAGAAAGCAAAATATGCATTTGCAAACTGTTGTTACAATAATACTAGCTTTTATACTAATAATTGCCATATTTAAAATGTATTAGTCTCTTAATATATTCAGGAGGGGGATGTATAGCTACTACTATGTTAAGAGCTAAAAATGACCATGATCACAATTAACCCCAATTTACTATCCAGTCCTTCCCCTGGAAGTTGCAAGCCTACAGTGCTCTCCAGAGTTCCCAAATTGTTACAGCTGAAAGATTTTACCAGTGCAATTGTTGTCTAGGTGGGGAGAGAGAACCCTGGTGCTTCCCATTCTGCCATTTTCCCTGATTCTTACTGTTAAAAAAATATCCAAACACTTTAAAAGTACAAAGAGCAGAAAATGACTGTCTCCTTGCATTCCTTGCCCCTGATATTCCTCTGCATCTTCATAGCTTTGATCATATTACAGTTTACTGTTTGGTATATGTTTTCCGAGAAATTTTGTCTATGCTTTTATATGAACATTAGTACATCATTCTTTATTTGGATAAACTGTTACACACTACATTTTTATATTGTGTAGTGAAAAATTATCCTTACCAAGGAGAAGTCTGAACTTCACCCTTGACTTTTGGTAAGAGATCTCTAGGCCCTAGAACGTCATGCCTAATAGGAGTGTCTTTATTTGCCTTTGGGGGCTTTGGCCACTGGACAGTCTAACAATGTGATTTATGATGGGGACTTTGGGCTGTGATATATAAATTCCAAACTCCAGAGGAACTGATGACCAAAGGTATTAGCCAAATTTCCAGGAAGGGCTTGAGATTTAAGGTGAGTCATGCAGGTAGTATGTGACTGAGCTCCAATAAAAACTCTTGACACCAAGACTTGGGTGAGGTTCCTTGGTTGACAATACTCTGTGCATATTGTTATAAAAGGTGACCAGGAGGAGGCAGTGCCATCCATGACACCACAGAAAGAAGACAATTGAAAACTCCCTTTTTGGATCCTCTTGGATTCTAGCCTATGTGTCTTTTCCCCTTAGCTGACTGTAATCTGTATCCTTTTTCTGTAATAAATCGTATTGTGTGTATAATTACTTTCAATAAATTCTGAGTCCTTTAAGCTAATTATCAAACTTAAGGGTGGTTGTGGAAACATTTGTAAACTTCTAATTGATGTCACAAGTGAGGATGGTTTTGTGTGGGAACTGTGCTCTCAAACATTATAGCTTAGATAACTCCAGGTACACATAAATATGGATCTCCTTGTTACATGAAAGGTTAAGTACAGATTTTAAAAAGTTTCATTTTTGGCCGGGTGAGGTGGCTCACGCCTGTAATCCCCGCACTTTAGGAGGCCAAGGTGGGTGGATCACGAGGTCAGGAGATCGAGACCATCCTGGCTAACACAGGTGAAACCCTGTCTCTACTAAAAATATAAAAACTTAGCAAGGCGTTGGTGGGCGCCTGTAGTCCCAGCGACTCGGGAGGCTGAGGCAGGAGAATGGCGGGAACCCGGGAGGCGGAGCTTGCAGTGAGCCGAGATCAGGCCACTGCACTCCAGCCTGGGCAACAGAGCAACACTCCGTCTCAAAAAACAAAAACAAAAACAAAGTTTCATTTTTTCTCTTTTCCAAAAAATTTATTTACTATCTCTATTTATGTTTCTTTTCTTTCTTTCTTTTTCCTTTTCCTTTCTTTCTTTTTTAATAAATTGTAGAATTAGCTTGTCATAGTTGACTAAGAATTTGGTTAGCATCATGTTTGGGACAACAGTGAATTTGTTTTTTAACATAGGAACATTTATAGAGGTGGCATAATATTTACTTTTTCCTTTCGTGAATTTTGTGTGTCTATTTACTTTAGTCTTCTTTTATGTCCTTTGGTGTACTAAATATGCTAGGTACATTACTAGACATTTTATATTTTTGTTGCTAATTCAAGTGATATTTTCCCTTTACTTTTTCTTATTGTTTATTTCTGTTGTATAAAGTAGTGGGGTTTCTTGTATTAATCTGTTGTATTGATTTTTAGTATGGATCTTTTATATCCAGCAATGATAATAAAACCAGTTATTAATTTTGAGAAATTTTCAAGTCAATTCTCCCAGATTTTTTTTTTTAGAGACACATATCATTTGTAAATCCTTAAAGTTTATTTAGCCTTCTCAAATATATGTGCTTTTTATTTATTTTTTCTCATTTACTTCATTGTCTGGGATATCCAGAAAGATAATGATACATGACAGTGACAATTGGTGCTAGAAAACTAAATGTTTGTGTTCCCCCGAAAATTCATAAGTTGAAGCCTGATTCCTCATGAAATGATATTTGAAAGTGGGGCCTTTAGGGGGTTATTAGGTCATGAGATTGAAGCTCTCATGAATGAGATTAGTGTCCTTATAAGAAGAGACACAGGAGAGCTTGTTTTTTTCTCTTTTTCTCCACCATTTGGGGAAACCAGGAAGTGGGCCCTCACAAAAATCTGATCATGCTAGCACTCTGATCTTGCATATCCAAGCCTCCAGAATTGTGAGAAAAGAAATATTTCTTGTTTAAACCATCCAATCTCTTGTATTTTTGTTATAATAGCCTGAACTAAGACAGTTAACATCTATAATTTGTTCCTGAGTTCAATGTAATTTTAAAAACTATTTACCCTTAAGTTTTGCTGGGAGATTCTGATATACAGATATTATATCAAATAAAAAAAAGTTTTCTTTTTTTGCTATTTGCTAATATATTTTTTAAACAAATATTCCATCAAATTTTTTTCATCTGTTAGTTTTTCTTAATTCATGAATGCAGTGATATATATATATATTACTGCATATATATATTATATGTGTGTGTATATATATATATATATATACATATAATTTTCTTAATTTAGAACTCTCTTTGTATTCCTTGGAAAGAAGCCCTTCTTGATCAGAATACATTATTTCTTGTCCATTTTTGTTGTTAATACTTAAGCTTCTTTTGTGATATTACTTGAGAAACTTTCCAACCTTTTATGTACTCTGAAAAGTTAATGATGTTGAGGCATATTGGCATTTTGTCTCTCTTTTGATTATAACAGTTGTGGAGTATTGAAATACAAATATATATATTTGTAGCATATATCTGTCTGCAAAAATGTATGTATGCAAAAGTAAATAGTTTTCTAAGAACAGACATGACCAGTTAGGCTGTGTACATACAAAATATTCAAGTATTAAATGACTCTGACAGTGAGTTGTAAAATCTAAGGTTAGTCAGTAACACATCAGTGTGTCTCTGTTGAACCATAGCTCCTTCTGTGCTAGGCACAGGAGTGAAAATAAATATGAAAGTTGTTGCTGCCACATTAACTGACTTCTTACTCAGGAAGGCTGTGCGTTGCAAATGGAGTAACTTAGCAATAGCCTTGGTAATATGCTATTTGGTGTTAATGATCAGAGCCTTCAAGTGTCATATTCCTTGATTCTAGTATTTATCATATTTAACTAGAATTTAACATCTCCCCTCTATCTACCCAAAACACTCCTTTCCTGTGTTTTCTAAGTAAATGGCATCCAACAATTATCATTAGAACTGGGAATCATTTGTGACTTCTACCTTTCCCTTATGTCCATATTGCACTGATCTCAATTTCTAGAATTCTACCATTTAATCTCTTGGAAATCCCTTTATTCTGCATTAATTTACTCTTAGGTCTTTATAGTTTCATTTCTTACTGTCATAGAAGTTGTTAATTAAATACCACAAAGAAATTGGGGGCAGGGATTTAAAAATTATAATACAAACATTATCTGATCCTAAAAGTTTGCTACAAATTGCTCGTGAAATTTCTGAGCCTAATATTTGTATAGGCAGATCCTAGGATATCTTTTCATATTTTTTATGGTTATTATTTAATTCAGGTTTTTGAAATGTTGTTGAGTCAACTTTTAAAAATTATACACTACATTTCTAGGTTTCTAATAATTACTTTTGATTTTGAAGCTTAATCTTTTTTTCAACAACGTTTAGGGTTAATATTTGTATTCTCTATCTGATCAAAATCTAATCTGAGTCTTTGCAAAGTTTTACTTAATGGGGAACTTCTCTTCCATCTGCCTCTGCACAATTTTCTATGTAATAATCATCTTGGACTTTAGATTCATGTATTATCATTGATATTGCACATCAACATTTATTAAAACTTCACTGTTTTTATTGGAGTTTTCACTTTGCATCCTCTCTTAAATTTCACATATTATTTTTCTTGATTATATTTCACTTTGCCATAGAAATTCTTCAATTATGTCTTAATATGTAATAATTTGCTCATCTGTTTGACCAAAATGTTGGCTAAGTATAGAATGCTTATTTCAAAAGTATTTTCTAGATTTTTTTTTCAAAAGATTGAAGATATTACTCCATCCATTCTAGAATATAGGCACCCCTGAGAAATCTAACACAAATCTCTTTAAATGTTTTTGTAATTTGATAATTTTAAGGGTAGATTTTAGAATTTTTTTCTTTATTCCTTGAGTTCTTAGGTAAATCAGAATATGTCTATTTTTTTTTTAAGATTCATGTTATTTGGCACCCAGTGACAATTTAAAGATAAGATTTGATGTCGTTTTTAGCTCAGTGGAAAGGTTTTCTATTATTTCCTTTCTTTGATTATCTGAATTCTTTCATTTGGAACTCCCTTTAGATGGAAAATGGGTATCTTGGATTGCTCTCTGTGAAGCTTCATTTATTTACACTTTAAATTTTGTTGTCATGTTGCTCTTTATTAATTGTGACTTAATAGGATTTATTTTTCAGATCATTAATTTGTTATTTAGCCATTTCCTTTTTCTATTTAACCTTTCTTCTAATTTTTATTTCTAATTTTAGTTGCCATTTTTATTTTAGCAATTTATTCTATAGTACAGACACTTCATATTTATCATTGCAATTGCAAATGAAAATTGTTGATCATATTTAGTTTTCCTCTGAAGCTGTTAATTAAATTATTATGAAAATTTCTGTTTTTCCTTGAATTTTGTTTTTTTCCAAAATCAACTCTTCTTATTTGTTTATCTTGGTCATTCTATTTTAGTTTATTACTTTTCTTTTTATTCTTTTTGTTTGTTTGAGATGGAGTCTCACTCTGTCACCCAGGCTGGAGTGCAGTGGCATGATCTCGGCTCACTGCAACATCCGCCTCCTGGATTCAAGCGATTCTCCTGCCTCAGCCTCCCAAGTAGCTGGGACTACTGGCATGCACCACCATGCTCAGCTAATTTTTGTATTTTTACTAGAGACGGAGTTTTGCCATGTTGGCCAGGTTGATCTCGAACTCTTGACCTCAGGTGATCCGCCCGCCTCAGCCTCCCAAAGTTCTGGGATTACAGGTGCCAGCCACTGCACCCAGCCTATTGCTTTTCTTTAAAAGTCTAGTGGCACTTGTCTGCCAATCTGATTTAGGAATGAAGGACTAGGTAGATTAGTAAAGGCAAAGAAAGGCATTTTATTTCCAGAGATGTAAGTCTGTCTATCACCAACATTCCTCTCTTCTAACTGCTTGGGCTGGTTGCAGCATTTCTATTTTCATGGGAAGTGCAACAGGCAAGCTTCACTTTAAGGTGTGTTGGGGAAAATAGTCATGGAAAGACTGAGAACCTTACCCTACACTTCCACCAATTGCCAGATAAGGAGGTTTGCCTTGGCTCTGAAGCACTTTAGATTATTTTCTGTCAGGGCCACCTTTCTATGCTTTCCAACCCTATGCCCACCCTCCACCTTCACCATAACTCATGTCGCAATCTGAAGTTGACGGAAGCTTTGCTCTGCTTTTGTTTCTGAGCCCCATGCCCACACTAGGAAGAAAGAAGAAATGTTAAGTTTTAAAAAGTATATAGTTGTTTTTAGGTGATTTCTCTAGGATCCCCTCTGGCTTTTTGAGCAGCCTGTCTCTGAGTCTTGAGAATCATTTATAATTGTTTGAACTTAGATTCTAATTTTTCTCATATTTGTGACATTATTTGGTTTCTAGTCACAGTCTATTATATTTTTATTTCACTTTTCAGGTGGTCCTCAGATTTTCTGTTCTATTAGTGATATCCTATAATTTTATTCCATTGATATTCTGTATTTAATCTATTTAAAAATATTTTTCTATAATTCAATGAGTTCTATGAAGAATTTATGATTATGCTGTATCTGCATTTTTCATCTAATTTTTATGATTGTCAAATTAATTAAAAGTGGATAATTTACTTCTTTATATTTAAAATGAAAAATCTTTTATAAGCATTAACCATTCTATAACTTTATTACATTTGTAGTTAACTTCTATTTCATAATTTTTCTGTCATTCATAAATAATGTTGGCCATTGGGTTATGAAGGGTTCTCCAGAGGAATAGAACCAATAAGATATGAGAATATGCAAAGAGAAAGAATTACTTTAGGAATTCCTCATTTTAAGGAATTGGTTCATGTGATTGTGGGGGCCTGGTAAGTATAAAATCTGCAGGGCAGGCTCGCAGGCTGAGACCCGGGAAAGATATAATGTTGCAGCTAGAGTTCAAAGACACTCTGGAGGCAGAATTCCCTCTTCCTCTGAGGATCTCAGTCTTTTTCTCTTGAGGCCTGCAACAGATTGGATAAGGTACATCTACATTATGGAAAGTAATCTGCTTTACTGAAAGGCTATTGACTTAAGTGATAATCTTACCTAAAAAGTACCTCAATAAGAACATCTAGACTGGCATTTGATTGGATATCTGTGTTCCATGGCTTAGCCAAGTTGACACGTAGAATTAACCATTAAGTCATACATATTCACTAATGTATAAATTATAGTTATAATACATATATATGATTTCAAAGCCTTGTTCGAAATATATTTTAAAAGTTCCCAAATATTTCTTGAGTTTTGAATTAAGTATTTTAAGAAGATTATTTATTCCTGACAGAAACTCCTGTGTCAGTATTAGTCAATTTCAAAATTTCAACCTATTACAACTATTGAATTTAGGCAACTCTTAGTGGACTAGTCTCAAGGTTTCTGGCTTAGCTTGTCATGATACCAGTCAATTAGATGGATTATAGAATTCTCAACAGAGGTAACTAATACTGTAGAGGAGATTTCTGCTGTTTATTGTTGCTTTTAAATTTCCATGAAAAAAATGTCATTTGGGATAAATATGTTAGATAGTATTTTTGTCCTAACTCTTTATACTTTCCTTATAATAGAACTTTAGGTCCATACACTTTGCCATGTGCTTTGCAGTAGAGTAGACAGAGAATATGTCTCCTTATTGATATTGAGCTGGGCGATGTCCCTTGCTTTGGGTGATGGAATGTGCACTGGTTTGCAGCCAGAAGCTACAGTTGTATGATTTGGTTTACCCTCTTATGCTTCCCTTGTTTGATATTAGGAGAGAATGCTCTGAATAGTCTCTGTTTCAGAAAGAGAAGTATGCAGAGAAGACCTAAACTGGACCTATAGTTTGAAGTAGAGCGCTGTTAGACTCTGATCCACAGACATATGCATAAGAAAATTCATTATTATTTTTTAAATCATTAAACTTTGGGAGTTGTTTCTTACACAATAACTTTACAAAAGCTGCCTAATATTGTAGGGAAAAAAAAACAATTTTCATGTCACTGTTACTTGAATTCATTGGTATCACCTTTTATCCACTTATTTCACAAATATGTATTGAGTGACTACTGCATGCCTGGGATTTTCCTGGGACGTATTAGTACTTTCCTACTGCCAGGGATATTTCATCTCTGTTTTCATATAGGGTACAAGAAATCTACTTTTCTAGCTTCCAGTTTAATTTGGATCCGGGTAGACCTGCTGTTGAAGAAAATAAATCATCATATTATTTTTCCAATGTAATGTTTTAGTCACTTTGTGGCCTAAAGGAAGAAAGCCAGATACAGAACATGATACTTTCTGATTAACAAAGTGACAAGGGAATTTTAAACCTTTTATATACAAATGAAATTATAGATTGTGGGTAAGGACAGGTCAGGATAGGCCACAGTGACAAATGACTCTAAAATCTCAGTGGTCTACAAAAGCAGGGATTTTTCTCACTGATGCTGTGGGAACATCATAGGGTGCTTATGGCTCTTCTCTATATTGTCTTTTCTCTGGGCCTCAGGCTGCTGAAACATTCATATGTAAAACATTGACAAATTCATAACGAAAGGAAACTACATACCTGCTCAAAAAGTTTCTGTTTGAACTGGAATTTGTCATTTTAATTCTCATTTCATTGGTCTATTCTGTCATCAGAAGGTTATAAAATTATAATCCTCCCCCAGGGAGGGCAGAAAACAATTGTTAATTATAATAGACTTTTTCCATGGAAAAACAAATACAATGTTTAACCTTATAATGAATAGTTAATTTCCATAGGAGGAGATTTTTCAGCTTTTGAAGTCTGCATACCTTCAAGGAAATTCTTCAAAAACAGCCAAGACATTTTAAGATGAGGAGCTACAGAACAGGTATAAATCTGATACAAATCTTAATCTAACAAGAAACAGAGTGTATTTTCATAATAACTCTAGGTCAAATGCCTTCTAAACATTCCTAAATTTTGTCTTTATCAGTGAGCGGTCCAGAATTTTGCTTCCTGCAATGTATTGGAGTTCACAGTATTCCACCAATTTTTCATTAACATTTGCTAATGAGATCTCTTATTAAGATCTCTGGCATAAGCATAATTTTTATTAAATAGGACTGAATTAAGGAATATGGATCTTAGAGATTTTCTATTTTGACATTAAAGATTATAAGGATTATATATTTTTATCTTCTCAATAAAGCAACTAGCGAAATACCTGGCATAAAATAAGACTAAGAAAATCCCTCATCTCTGCCTACAATTGTACTTCCAGCTGCCTTTAAGGATCATTTAACCTTTATAAAACCTAAAGTAAGGCTTTACCATTTATAAAGCACTTTTCAAAAATTCAATTAATTCTCATTACAATCTTATGCAATATGTATTACTACTTTCATTTCTTTATGGATGAATATATTGAGACTACAAAAGTTAAATAAATTTTGAAACATCAAATACCTTAGCAACTATTTGCTAAGGGGACCTTTTTTCAAAATCCTATATGCTTCCCAGCACACCTGTTATAATGCCTAAAATTTGCTTTAAAACACTACAGTACTGTTATTGTGATAGTAGGTGTGTGATGGTTATTTAAATTTTAGCTCTAGATGTGATTAGGTGATACTATCAGGACCTTAGGGTCTAAGGGTAGTCTGCTAGCAATGTGATAAAGGGCCTGGCTTCTGCCATTCCTGCTGTTATTACATAATCAATAACTGACACTTTACTAAATGAACAGTAAGTGCAAAAAATAAGGTTTTATTAATAGAATTAATCTTATTAAATATCATAATGTTTTTTAAAAGGGATCTCATTTATAAAAGTGAAGATATTCAAGACCTGCAATTTGACTACTTGCTTGCTTGTTCTGTGGACTCCTCTGGGATGGGACCTGTGATCTTGATACCCCAGCTGGTTCCGTGTCTACTTATTAATTTGGGGAGGATTTCTGGATGGCATAATGCCACATGGAGTCCTTGTCTCAGGAATTTTGCTGTATCTTCTTCAAAATTAACTTAAGTGGTTGGAACATCCAAAGGACATAGATGTGGAATTTTTTCCAATGTAGGCAACAGGTGGTACGAATCCATTCTGTGCCAACATTGCTAATAAATAGTAATCTAATAAATGTCTGTGTGAGGAGCAGAATTGAGGAACAATATATGGTATGTTTTATTTATAACCTGACAGCTAAGTTATGGAGCTTAGCAAACACTAGCCCCCATAGATTCTTCTAGTGGCTACTTTTATCTATGACCAGATTATCCTAGTTCTCAATTACACTATGTATCTTCTCAACACTGTGCAGCATTTCTTCCTGAATGCTGTTCTCTGAAACCTGAGTTTACCTGTGTGCTAATATTGATGACACTGACTCAGTGACTAGAGCATGATTTTTGCAGGGCCTTAAAATGCTCTGGATAAGTATCTGAATTCTGAACATAATTATGTAAGCTAGAAATTAACTCCTTAAGAGTGTTGCTTCAGAAACCTCTGCAGCACCCTTATTTTTTTCTTTACAGCTATGGAGAATGAGAGATTCCTACTGCAGTATTAAAAATTAATGTTACTTATATGCAGCCAGCACACAAAGAAAATATTGAAACTTGGTAATAAAACAAGTGCTTAGCAATTATACAAAGCCCATCTTTAGACAGCTTTACAAATACCAGCTAATTAAATTTTACTAAAGACAATTTATTTATAATATAATAAACATATGGTGGAAATAAGAAAACAAAACATAGCCATAGAAAATAACACTCAAATCAAATGCTAATAGATTGAATTTTTCCTCCTCATAGGGTACATGCCCCACAGTCTTCAATACTTTTTATTATTGTTTCAAGAAAACTGGATAAATTCATTCTGAACATCACAGACTTGAAAGTCATTGTTACCATGCCTTTGAGAATGCCTATAGTTATCATTGCCATCATCTCAAAGGAGAAGAATTCTTTAACTCTTATTGTATATGCAATTTTGAATAAAAAAATCAAGTTGCATTGTTATTGAAATTAAAGACACAAAGTATTTTTCCTTTGGTTTTTCACCTTAAATGGTTTGATGCTCCAATTACCACCATTTTTTATCTTTCTTGTTATGCTTTCCAAACTGGCACTATTATTTTGATACTGAGTTTTTGTTAATAGCAGGAAATAATTATCCAATTGTGCAGCCTGAATCTTTTTTTTAATTTTTTTTATTTTTTATTTTTATGCTGCTTTGTGTGTTTGAAATCAGGTCTGTAATAGGAATTTAGAAACTTTGATTTGGCCTTGTAACCTTGATTGCTAATTACTGTGTCAGTAAGTCCCAGGAGCTGTATGGATGGAGTAGGTGGTAAGTAGGTGGTACTATCATATTTTTGGCATTTTATAATAGAGTCTAATAAACTTTTCTTATTTTTCCTTTTTCAAGACTTTCTGACTTCCTAATATTATTATCCTCTCTTAAAACCTATTGGGGAAGACTGGCCAAGATAAATTAAAAGTGGCAAACTTGCTTTATCACCTGTAGGACAAAACTCAAACCTCCTTAGCATGATATAGAAGACTTCTTAGGACTTTCATTTTCTGATACTTATTGCTTATTCAGCTTAATCTCTCAATGCTGTAAAACTTGGATCTGGAACTCTAGTTACATAAGCAGTTCTTATGCTATTTTATGTCTTGATTCTTTAGCACAGCTTGCTTCTATGCATAAGGTAAACTTTTTTGCACCTGGTAAACTCCTAATCTTTCAAGATGACCTTTAATGTCTACTTTAACATTACCTGCTCAGGGAGATAATTATAAAGCCTATCCAGTAGATCTTACGATACTCTTCTCTGTGTCACATATCATTTTGAACAAACTTCCATTATGTTTCTATTTGTCTGGATTACCTTCCTGATTTATCTACTAGTCATTGAGCTCTCTGATGACAAATGTTATATTTTATTTCTCATGTCTTTCATCACCTCTAGCACCTGGGATGGGTCTTTAGAGGGAAAGAAAGCTTACTTTATTCTCCCAATCCCAGGGATGGCTTCATTGTCCTGCCTCCTTTCTCATTATTCTTGAGGGAAGAGTGTCATTTATCTGATTGGTCAGATACAGCATGATGACAAGCCACATTAGGTGGTGGGCATGGTCATGGTGGGTTCTCTTTTCTGCTTTTTCCTGTCATGCAACTAGAGCAGTAAGTGGACCAGAGCCCTTCTTTGCACTGCAAGCCTGCTTACTTCTCTCAATTTCTGGTCATCCTTTCCACAGCATCAATAATCTGGAGCACAGTGAGACTGGACTTTGGAGGTAGAGATAAGAGGCTTATTAAACTTACAGTTTAGGAGGATCTGCAAGAATTCCCTTTCTTGACTATTCAGAGCTCCATCAATTTGGGATCTCTGCTGTGTGCTGTCCACTCACAGGGGTAGAACATGTTTTGCCTCCCATTATTTGTGAGTATATTACTAGTTGGGAAATTTCAAAGACCAGAAGTTGGCTTTAGAAAGGTGATAAAGAAAAGTCATAGCAACAGGGTGGTGGACCTCATGGCCCTCATGGCCTCCAAGGAGTAAGACCCCCAGACCACCAGCCCCAGCAAGAGCACGAGAGGAAAAAGAGGCTCACTGCTGGGGAGTCCCTGTCACACTCAGTCCCCCACCTCACTGAGAATCTCCCTTCCTCACAGTTTCCATTCAGACCTCCTGGAGAGGGAGGGGCTGGGGGAGCCCCACCTTGTCGTGTACCATCAATAAAGTCCCCTGTGCTCAGTCAAAAAAAAAAAAAGTCATAGCATATTAAAGGAGTTCTCACAGCTGCAGAGAAAAAAATAGCTGTTGGAGGAAAAAAATGTCAACTTGAATAGAAAAATATTATGAACACTTAAGTTTCAAATGAAGACTCATAGAAATAACTTTTTTAAATTAAAAAAATAAAAAAAACATGATTCCAAACTAAACAATTTGATAAGTCAACCAAAGAAAGTATGGCCTTGGTTGAGAACTGAATTAGTATCCTAGAAGATCAAAGAAAACTTAGAGCAAACATTTTTAAATGGAGATATTGATGAAAAAGATAAAAGACTCTAAGGATAGATCTGGGATATAACATGCCAATAATAGAATTTCCAGAATAAGAAAGAGGAACAGATGTAGGGGTTACGCTAATTTAACATTCATTCAACAAAAATATCCCTGGGATAACAGAAGATTTAATTTTATAAATTTAAAAGATGTACTGATTTCCTGGGATGAGTGATAAAAAAGACCATGGACTTAGGCATAAAAATTTCTAAATTTAAAGATAAAGGGAAGCAGCTCTTAAAGGCTCAAAAAGAAAAATCAAAGTACTTACAATAGTACAATAAACTAGAAAATGGTGGAATTAAATACAAATGAGTAATACATAAGAGTTAAAACCCCAGAAACCTATACCTTGTCAATGTATTAACATGTAAGAGCAAAATAGACAGATATTAGATGGATAGATAGATAGAATAGAGAGATAGACAGATAAATACATACACACATACATACATACATACATACATACAGAGATAATTGAGAATTTAAAATGTGTGTCCCCTTACATAGGGCAATAATATATAATTTATCATTCCAGCTGATAGTGAAAGATGGCACTCTTAATGATTATACCACAGCAACAAGCATAAACTAGGACTTTCTAGGAAAATTGGACTGGCATATAATTTATCATTCTAACTGAATGTGAAAGATGACACTATCAATAATCCACACCAAAGCAATAGTACTTCCTAGGAAAATGGGAATGAATGACCTCTACTCTTATACCACATTTGAGAAAAATGTTGAAAAACTTGAATTATTAAACAAATGTTAGGAGAAACAAGAACTCAAGACAGAAAAAAAATGAATTGGGAAGGAAATAAATGATGAGCATAAAGCTTACAGTTAAATGTAAATGAGTAGTGACAGATCATTTGGAAATAGCAATGTAATATTAAACTAAGGTTCCTGAAATACAGGAAACACATTCCAGATAAATTCTAGTAATAATTCAGAAATAAGAGTAATAAACGTTGTCAGAAAGAATTGAGGTAAGAGTAGGAAAAAGAGGGGGTGTAAACCATTTTAATCACTTCATTTGGAGGGAGAGATAGTATGAGAGAGAGTAGTGAAAGTGTTCTTATGGTCTCAGTTTATTAAGGAGAGTGGAGGAGAAGCAGTGAAATAGATTACAGAGAATTAGGCAAATTCACAGTTAAGACACAGTCCTATAAATCTTCTCAGTCTGCCCAGACTTCTGACACCAGCCACAAATTCAGATGTCCTGAGAGCCATCCTAACTTCAGACCAATTTACTACAAATTTGAGGGTCTCCATGGACTTCTTCATGTTTGATGATTTGCTAGAAAAACTCACAAAACTCAAGAAAGTGCTGTACTTAAGATTGCAGTTTTATTATAGCAAAAGGATACAAATCAGAACCAGCCATAGGAAAGGACGCATAGGGCAGAAATTAAGACTGCAAGTGTTCTGAACACAAAGATTCCATATTCTCAGGGTTGTGTTATCCTCCCAGAGTTGATGTATGGAGATACATACAGAGGGTATTGGCAACCCAAGCAGCTCACCGCAGCTTTGGTGTCCAGAGTTTCAAGCCTGAGGCTTGATCAGCGAGGTAGGTTGGGTGTGTTGCTGTTCATGTGGTTGGACTGAGTCTCCACTACTACCACCCTTCCCTGGAGGGGAACGGGCTGATGTTATGTGGCTCCAAGTGCCAGAACTCTAATCACATGGTTGCTCTTTCTAATGTGGCCAGCCCCTATCCTGAGCCATCTTATTTGCATACACTATCTAAGGGGCCCGACAGAAGTCATCTCATTAGCATAAACGATTAAATGTAGTCGAAAGAGCCCACTGAATAACAAAGTCATTTCTATTATTGAGAAATTACGAGGGTTTTCAGGTTACCCCAAAGAAACTGGGTGCAAAGGCCAGGTCTCTCTTTGGGCAGAAATGTATTTTTTATTACAAAAGAGCATCTTTGTGTAGGAATTAAGCTAATTTTTTAAGCTTATATTTTAGAGGTTATGTACCTAAAAAAAGAGTAGAAATATATAGCATAACTTGTAAATTATCCAGGGAGAAAATAGTTTTTTTTAATTATACTTTAAGTTCTAGGATACATGTGCACAACGTGCAGGTTTGTTACATATGTATACATGTGCCATGTTGGTGTGCTGCACCCATTAACTCGCCATTTACATTAGGTATATCTCCTAATGCTATCCTTCCCCCCTCCCCTTCACCACAACAGGCCCCAGTGTGTGATGTTCCCCACCCTGTGTCCAAGTGTTCTCATTGTTCAATTCCCACCTATGAATGAGAACATGCGGTGTTTGGTTTTCTGTCCTTGCAATAGTTTGCTCAGAATGATGGTTTCCAGCTTCATCCATGTCCCTACAAAGGACATGAACTCATCCTTTTTTATGGCTGCATAGTATTCCATGGTGTAAAATAATTAAATTGCTTAGCTAAATCAGCAAAAATAAGGAAATGTTAAAATATAAGCTATTAGCTAATGGATAAAAAAGACAATGATGTTTTCACCTTGCAAGTCATTCCCTTGAAAGTGAGGGTCCTATCTACCCATTTGTTCTTTTTTCCATCCTATTAGCTGAAATGTGGATGTGATAGAAGAAGATGAACTATTTCTGAATTCAAGATGGACTCTGAATTGAGAAGATAGATGCCTTGGACCTTAACACTATTGAGCTATCAACTAAACTGCAGACCACTTACCTTCATATTTGTGAGATGAAAATAACTGTCTATTTTTAGAGGAGCCCAACCTGTGTCCTAACTAGTATAGCTAGGCATAGAGATACTAAAGAATTGCTATAACTAGATAACCATAATGGAAATAATAATGCCAGAAAAGGTGGCATTTAATGTTGCAAGGACAAAAAAATGGCTAAGATAGATCATTGTGTAATGATAAGAAGCAAAATTCAACATGATGGCCTAAAAGTCATGAACTATGTATTTCAAACAATATAGCACCTAACTACCTAAGGAAACGCTGTTAAAAATATAAAATTTTTAAAAAGAATTGTGAATTTATAACAGAAGACTTTCATGGTGCAATCAATAAGTTTGATTTAAGGAATATATAATATAATATAATATAATATTATATTATATTACAGCCATCAAAGAATATTCAGAATTTTATTTGATGTTTGCCTTCATTAAAAAACTATACTTTTAAAAATATTTTGACTTTTTTTTCAGGGCATATTTCCTGATTTTGAACCAATCAAATTAGAAATAAATAATTTAAGGGTGTTAAAAAATCCTAGCAGTTTGAAAGATGCTAATAAATAACTTAGATTAAAAAGAAAAATCAAAACTGATATTAAGAATTATGGGCATGAAAGAAAAGGAGAATATCTTATATCAAAACATATAAGAAATACACTTGAGAAAATGGATAGCCTTGAATGCCTTTGTTTTCCAAACAAGATGAAAAATAAAAGAACTTGGTATTTATCTTATGGAATTAGACATACACAATAAACAAAAATAATTTGGAGGGATGTATACTTAAGAGGAAAAATGACAATATAATGGAAAAATGGTGGAAAATAATTTTTAAATCTAAAAACTGATATGTGAAAAAAAGATTATTAATTTATACATATTATATGATCTTAGAGACTTTATAGTAGACAAATCTTAATGTGGGTTAAATGTTGTTTCCATGACAGAATGGTTTAAATTTTATTTGAAATTTTCTAAGTTTTTATTGTGATAACTTAAAAAAAACAATGAAAATGAACCTTATGATATGCAAAAGCCATCTGCAAGTTGAATTCAGTCTGTCTGTCACTGGTTTGTGACTTGTAATATATAAGATTCCTTGGTGTGACATTCCCAATTTTTAGCATGCTGTCTTTCACATATGTCAGGTAAACTATGAAAAACACTTTTATGAAAAACAATCAGCCCCTTTTGAGTCCGTTATTTTTCTTCTTGGTATGCCTCTATTAATAGTACTCAGAGCTCAGTTATTCTATTTTTATTTCAGGGAGAACAGCATTGCACTGACTTCAGAAGTGAGGGAAATAAAATTCTTAAAAAATAGTCATTTCATTATTAAACTGATGAACAAGGACAATTTTACTTGATGATTGTCAGATCTATACACTCTAATTATATTTTCCAATCATTTTTGTGGTGTTAGCAAGCCACGATCTACTTTGTACATGTCATAAGATGCTCGATAGTTTAATTCAACTATCCTTTTTCTTTTTAACCAAAGATAATCATGGAAAAACAGAGATTAGTATGTATTCTGATTTATTTCAGACAGGCAGAATACAGTCAGCATTCACTTCTCATGGCTTTCAAGCCAATGACATTCATCTTCCTCATGAATTCTGGATAAATTGAGAATTGCCAAGGATTAGACCATAACAGATTATTTAGCAATGTGGATTAGTCATACAAATCTTTTTGAATCAGTTCCATAAAGATGATAAGTGGCTAAAGCCATGGTGCCAAAGAAAAGAACAATGTACAATCTGTGAACAAAAATGCAGGCCATTTGGCTTCACTATAGCAGTATCCCAGTGTTTTGCCAGAGAAGAGGAAGGGCTTGGAAGGTAAATGAGTCCAGAGATTCAAGCCCCATCTGTTCAGACAGGCTGAAGCTTGCTGGGTTGACAGTGCTTATGCTGGGCATTGATTGATATCATCTCAATTGGCTCTTGACATGAGAGGCAGTTGAGGATGTCTGAATTAGAAATTGGTCCTAGGATCCTGAACATGAGCCAAGAGTAGTAGTTACAAAAAACAAAAACAAAAACTATAGTAAAACAAAGTAAGTGTCCTCTCATTACTGCCTACGCCCCTTTGAAAACAAAAGAAGAAAAAAAAATTAGAAAAAGAAAAGAAGAAAAAAGGAAAAGATGAAGAAAAAGCAGAAAAAGAAAAGAAAAAATGTACAATGGAATTTGAGGCTCGGAAATGACAAATTACCACCTATCTATTTACAATGAATAATCATTTACATATACGTGTTCCATATGTTCCTTTCTGTCACACATAGTTCTTTTATTTCTATTGTTCTTAAATGTTAATTTTCTTTGACATCATAAATTTATATTCAATATTGACAGGTTCTGATAATTTATGAAATTTTCTTTATTTCATGTTTATGTTGTCAAAGCCTTCTTTGTAACCCTATTTAATATATACTATAATTACTTTTTCTGTGTTAATTTTTAATGTATTTCCACATTTATAATATTTTAAAGACATTAACAATTGTATAATGTTCACTACATTAATGTGCAGTAATTTAATCAATTATTTTTTGTTATATAGAAGTTTTCCAACCTTTCAGTATTTTAAATAAATTTGTGATGAATGTGTGTTTACATGCATGTGTAAAATTCTTTTTTTTTTTTTTTTTTGAGATGAAGTCTTGCTCTGTCGCCCAGGCTGGAGTGCAGTGGCACAAACTCGGCTCACTGCAAGCTCCATCTCCTGGGTTCACGCCACTCTAGCCAGGATGATCTCCTGACCTCGTGATCCGCCCGCCTCGGCCTTTCAAAGTGCTGGGATTACAGGTGTGAGCCACTGCGCCCGGCCATGTATGTGTAAAATTCTTTATGTCATTCAGATTGTTTTCTTTGACTGAATCCTTAAGAGAAATCTCGAGATAAAATATAGGCACTTTAAATTGTTTAGATATATGTTGTTCATTTGCTTCTCCCAACTTATCCGTAATATCTGACATGACAATGGAAGAATCTAATCACACCCAGCAACTATGAGTAATCTCATTGGGTTTTGTTGCTGTTGTTTTTATTGCTCTTGTTCTTGTTTTATTGGTAATAATGTGACAGACAACATAGTATCTCATTCTTATCTTAGTTTACATTTGTGTAATTACTTGTGAGATCGAATAAGGTATATAACAGAGTTTCATACATTCCTTTTTTTTTTTTGAGGCGGAGTCTTGCTCTGTTGCTCGGGCTGGAGTGCAGTGGCACAATCTTTCATAATTAAACTGATGAACAAGGACAATTTTACTTGATGATTGTCAGATCTATACACCCTAATTATATTTTCCAATCATTTTTACAGGGTTAGCAAGCCACGATCTACTCTGTACCTGACATAAGATGCTCAAATGCAACCTCTGCCACCCAGGTTCAAGTGATTCTCCTGCCTCAGTCTCCCAAGTAGCTGGGACTAGCAGTGCCTGCCACCAAGCTCAGCTAATTTTGTATTTTTAGTAGAGATGGGGTTTCACTATCTTGGTCAGGCTGGTCTTGAACCCCGACCTCGTGATCTGCCTGCCTCTACCTCCCAAAGTGCTAGGATTATGGGCGTTAGCCACCGCGCCCAGCCCAGTTCCATACATTTCTTAATCAGTGGTTGGTTAACTGTTTGATGAAGTATTTCTCCAAGTTTTATTTTGTGTGTGTCTTAGCGCATCAGGCACTGCAATCAGACCTATACAATCTCTGCCCCCTATAAATTGTATGATCCTTGACAATTTTCTTAATTACTCTTATCTTGATTTGTTTACCATTGGTATGGTATTTATCTCTTGCCCCCTATAAATTGTATGATCTTTGACAATTTTCTTAATTACTCTTATCTCGATTTGTTTACCAATATTGGAACAATATTGTTCCAATATTGGTATGGTATATATCTCTTGATTCTTAATTTTATATTTCTCATCTGAATTCTAGATGATTATATTCAATTATTTCATAGAGTATTCTCTTTTATGTCTCAAAGTTTTCTCAAGTTCAAAATAGCTAACATTAAGCTCATGTTTTTAATCCTTACACTCTCCTATATATTTCTCTCTCTCTCTTTTTTTTTTTTTTATGATTTGCATTCCCATTCAACCATTTTTTCCCCATTCAACCATTTGAACAAGCCAGGAACTTAAAAGTCATTCTCTTTTATTTTCCATAGTCAATACCTAACTATATTCTTTGACAATTTAACTTCCCAATGTCTTTGTCACATTTCATTGAATCTAAAATCCAATCAAGTGTAACATGCCCCATTATTTTCAGTACCTCTAAGAAAGAAGAAATGCCACCAATTGATACATTGCTTGACTCAAGGGTCCTAAATGACCAAGGCTTTTTACAAAATATTGTCATCTGTACCATCAAGAATTTTGGCTGTGTACCTTTTCTAAGAGTGTTGTTCTATTATCTTTTGCATTTTGCAAATTTTCATGCACTTGCATAGGCAATGACGATTGAAAGGCTAAATACAGCACAGAGACTTAAGAAGCATCCTGATTTCAGAGGTGTTAAACATGTTTTAAATTCATCTTAGAATTTTGAATTATGGTGTTTATCTTTTCCTCTGCCGCCATCCCACTAGTCCAAGCTTTACTCATTTATTGCTTAGATAACTACAGTAGTTACTGAAGTAGTCTATCTGCATTCAGCCTTCCCATTTTCTACCCAATCCCATCTTTACCTAGCAGCTACACGGTTTGAAAATATGATAATATCACTTGCACTGACTCTTTCTTCTCTAGCTCTTCAATGGCTTCTCATTATTTTTAGAATAAAGACAAAAACCTTTTTATCTACCAACCAGGACTTGCATGGTCTGACCCCCCATCTCTTCTCCAGCCTCATCCTTCTCTGCCTTTCTTCAAACACCACTCTAGAGGTCACAGCTCCTCAGCTTCTCCGTTGAGTCTTTGCACACATGTAGCTTTCCCCTGACCAAATGTTCTTCTTCCCCATAATTAAATTATCCTTGTACTTCAGATCTCAATTCAAATTACTTTCTCAGGGAAGCATTTCCTGACCTCTTCAGCCAGATATCATTACCCATTAACTTCATTTGTATAGCACATAATACAGTTACAGTCTGATAATTATTTCTGTGATTATTTGGTTAGACCATAAACTCTATAAGGACAAGGATTATGCTTGCATTTGTTCACCATTTTATTGTCAGCAATTAGCACAGATTCTGGGAAAGAATAGATGATCACCATGTATTTATTTAATGTATGAAAGAATAAATGGTTATTACTAGAAATAAATGTAATCCTGCAGATTCGAATAGTGCAGTATTAACTGTTTCATAGTAAGCACTTGATAAACATTAACTTTTATTGTTGTGGTTATTGACTCGTTCTTCAGATGGCATCTCTTCTGGCTTCTCACCCACTTTTAAAGAGTTAACATCCCTATATATTGTCACTAATTTCTATGTGTTTGAAGTGCAATGAACCCAAAAGATCTCTCTTAGTTGTAGAATAATTGTATCTGCCCTGCAACATTGGTTTTCTTGGCATCAATTGTAATGAAACTTACTGAATTGAGAGCACATCAAGCTAACACCATCTGGAATAAGCCTCAGATTTACATCTCTAGAAGAGTGAGAAATCAAGAGCCAAGTTTGCCCTCATTTAAGAATCTCAAGCCTATAATCATGATTTATCTTGTCTTTGGTTTGTTTGTTTCGTATTTTCTTAGTAAAAACAAAGAATAAGAGGTTTGCTTTAAGTTGCTTATTATAGCAATTCTCCTTAAGGAATGCTAGCATTTCATTTTAATTATCTATCCTTAAATCCCTTAAAACTATGGATTTTTTTGCTCAAAGGCCAACTCCACTTCTGCATTACTTATTAAAATTTCTTTTATATAAACTCCATTAGTACAGAAAAGAAGCCCACAAAAACGTCCCGTTCAACACTATCATTTCTGTGCATTTGCTTCTGGTTTAATTGGAGCCCTTGATGGCTATTTCATGATCATCATACATTGATTGACCATGTACTGTGGATAGGAACAAGATTAGCTATTGCAAAGGACACAGATAAAATTGAGAGGCATATACCATAAGCTCTTTCAAGTTCCTTCTTTTGTTTCTTAACATCTTTTAATACTGGAAAGCTCTTCTTCTTTGAGAATAGGCAGAAAAAGCTTGCTGCTTCAGTTAAGAGCAAACTTACTAAAATCAAGTTTCATAAGTCACATCAGTCTCTAATTCCTCATCTGTAATACTATAGCTATCTGTGATAGATTGCATCATTGTCACCAAATCTTTATCTTTCTTGTATCCATGTCCTTTGCCTTTACAATTGCTCTCACTAAGGGCTGATATATTTCCTCACTCCAGTGATATTAGACTTGGCCATGTAACTTACTTTGGCCAAAGGAATTTTATTAGGCCGATGAGAACAAAGGCTAGCTCTCCTGTGTTTCTGTCACAATCGTGAGAAACACATACTCAAGGTAGCCAAATTGTACAAAGAAAAGGAAAGCCATATAAAGCATATCTAGATGACTCATGCCTTGGAGCCAACCCGAATTGAACCCAAAGTATATCAGCTGACTCCCAGCCTGACTGGCAAACCTATGGGCAAGAAAATAAGTTCCTATTGTTGTTTGCCACTGACTTTTGGAAAGTCTTGTTATCTACCAATAGCTTGACTAATATATATCATCATATTTTTTACATAATTAAGAAAGGCACTATATTTAAGATGCTTAATACACTGAGATTCTAAATAAATGATATTTTCTAGAATAAGTAATGAAGAAAAACCTCCAGTAAGATCAATAGGCTTTGGCAAAGCACCTTAGAGTTCTAAAATAAACCGAACAGCATTTGACAGTCACCTCTACCAGCTATGTGTCCTGGGGAGGATATTGAACTTCTGTAAGTCTTGATTTGCTCATCTTTAAATTGAAGATGGTGATGATGAATAACTCATAGTGTTTTAAGAATTCATTGAGATTGTGCTTAGCAACAATGTGACACATAGTAAGCTTTCAATACATGTTAGCTATTTTTATTACAATTACTTTTATTATTATTAATTAAATATTCATAATAATTTTCATTGCATAGTCAATACTATTTTGATAATTTCCTTAGAGGAAAAAAGAATGTTCAGTTTTAGAAATATTGGCGAATTGTATTTTTTTGTCAACCTACTTCAAAAAATTTTGAAGTAAATTGTTAAATCAAAAATTAACAATTTCCCCTTTATAGGTCTAATATATCTGCTGCTCAGAGTGCTTGTTTTGACAAAGGTTTCAAAATCGACAACATTTGAAACATCAAGTAGTTTGACTTCCACTGTTCTCTTCAAGGTTGTTTTTTTGTTGTTGTTTGTTTTTTGTTTTTTTCTGCATCTATTTGGTTAATAGGGCAAGATCATGAGTGAAGACTATCAGGATCCTTCTAGTCCATCATCTAAGCCTGGTAATTCCTCCTGGTCAGCATATCCTGTTAATATTATATGGCATTTAGGTAAGGAGCTCTACTTAAATGAATGTCTTTCTTGATGTAAAAGGTCACTTCCAATTATTACAGCATATATTTATTTATTCCTATTTAACATTTGTCTCTCTCAGTAGTAAGTAAGCTTTCTGAGGGAACAGATCTTGTCTTGCTCACTGAAGCATCCTTAAAGCCTAAAATATTACCTGGCACACCGGGCTCAATCAGCAAATACTTGCTAAGTGAGTAAATGAACTAACATAATTAAAAATGGTTAAAACTCCTTGCATTTTTACATGAATTATTAATAGTATTCTTAAACTATCAGTAAGAAACCAGTTAGTTGCCAAATATTGCACAGCTTTGGGAAGTGAAATCAGGCCAACCCCAAAGCTCTACTTATAAAAACTACCCACTAGTTACAGTGCTGGAGCACCTATCATTTTATTATCATTTAATCTACCTATTAGAGAAGTGAACTGGATTAGACCCATTTGCAAAGAATCAAAAGAGAAAACAAAACAAAACAAAAAAAGCGCTAGTATATATAAAGAAAACCTACCAATTTGAATTTCTCATTCAAAAAAGATTTTTAGCGCAGACAAAATTTTAGAGGCAGCAATAGGAAAAATATTTTATAAATATTAATTTTCAGTAGACACCTTTCTTCTTCATTCACATGAAGGTTTTCTTTCTTCTTTTTTACATTTATCTCTTGGAGTTATGAAGTCATAGCTCTTAGAGATAAAAATAGCTTCAAGAGTCTGTTTCTGTTTCCTTTACAGTCATGTATTGCTTTGCTTTTGTTTTAAGATGTCTCTTAAAACAAATTTAGAAAAGAAATTGGCTTTCCCTGGATCACTGAACCACACACGTGCTTTTTACTTGCCTGGGTAGTATTGCCCGAAATTCAAGGGTTATGACTCCAGAATATGATTTATTCAAGGAAGGTAAGAGAATGAAGTAAGAAAGTATGCATCGATTTATTTTAGGATAGAAATGTAGACTCAAAAATTATAAATTTCCCAAAGTAAGTTACCTGTCTGGTTTTGGTTCCTTAACCAGATCACACAGCAGTCTGCATACACAGTCACACTTAACATAATTAAACTGAATTAATTAATTAATAGCAACTGGCTGTTAGAGACAAATTGCTGAATTCTTTTGTTCTGCATTTTGCAGAAATGCACATAAGGTATTTAGAGTAAGTTTAATTAATTCTGAGACGTTATTTTCCATAGTCTAATTGACCATTGTGGAGATGCACCCTGTGCTACTTAAAAGACTTTTGTCTCTAGCTGCTCAGAGCACCCATTGGCAATGTAGCCCTAAGATAATCAAACAGATTTTCTGGAGAAGCTGAATTTTTTATCTTAGGACAAATGTACCCTTTCACCATTTATTCTCTCTCTCAAAGCTGGAAACTTAATGCTTAAAAAAGAGAATATATCTTTCTTCAAAGGTTATATCTGAATTGGTTGCTCTAGTCTTTTATTAGTTAGCACTCTTTGGTTTCAAGTGAAATAAACCCACTTGAACTACTTTAAGCAAAGCAGGAGGATTTATTATAAGATTCCAGAGATAGTTCACAGACACTGAGAGCATACAGCCTGGTGGACCTCAATAGTGACTTGGATTGTAATGCAGCTAGTTTATAAGCTGATCCAAACATGTATGCCTTGTTGAACTTCCTGAGCTTGACCAATTCTCTTAGCTGGTCACCACTCACAGTAGTTACTAGCGTCATGCTGCAATTATTTTTCTAACGCCTTTGTTTTCCCTCAGTGTGAAGTGTTTGAAGCTTCCTTGAAAGAGAGGTGACAAAGGAAGCTCACCTCCTTCAGTTCTACTGGTTAATAAGAACCTTTCCTCTCTTTCCTATAAGCTTCAGAGAGTACGATATTTGCTTTCTTCAAATTATGGACAATTATGTTTGCAAGTAATTAGACTAGTTAGCTCTTCCATTAACTCCCTCTTAGACAGGAAGGGAAGATCAGCTTCAGGCTCAAAGCAGATTCTCTGGGAGCAGAAAACACTTCAGCAGGGTAAGCTTATGACACGACTCAATTCCAGAAGCTATAAAACTTCTGTCACTTAAAGTCATTCGTTATTTGCGCTACCTATAATTATTCCAGATTGACATTTTATGGATTTTGAAAAGATTAAGAAAAAATAATATACCATGAATTTACATCTTATGAAATAATGGTGTATGTAAACAATCAATAAATGCCAATAAAATTTTAAGTTATTAAAAATTTGCAAGATATTGAACCTACACTAACAGTCAATACTAACTGCTGACGCTTTATGATGGAGCTGTTGAAAAATAAATTATATCATTGCTTCTTCTTACTAACCTGGCTGGAAATATTTATTGCTTAAATCAATGGCTATTTGAAACTATCTTAAATATTCCTATATGTCTAATTCTAATCAAAGTCTCAAAAATGGGTGGTACCTGGAAAAATGATTCAGCTTAAAAACCACCACTTTATCAGCTCTAAGAAATACTTCCAAAAACACATTTTTAACTCTCTCTCGATGTATATGATCATATAATATCACAAAATGACTTTTAGCATTTCTTAGGCATTCTTCAGCGTTCTGGGTTACAGACCACAGAATTCACTTATATAGAATAAACAGAAAGATATTTGTTAGATGGGTTACAAAATTTCCAGGAAGGCCAGAAGCCAAGAGCGTATAGTGCAGAGCCTAGAATAATGCATCCAGGAGATACCAAATATACCACTAAATGCTACTGTTGGCCACACTGCTACCACTACTACCTGGCACTCTGAATCTGTGTTTCTAGGAGGTGGTGTGTAGCACCTCCACTGTCATATTTCTGGAAGACATGGTTTCCCCACATTGATCATGTCCACTTTTCTCACAGGTGCATAGGTATGGCAAAACTTAGATCACTTCCTAGAGGGAGTCTGGGAAGTATACATTTTACCTTTTCATCCTTTGTCCTATAGGTCTATGTTAGGGATTTTGAAGTACAAACTAATGAACCAGTCAGCAATGTCTGCCACACCATGAGACCCTAATTTAGTGAAACACGTTTTGAATGATGTTGATTCAATTATAGTTTATCTTTTACAAATAAAAATGCCTGCTAATTCTACCAAACATACCACAAATGTCTCCTGCTTTATGTCTTCCCAAGTCTCATCAAGACATAGAACTTTATGCCTCCAGACTAGCATTTTAATTCACAAGTTTATTTTTTCATTTTTATTACTGAACTGTGAACTCCACAAGCACAGAGAAAGTTTACCTCTGAAGCAATATTATCTTGGTAGCTAAATCAGATTCTGATTATGGGTCACTTTAGAACCTCCTTGCTTAATTCTCCTTCTCTCAAGGCTGTAGCCTGCTTTCCTCTCAAAGCAGCACTCCCAGTGGCTCACACAGTTTGCTTGGTCATCAGCCAACCTACTGGGGAAGCTGCCTGCTGGTTTGAAAGAGCACCCAACGATCTGGAAGACTGTCTACTGCAACTGTACATGGTTGCACCAGATCCACGGAGCCCTTGAATTGCCCCTTGGCAACCTTAAAAGGACCTAGAAGTATGAAAAAATCATCAATGTCACTTGGGATGGACTTTGAACAAGGTAGGAGACAGCCAGTGGATACATTTGTTTCTTTTCTCCCCTGGACAAACTGTTCAAAGATGTGATACTTCACAGTCACTCTGAAGATGCTCTCCATGAGTGAGCCTTCATCTGCCTTTAGTGGGAAGCTGTGGTCAGTTCAGTAATGCACACTTTTTTATTCCCTTCGTCTCTGTCTCACTTCCCTTCTTCCTCTCTTCAGTTTTTATGTGATTTCATACCCCAGTAGCGTGTTAACTCATA
Source organism: Homo sapiens (assembly GCF_000001405.40). NCBI lineage: Eukaryota > Metazoa > Chordata > Mammalia > Primates > Hominidae > Homo > Homo sapiens. Next base: position 69,201,116 of record NC_000001.11, read on the forward strand.
GCTTTTGCCTCAATCCTATTTTCTAGGGGGACCAAGCTAAGACAATATCTGCTGAATGAATACATGAAAGAATAAAGAAAGTATAGCTAAGAGTATAGCATTGACCTGCTTAAGGTCCAAAGACAGCTAGGGAAAAGCCAGAACACAGTCTCCACTCAATTTTAAGACCACTGAGGAGGGAGACATTGGTTATGATTTTACATTCAACATTTTACACAGGGCCTGGCAGATAGCAAGAACTGGAAAACAGTTGATTAGTAAAGGAAGAAAGTCAGGTAGTCAGGAAGGAAAGAAGGGCAAAGAAAGGGAATAGATCATCAAAGTAAGAATTAAAAATGGAGCTCAGGGAACTCCAGGATTTGAGAGGTGGGATCTAAGTAGCAGGCTGAAGTGGATTCCAGCTTAGGGTTGGATCAGGCTATGGTTTAGAGTTTCAGGGCCAATGCTCAGGCTTATAGGAGTTATAATACATCTCTGAACTTCCAGAATAGAACAAAGGACTCCAGACACTAGCAATCTCATGAGAACAAAATGCCCAAGTGTGGAATTACAGAATAATATGGGCTGAAAGAGCTTTAAAAATGCATGGAGCCTCCACTCTACTCCTCCTTTCCCCACCACATCTCCAATACCGCCCAGATTCTAATTCCATGTCCTTATTCTTTTCTACTAAGCTCCAAGGGATCCTCAGAATCTTTCACAGAGTACTCAAGGCAATCATGTCCACAATCATTTGGTGTTTGTACGTAACAAGAATTTTATCTGTCTTCCTGAATCTTACATAATTTGCCCATTTACAGAGGTCAAGAATGTAGACCAGAGATGGAAGGAAAAAATCCCAGTATCACACCACACGCATCCTACTTTAATATCAGTGCCTTCTCTTAGTCATCTGAAATATTTTGTTTATGATTTCAGCCACTTAGAATTTTGTAATAACTGACTTATCTTTCATTGATGATCTCCTTAAAATGTAGGCTGTCATCTTAACCTATACTGAATTTAGAGTTCTCTTCCATCAGTTATTTTTTTCTGAAGGTCTATTCCACTTGAAGTATAGAGATGAATCTGTTCAGCCTTTCAGATTTTCATAACTTGACATTAGTTTACATTTTTAATAATCTTGTTTCAAGGAAAGATTGGTGATTCTGGATCTTCAATCTGGTATTTTTGTTTTGTTTGAGTCTCATGCTATAATTCTCTATTTTTTTGTATTTGCTATGTTTTATTTTATTGATACATACTATTTTACATATTTATGGGGTACATGTGAGTGTTTGTTAATACAAGGCATGTGAAATTATCAAGTCAATCACGGTATTTGAGGTATCCATCACTTTGAGTATTTATCCTTTCTAAGTGTTGGTATCATTTAATGCTAGAATACTTGAGCAATTTGGAATGGGGATTACTAGACTTCTGGTCAATTGGCAACTGAGGGTCAGATATAGTTTTAAATATATTAGGGAATTATATTCATATAATTACATTTATATAATACATATAACATACTGGAGTTATTTCTTTATTACATATATTATATATGTACACAATATATATTACATATATATGTGTATGTTTATAGATATACACACACCAATAAAAACAAGGAGGAAGGAAGGAAGGAAGGAAAGAAAGAAGGAAAGAAAAGAGGAAGGGAGGAAAGGAGGGAAGGAGGAAGGGAGGGAGGGAGGGAAGGAAAAGAAGAAAAGGATAAAGCCAGGATGTGGTAAAGACCATCGCCATCTCAAATACATCCATGCTCCTCTACGTTTCTCACCCTCATTGAAATTATGTTCAAGGAACTTGTGATTGGGTTCAGCCTGATGAGATGCAGATACAATTGATATCAGCTGCATACAGACCAGGACTTTCTAAAACCACAGAAAATATCCAGCCTTTTTTGCAATGATTTTGTAATGATATGATTGAGAACTAAATTTTCAGTGTGATAAACCACTGAAATTTCAAGGCTAATCTTTTGCAGAAGCTAATGTTAATTGCCTTAACTAACATATAAATTGCTTTCTGGAAATTGGTGCTGGCATAGAAAGACCCAAAATATTTATCAGTGGCTTTGCAGTCATGGGGCAGGTGGCAATGAAATTGATTTTGGAATCTGAAAGGTAGTGATATAAGTCAGAGACAAAATATTTAGTGAAGCCATCACCTGTGATAACTCAAAGTCAGGCTCTATATCTGTTGAATTTTTATCTCTGGAGGGCTAGCATGGAAAACAACATGCTAGGAATGTGCTCTGGTTACTTATGATTTCATTCAGGAAGGACTGAGGAGAAAGATATGAGCTCAGGAAAAAATTAGCTGGTTTGCAAGTATAATCAAAGTGAATAACAAGAGACCAAATTTGAGATCTTGCCCAGTTGGAAAATCTATTCGGCATGTTTTCTGAATTTTTAAAAATGTCTTATATTGAACATGAACAGGCATACCTTGGAGATAGTGGGTTTATTTCCAGACCATTGCAATAAAATGAATATTGTAATAAAGTGAGTCACACAGATTTTTTGGCTTCCTAGTACATGCAAAAGCTATATTTACACTATACTGTAGTCTATTAAGTGTGCAATAGCAGTAGGTCTTTAAAAACAATGTATATACCTAAACTGAAAATACATTGTTGCTTAAAACAAAAAAAAAAAGGTAACAATTATCTGAGCCTTCAGTAAGTCATTGTCTTTTTGCTGAGGGTCTTGCCCTGATGCTGATAGCTGCTGACTGACCAGGATGGTGGTTGCTGAAGATTTGGATTGTTGTGGAAATTTTTAGAAATAATATAGTAATAAAGTTTGCTGCATCAATCAAATCTTCCTTTCATGAAATATTTCTCAAGAGCATGCAATGCTATTTGATAGCTTTGTTTTTTAACATTAGAACTTCTTTTAAGATTGGAGTCAATCCTCATAAACCCTGCTACTGCTTTATTAACTAAATTTATGTAATATTCTAAATCTTTTATTGTTGTTTCAGCAAAGATTATGACATCTTCAATAGGAGTATATTCCATCTAAAGGACCCACTTGTTCATCCATAAGAAGTAATTTCTCATGCATTCAAGTTTTATCATGAGATGACAGCAATTCAGTCACTTCTTCAGGCTCCACATCTAATGATAGTTGCCTTGGTATTTCTACTACATCTGCAGTAACTTCTTCCACTGAAGTCTCGAACCCCTCAAAATTATTCATGATGATTGGAATCAACTTATTCAAAACTCCTGTTAATGTTGATATTTTTTATCTCCTCCCATGCCATGAACCATAAATATTCCTAATGATATCTAGAATGGTGAACCCTTTCCAGTGGGTTTTCAAATTACTTTGCCCAGATCCATCAGAGGAATCATTATCTATGGCAGTTATAGCTTTAAAATTGTTTTTTTTAAATAATAAAACTTGATCAAAAGTACTCCTTGATTTTATGGGCTACAGAAAGGATTTTGTGTTAGCAAGCATGAAAATAGCATTAATTTCCTTGTATATATCCATCAGGCACTTGGGTGCATCAGTGCATTGTCAATGAGTAATACTATTTTGAAAGGAATCTTTTATATTCTGAGCAGTAGGTCTCAACAGTGGGCTTAAAATATTTAGTAAACTATACTGCCAACAGATGTGCTGTCATCCAGTCTTTGTTGTTCCATTGATAAAGCACCATCAGAGTAAATGCAGCATAATTCTTAACAGTCTTAGGGTTTTTGAAGTGGCAAATCAGCATTGGCTTCCCCATAAAGTCACCAGCTGCATTAGTCCCTAATGAGAAAGTTAACTTGTCCTTTGAAGCTTTGAAGCCAGTCATTGACTTCTCCTCTCTAGCTATGAAAGTCATAAATGCCATCTTCTTCCAATAGAAGGCTGTTTCATCTACATTGAAAATCTGTTTATTGTAGCCACCTTCATCAATGATGTCAGTTAGCTCATCTGGACAACTTGCTGCAGCTTCTACATTAGCACTTGCTACTTCACCTTGCACTTTTATGTTATAGAGATGGCTTTTCTCCTTTAAACTCATGAATCAATCTCTGCTAGATTCCAACTTTTCTTCTGCAACTTTCTTGTCTCTCTCAGGCTTTATAGATTTGAAGAGGTAGAGACTTGCTCTGAATTATGCTTTGGCTTAAGGGAATGTTGTAGCTAGTTTGATCTTCTATCCAGACCACTAAAAATTTATCCTCATCAGCCAAAAGGCTATTTTACTTTCTTATCATTCATGTGTTCAACGGAGTGGCAATTTTAATTGGCCAAATTTCAGTATTATTGTGTCTCATGGAATAGAAAGGCCCTATGAGAGGGAGAGACAAGGTGGGGACATCTAGTCAGTGGAGCAGTCAGAACATACGACGTTTATGGATTAAGTTGACTTCCTTATATGGGTGCAGTTTATGGTACCCTATAACAATTACAATAGTAACATCAAAGATTGCTGATCACAGGTCATCATAACAGATAATAATAATGAAAAAGTTTGAAAAATTGTGAGAATTATTAAAATGTAGCACAGAGACACAAAGTGAGCATATGCTGTTGGAGAAATGGCACCAATAGACTTGCTTGATGCAAGGTTGTCACAAACCATCAATTTGTAAAAAAAAAAAACACCTGCAAATTGCAATAAAACAAAGCACAATAAAGTGAGATGTGCCTGTATTGCTTTTATGATGTAGAAAAATATCTGTAAATTAAGGAAAGTTTATTCACAACAAAATGAGTAGTTTCCAGAGCACAGAGATGGTGAAGTAGAAGTAAGATTGAACAAAGTAAGGTGAAGAAGAGAAGAAATAATAAGGCAACAGGAATATCAGGTACAGGTCATTGGGAAATGAGCTGGAATAATGATGGGCAATACACTGTTACTACTGAATAAAAGGGAAGTACACAGACCTAATCAGTACTAGCTACAATGACTGGTGGGCTATGTTAGGAAGTGATCTCCTTTAACTCATTCTTACAAATTAGAGTCCTTGAAAGCATGGTGGTCAGTCCAGCTGGACCCTAGTTCAGATGCTAAAACTTCAAAAAGTGGCTCATAGGGCTGGGAGCGGTGGCTCAATCCCATAATCCCAGCATTTTGGGAGGCCAAAATGGGCAGATCACTTGAGGTCAGGAGTTCATGACCAACCTGGCCAACATGGTGAAACCCAGCCTCTACTAAAAATACAAAAATTTGCCAGGCTTGGTGGCGTGTGCCTGTAATCCCAGCTACTTGGCAGGCTGAGGCAGGAGAGTTTGCTTGAATCGGGAGGTTGCAGTGAGCCAAGATTGTGCCACTGCACTCCAGCTTGGGTGACAAAGTGAGACCTTATCTCTCAAAAAAAAAAAAAAAAAAAAAGTATAGGAAACTGTTATCAAATTCAAGCTTGGGGCAAGGATTTGTCCTCTGTCTCTAAAGGGAAGAAGTGCAAAGACATTTGTTAAAGGTTCTGTAGAAAAGGTAGGTTGAAGAATAGGGAAAAACAATGCAATCTACCACATCTGCTTCATTTTTATTTCTCTCCCCAACACTAGAATGTAAACATCATTAACAGGATTGGGTATGCTATATACATTGCCATTTCCCCAGCATCTATAACAGAATCCATTACAACCATCAAACAATATTTTTAAATGTGTGATATGATCTTGAAAGTGAGCTGGATTATCAACCTGTGAAAATGAATCAAAACTTAATCTTGTAGTTTTAAAAATTACAACAGTTAAATAAACCTCAATTTTTTTATTACTTTGAAAAATAGGATTTTAGGGTAAAATGTCTATTGGTTAACATGGAAGAGAGTCTAAAAATGGAAGTTTTGATATTGAACACAGACTAGTTTCTATAGCAATGAAGCAGCCTCAATTCAAGGTTTTATGATTTCAAATTAAAAAGGGCAAGCATCATATTGTCATATTTTATATGTACGTGGTCAGCATCAAACACATAAACACATAAATAAACACATCCACAACTTATAAGCATTTATAACATATTAACAAGAAGAAGCAGCTTTCTGCTCATGCCCTTGCTATTAATCATTATGGCCATCGTCTTACATTTTATTGATTACATTTTATAGCCTTCTTATGAGGGAAGGATTTTATGGTTTTCACTGCTCTTGGAGAATAATACAGCTTATGTCCACAGTGATAAGACCAACATAAATCTACCAGATGATTGGTTGCAGTTTTAAGAGGTGGGTTTAAAGAATCTATATATCTTTAATTTAGCATGCCTCTTCAATACAGTCTCTGTGAAATATAGAAATATAGAAAAGCACTTTTCTGTTGCTCTTATGCATAGATTTTATGTGTAGTTCTGTTATAATAATAACAACTGACATTTATTAAGTGTTTACTATATGTTGGGCATGCTTTTAAGTACTCTGTATATATGTTTTGTAAATTTTCATGCTGACACTGAAAAGCTGCTATACTTTCCTCTTTTAATAAATATAGACACTGAAGGAGAGGGTTTAATTAAGTTGCAAATGATTTGCATGTCCATCATTTATTCACTCATTTAACAAGATTATTGAATACCCCTTTTTGTTAGGTATTATGATAGAGATTGGGAAGCAAGATGTAAATAAGCAAGTAAGTTTCTGGATCTTGGAATACTTAAATGTTTGTGATAAAGACAATACATGAAAACAAGCAGCAACAATAAAGAAGATAACTTCCTCTACTGATATATCTATGAAAAACAAATTAAATATAATGATAAATACAGTAAATATGGGTATAGAGTGTGGCTTTAGATAGGAGAGTCAAGGAATGTTTAACAAAGTGAGAGTAGAGTTTAAGCTACGTGGAACTGAATCTGCTAAGACAAATTAGGCATAGAAGATGCAGGGAAAGAGACTTCCAGCCAGGGTGAAGAGTGAGCAGGAACAGAAAGGAGGCCAGTATACTTGCAGCATAGTGCATGAGAGACAACAACAAAAAGAGGTCAATCAAGTAAACCCAAGTCCTCTCACTCTGGAGCCTGCCTTCTTATGTAATAACTAAGATTTTGAACTCTCTCAGCCATAGAGTATTCCCAGCTTGGGAATGAACTGCAAGGCCAAGGTTGCTGTCCCAAAGCGTAAAATCTCTGAGAACTCTCCAGCATTCTTAAAACATATAAATTTTACATTCTATTTCTAATATATATTTAATTTATCATGAGAATAATACCCCCTTCCTCTTGAATTTCTTGGAAGATGAGCCATATTTCTTCTGAGACTCTGCAGGGAACTGCCTGGAGCATTTCTGAGCATACCCGAATGTATATAGGATACATTTTGAGAAACACGATCACCATAGCTTATGGTAAGAACTGGGTAAATGCTTAATGAACAAATGAATGAACTTATTCATTGTGTTACTCTCTACTGAGCACATGAAGTGTCACATCATAGCCTTAAAAGTCTTGTTGGGAGGTAGCAAAGAATAGTGTTAAATATGCATATGAATTTCTTATTTAGGTTTATTTAGGTTTGAATTTTGACTAGCATTTGCTAGTATGTGATCTAGGACAGATTATTTAAATTCTGTGTGCCTAAATTTCCTCACCTGTAATAGCTGGGATAATAAAATACTGTAGTAGCTTTGAAGAATGAGGATTGTGTAAGAAACTTAGCATGGCACATAGGATACTGTATGAAGCAACGTTAGGTACTACACAGGGAATTGGAAAATCTCACCATCTGCTAATAACCAGAGAGGAACTGCTTTCGAGGACACATGGATGAGTATTTGGAGACTGAAAAGAGTAAAACTCAGAATGCTTACATCTGGGAGTGATATCAGGGGACAATATTAAACTATAGTATCTTAGTATAGCAAAGCCTGGTCATAGTAGGCTTTTGAACATGTATTGAATCAGTTAATCAACAAGTAAAGGAATGACCAGTAGCGTGGTGTGTCACATGTGACTGGAACATGAAATAGTTGATACAATAATATTTTAATTCATTCTTTTTTTGTAACTTACAGGGATTTCAATTTTATCTTAACATTGCATCACTGCCAAAAGTATTTCATAGCCAAATATTTTAAAGATATCATGGATATGTATGGATATACTAAAATCTGTGATGAAGTACTTTCACCCTGGCCTATTTCAAACTACCTGTGTAATATCACTGAATGCAGAGATGGAAAAAGACAAACAGAATTAGCTCTTTTGAGCTGGTATGAACGAACTACAGCAAACCACCACTTTATTCTATCAGGATCTTCTACATGTATATGGTGACCTAAACTCCTCCCATCTTTTGTTACACAGCCTGCCTGTTAGCAAAGTGTGGAAATGTTTTGCATTTCCTTATGTCGTATTGCTTATTACACACTTTCTTGAGTGGGCAACAAGGGAAAACGTTATAGCGCATGCATACTTCCTGGGGACAGTATTTCAGGTCCATGAAATTGTTCTATCATGTGTATCACACACAAAATGCATTGAAACCCGATGGTGTAAGAGGAGGCCAATCTAATTTGATCCTTTTTTTGAAGACACAGAGACTTGCTCATGCCAGTGCCCAGAGAAGATGAAGTCCTAAGAGTTTGACTAACTTGTCCTAACTGAAGTTTCTATGACACTGAGACAGACAGAAAACTGCCATGTCTGCATGACTAGAATAGAAAATATTCTTTTATTAGAAAGCAAAATGAACCATAAGCTACCAACTGACTTACTATAAAGTTAAGCAACAGATGCTGAAAGTCCATCGATCAAGTCTTTCTTTTCTTTTTTTTTTTTTTTTTTAAGTTAATAACTCTACACTTTAACTGGATCAAAATAAGACCTGATGCTCCCATTTCACTTTAGGGATGGTCTTACCAATGACACTGTTGGTTAAAGTTGCCTTTACCAATGCAACTAATAGTGGAATGGCTCCTACCAGAAATTGCTTCAGTTTTCTTTTTCAGTGATCCCATGGCTGATCACACTCATTCCTCAAACATCACTGCACTATTTCTTTATGTGTTTTTATATTTTTAATCAACTTATAATCTAATCCTAGGTGATAAAGTATTCTCTCTCAGAGTTACTGAATATCTCCACTCTGACCATTACATTATACAAGTTAGCCCTTGAACAACACAGGTGCAAATAGTGCAGGTTCACTTACACACAGATTTTCTACTGCCTCTGCCACTCCTGAGACACCAAAACCAACTCCTCCTTTTTCTCTTCCTCAGCCCACTCAACATGAAAATGATGAGGATGAAGACCTTTAGGATGATTCACTTAAATATATTTTTGCTGGGCACAGTGACTCACACCTGTAATCTCAGCTATTAAGTAGGCTGAGTCAGGAGGATCTCTTGAGGCTAGGGGTTCAACACCAGCCTGGGCAACATAGTGAGACTGCATCTCAAAAAAAAAAATCCTTTAAAAATTAGCTGGAAGGCCGGGCGCGGTGGCTCACGCCTGTAATCCCAGCACTTTGGGAGGCCGAGGCGGGCGGATCACGAGGTCAGGAGATCGAGACCATCCCGGCTAAAACGGTGAAACCCCGTCTCTACTAAAAATACAAAAATTAGCCGGGTGTAGTGGCGGGCTTCTGTAGTCCCAGCTACTTGGGAGGCTGAGGCAGGAGAATGGCGTGAACCCGGGAGGCGGAGCTTGCAGTGAGCCTAGATCCCGCCACTGCACTCCAGCCTGGGCGACAGAGCGAGACTCCGTCTCAAAAAAAAAAAAAAAAAAAAAAAAAAAAAAAAAAAAAAATTAGCTGGAAATGGTGATGTGTGTCTGTGTCCCAGCTGCTTAGGAGGCTGAGGCAGAAGGATCCCTTGAGCCCAAGAATTTGAGGTTGCAGTGAACTGTGATTATGCCACTGCACTATAGCCTGGGCAACAGAGTGAAAAACCTATCTCTTAAATTTTTTTTTTCTTATGATTTTCTCAATATTTTTTTTTTTTACTGTAGCTTACTTTATTATAAAAATACAATATATAATACATATAACATACAAAATATGTGTTGATTGACTTTTTGTTGTCAATAAAGCTTCTGATCAACAGTAGGCTATTAGTGGCTAACGTTTTTGAGGAGTCAAAAGTTATACATGACTTTTCAACTGCATAGGGTGTCAGCCCCCTTGACTCTCATGTTATTTAAAGGTCAAATTTATTTTATTCTCACAAATTCACTGTCAGATGATAATCTTTTCCCCTAATTTCCAAGCTGTTGTGGGCATCTCACCATTGCTAAATTTGTAGCAACGTAGCGTTGCTACAAAGTTAGTAGCAAATATAATATTGGAAGGAGTTTGGTTCAGGGTTTTATTTATTCAACCCAAAATACTAACTGTTCCTTTACTATGTGCCATATTTTGTGTGTGGCATTGGGAATACAATTATCAGCTGGACAGATGATCCCAGATTTCATGCACATGTAGACCCACTAGTTTTACAACTTACTAGCTGTCTAAATGTGCAAATCAGTTCATCTCTTTAAGCCTTGGTTTCCTAGGCTGTAAAAATGAGTATAATATTTACCTTGCAAAGTATATTGGGGAAATAATAAAAAACAAAATCTTCCCTCAACCTGAAAATCCTCTGTACGAAGGTAGTACAGAAAGAAAATAGTTTTATGATTAATTAAACATTAATCCAGAATGTGATTATTCATCATATGAAATCCACTGAGAGGCTGCAAAGACAGGAAGAGCTCTCACCATTTTATATAGCCAAGCAGATACAACCTATTATATACATGTTCACACGATAAAGAACTGGTTCTCAAATAAGAGGATTTGACAGTACCATTTGTCGCCCATAGTTCATCCTAACTTTACCTAATAATTGAGGTGACCATCTGAGTTAGGTAATTGGCTTTGGCCACAGCAAAAACAAACTTCTCGTAAGTTTCTGAGAGGAACTAGTTCTACAACTTGGAGCAAGGTGCTCAGGGAATTTAGGCTATTACTCTCTCATGGAAACTGGGAGATAGGAGTTCTATTTCTCTATTACTCTCTCATGGAAACTGGGAGATAGGAGTTCTATTTCTCTTGATGGTTACATTTCAAAGAGATAGTTTTCAGGTGTTTGAGACAGACATTCCTGTGTCATTAAGTTGACAAAAGCCTAGTTTTCTTTTTTTTTTTTTTTTTTTTTTTTTTTTTTTTTTTTTTGAGACGGAGTCTCGCTGTGTCTCCCAGGTTGGAGTGCGGTGGCGCAATCTCGGCTCACTGCAAGCTCCGCCTCCCGGGTTCACGCCATTCTCCTGCCTCAGCCTCCCAAGTAGCTGGGACTACAGGCGCCCGCCAACACGCCCGGCTAATTTTTTGTATTTTTAGTAGAAACGGGGTTTCACCGTGTTAGCCAAGATGGTCTCGATCTCCTGACCTCGTGATCCGCCCGTCTCGGCCTCCCAAAGTGCTGGGATTACAGGCGTGAGCCACCGCGCCCGGCCAAAAGCCTAGTTTTCAAAATAATTTATGTACATTTTAAAGAGAGGAGAAAGGTACTTATAATTTTAAGTATTCTAAAGTGAATGCTCCAAGCAAAAGAAGGGGGGAGGTCTCTTCCTTTGTTTGCAATAGGGAGTATCAATCCTGTGGTTTTTAATTTTTATTTGTCCTTACAGTTGTTGTCAGAATTGACTAATGTATGTAGAAATGCAAAGGCACTTTGTAAGCTCTTAAATGCTTTTACAAACTGAAAGTATAATTAACTGGAGTGGACATTTTGGTTCAGACATCTAGAAGGCAGATGGGTTAAGAGGGGCACTGTTGGAGAGGACCTAAATTGAGATAGGGAAGTGGGAAGGAGCAAGCCTCTTGAGGACACGGCAGAGCACTTTGCACCATTAGAACAAATGTGTTGGGAAAGAGTGGAGAATAATACTGTACCGAGAGTATGTTGGAATTTAAATGTCACTAGGGTAATGTAATATTTTTCTGATAGTCAAGAGACAAGATGAAGCAATGGTAATTTCCTCACGGAGGAATGACATGAAATTCTCTCTGTTACAGTTTGGATGGTTTGGACTTATGGAATGACTGACAGTTGAGAGCCCAGGTGTTATCTATCATCTGATGGATCTGGTTTTAAATTCAAGGTTCAATACTTACCAGCAAGACAAATTCGGACTGATCTCTTAATCTCTCTGCATCTCATTTTCGTTATCACTCTGTGCCTTGGTTTATTTCCTCATTTATAAAACTGGGATAATACCCACTCAGTAGAATCACTAAGATTTCTAAGTGTTTAGTCAGTGTCTGACATATAATAAATGTCAGTAATGATGACTATTATGACCACTATCTTCATTATGAACAAAAATAATAAATGAGTTTAGAGGGTTTTGGAATACTTACTGATCTATATAAAGGCTGTTGAGTGCCTGGTTTGGTTTCTAGTTTTCTACATTGTATAGAAAAGTAGCAAGTATTGCTGATAGGTTGAAAGTTTAATTAACAGAAATTGGACAATAATTTGGTGAAATAAATAGACAAGATTGTCATCTGTGGTACATGGGTTGCTTTATTGGGCCCAAATCTTCACCCTTTGTTGTGGAAACTTGAAGCTCCTTTTTGTAAGAGGCAGAGTATATTTTCTATATGCATTGCTGTGTCCAATGAGGTGTTGATAGAAATGAGCTAACAGAGACTTGCGAAAGCAACTGCGCATTTCTAGTCTCTTACAGCTTTGCTATTACCATGAGAATAATGTGTCTGGAGCAACCTGTGACAGTTTGAGAGAGGAGTAGGACAGAGTCAAATTGCTCCAGTCATCCCAGCTGACAACCAGGAAACCTCCAGACCTGTGAGAAAGCCCAACTAAGAACAGAAGAGCTAATTCCATATGCATAAGCTGTCAACTTTTTGTTGCGTATCACTGAGATTTGTGGTTGTTTGTTACTCAAAGGGGACAGCTAACTGATACATCAACAGACAAATATAGTATCAAACCTTCGTCAGAAAGAAAAGAAAAAGTAGCAGCTACCTTACAAGGTAATTTGTTGTAAATATTAAAACAGAAAAAGTACACAAAGTCCCTGACGCTTAGGAGACATTTAGTAAGGTCTAGTTTCTGAGACTAAAGGAGTCAACTTCCAATAAATATCTATAAAATTTTTACAAAGCATTGCATTTTAAAATTTGTGATTAGTCTTTATTAGACCCAACAAAGAAAAATATGGATATGCTATTTTAGAGTCCTTAATGCTGGATTTCTGTATAACTTTGAAATAGACTTTTTTTCTGAATTTTTATGTATTGCTTTAAAATATCCATTTTATATTGACAGACATTAAAATAAGTCTCTCTTTTAACAATGCAGTGCTCAAGATGAGACTTTATTTCCCCGCATTAATGCAATGGCCTTATTCTCCGTTCCCACAATGGACTCAAGCAGTCAATGATTGGTTAAATTGTTCATTCTGCCTCTTGCCTGGGAGGCTTTTGCTGTGAGCATGCATCAAGCACAAAATCTGACTGCCATGGAACATTAAACAGGTATTCTCCTTTTTAAACTTTGTGATCTCAATTTCTTGGAGTTATCCAATAGAAAACAGATGCAAATTAAGAGCTCAATTCACAAAAATAATAGGTAGCATTTATATTGGCTTCCTATGGAGATACTGCAAAAAAAGTGCAGAAGGCACAGTTAGCACATCCAAATGAAATGTGTGTTCCTGCAGTTTCATAAATAATCTTGTTCTCTTCCAAATATTGACCTTTCTGGGCTGAATGCAAGGTAAGCGTAGGTCCAAACAGGATAGAATCATAGCGAAAAGCCACCTCTCTTTAGAACATGTCAATGCTTTTATGTGCTCTACTGCTTATTTTCTAGACATACTGGAGAAGAGGAGTATTTTATTCAGTCTGACTCATGCCTACTGAAGAGTGAATTAAAGGGCTAGGAAGCTGACCAGTTTCTGACTCTCTCTCAACTGATAAAAAGACTCTAGCATCCTAGAGAGTCCATTAAGAAGGAGATTCTTTGGTTTGCTGTGTGTGTTTGTGTGTGTGTGTTCATTTTTGTTTTCTGTTTGGTTGTTCACTAGCTTTAGTTTTGCTTTATGAAAGAAAGAAAGAAAGAAAAAGTCCTGGAAAAGATAGACTATGCTGCTCTGCGATGATGAATTTATGTCACTCTTTAAGAAAGCTGTGATCATGTATTACCCTACATTAATTAGTGAGAGTTAACACATAGACTTTGATTTTCCCTAGAAATTTTGTAAACTTTGGTGGCAATAATGGAAAGAGAAATAGCTGCATGAACCCAAAATGTTGCCTATTATTTAGGAAACTGGAAAAGCAATAGGAAGGTTGAATATAGCACCAACTTCCACGTGGAACTTGTTTTAGATGATCATTTGGCCTGAACCATTTGTACAGTCACATCAATTTTATTGAGGACTTTCATCAGGAAAACCTGTTACATATGCAGCACAACTAGGCGCTCAAAACTCACTTCTTGATATGAAGTGAGGCTGAGCTGGGGAGATAGTAAAGCTAAGTATTGGTCACTTGCACGGTAGGACAAGATGGAGATAAACAGTTGGATTCTTTGACATATCCAAGTATTTGGCTTACAATAGGTAGAATGGCCCCTGATTGTTCATTTTTCTTATAATTATTTTGGGAAGACAAAATCATTAATAAAGAGATCTTGAGTATAAGGAAGGTATCAACTTCCACTCCAGCTCTTGCATCTTAGATGTCTGCTGGTATCTTATGCCAAAGTGAACTCAATTTATAAATGCAAGAAACAGACTTCAATACCTGTTCTGTCAAATTTCCCCTGACCAGTTTTTATTTATTTTCAATGCTTCTTTTCTGCTGTCCTTTCTACAGCTCTCATACTCCAGGCTCAAAATTTTACTGTTGTTGAGAACTGGCCTATGTCAAGATGTCTGTGTACAATTATTAGGTTATTTGCAGTAGATTTTGGTAGCACCTAAAATTAGATGGAAATGAGAGTTAGCTACTTTCTTTCAACATCAGTACTTGGATATCAGATTATCATAAAAGCAAGTGTCAGCAAATTCAGCCATACTTAGAGATATTTCTTAAAAATGATATATATTTTAGAGTGAGAACATGCGGTACTTTGTTTTCTCTTCCTGTGTTAGTTCGCTGACAGTGATGGTTTCCAACTTTATCCAAGTCCCTGCAAGGACACGAACTCATCCTTTTTTGTGGCTGCATAGTATTCCATGGTGTATATGTGCCACAGTTTCTTTATCCAGTTTATCATTGGTGGGCATTTGGGTTGGTTCCAAGTCTTTGCTATTGTGAATAGTGCTGCAACAAATATATGAGTGTGTGTGTCTTTATAGTGGAATGATTTATAATCCTTTGGGTATATACCTAGTAATGGGATTGCTGGGTCAAATGATATTTCTGGTTCTAGATCCTTGGAGTTGAACAATGAGAACACATGGACACAGAGAGGGGAACATCACACACTGGGGCCTGTTGGGAGGTGGGGTAGGGGAGGGATAGCATTAGGAGAAATACCTAATGTAGATGACAGGTTGATGGGTGCAGCAAACCACCATGGCACATGTATACCTATGTAACAAACATGCATGTTCTGCACATGTATTCCAGAACTTAAAGTATTAAAAAAAAACCAAGAGAGAAAAAAAGAAATGATATTTATTTTAAATGCAGTTCCACAATAACAGCTCAGTAGCCTATTTCATACATTCAGAGATGTACCAATTCTCTGTCCTTTAGGTGCTATGAATATAACATACCAAAGAGGTTTACTACAGAACATGCAACAATATAGAAACAGGATACAGCTAGGCTTACAGGCATCATTAGGCAAAGAGAATACTCAGATGTCATAGCTGGATGCAGATCCATTTCAGAATCCAGCCCTCAGTACCATCCTGGGGAGTGATTGGCAGATACCTCACTGGACATTTTCTTCATGCTAGGGAGAGGGATGCCTTCAAATATCTTGAGCAATGCGTGGATCTTGAATACTACTAATTCATCACCATTGGGAACCTATTTTAATATTTAAGTTAATTAGCAAAGCCTTTTGTATTAATTGATGATAAATATGGCTGACTCATAACTGCCTCTGAAGACACCTATGAATTCATAAGTTAACAACTAGTCCTAGATTATGAATTGAAACACACACACACATCCATATTGTCTGCAAGTTCATAAATTACAGAGCTATATACAATACATATATACAATATAATAGTTATCAAACTTTTTTCTGGCCCTCTCAGCTTTTTTAACACTCACATCTTGAGCCTGGCTGTTTGGTTAATGAACGTTAGTGTTCAATTTGGGACCTGCTGTGGTTTACAACGTGATTTCAGAAAGCATACCCCCATTTATACCCCTCACCCAAAGTCTTCTGTATCTCTAGCCACAAAAACCCCCTAGGCAGTGCCAACCCTCAGTAGAGGAGGGGAGGCTAACAGAGGAGGGGAGGCTGGAGAGAGTAATACTTCCAATTATTTCCAGAATGTTGAAGAGTGAAGTAGATATGATTAAGTAGCAATGAGAAGTGGCATTGAACAACAACAACAAGAATTTCTGATTGAGTATAGTACAAATAATATGCAGAGGTTTTGGATTGAGTTTTCTTTGTATTTGAAATCTGACTTCATCTTTTACTTTATATGGCCTAGTATATATTGCTTAACCTCTTTGAATCTTAGTTTTCTTACCTGTAAAATGGGGATAATTTTTACTACATTACAACACATATGAAGTGCTTAGGTACTGCCTGAGCATATCTTACTTCGATAAATGGTATTAGTGGCAATGTTAGTAGTACTCTATTATTATTGTTGCTGTTGTCAATATTATTGTACATCCTAAGAACTATATGTGAATTTGTAAGAAATCATTGAGACCCATAAAGTGAATAAGGTTTTTAAGGAGCACATGGAATGAATTGGTATGTGAATTGGTTACCTATAAACACTAGACACTACTAGTAATTAGTATAAATGAGCAATTCTATGTGCACAGATTGCTTATCACATATGGGTCTTTAAAACCCTACCTGTATTCTGGATTGTCTTCAGTAGTGCTGTTTCCATTCATAAAAGACAGCGAATGCAGATTTATATGTGCATATAAAGTATAATATATTTTTCACATGGGTTTGACCCCAAAGAGAAGAATGCCAAAGGGGATCTTAAGAATCTGAATTATAATCCTAAAAGGAAACAATTCATTATTTTCACAGTAAGTATTCTAGTGCAGCAGTTACTAATTTTAAGTTTTGTATAGACCAGATCTTTGTTGTAATCTAAAGTCTACCTCTTACAGGCTGTGAAACCTCAGTTGTAACATCAATAAAATGGGAAGAACAAAAAAGTTGCTGTGAAGATAAAATGAGGTAATGCATGGAAAGCATTTAATATAGAAGCTGGCATAAAGTAAATGTTAACTATATCAACTTGACAGCTAAGTAGAAAAATAGAAAATCTCTCAAATGTGCCTCTGATATGTTAAACCTGATTTTAAAAAATATTGCTACATGGCATATTTGGGTCCATCAAAAAATTATTAATATTTTGGCTACCGGGAAAATTTTTGACTATGAACACACACTTTCAACAGGCACAATGAAGGTTTGTGATTAATCTTAGATCACTGTGTAGGAGAAGCACAGTGCCATAATCTAAAGATGATCTCGATGGGAACTGAGCTAAAGACCATCTGACCCCACTTAAACACAGCCTCCACCTTAGACTGTCGTGTCGCCATGAACCACAGCTTAATTTTTCTTCTCAGGCAGGTCCTGTCAACTGATTGTGGAAGGAAAATGAGAATTTCAGATGCCTGCTGAGATCTGTGGATGGAGTACTTTGTCCACAGGGCACTGAGCTCTGGCCAAACCAAAGACTTGTACTGCATAGATGTTCTTCAATCTCTATAGCTGGGAACTCTCTTCTTTTTGTAGTGCTTGCCCATTGTAGATGTTTAATAAGTTTGCATTACGTACAGGAGAAACTATGAAAGTCCCTTATAAATATAACAACCATAATGATAAAAGGAAATGTGTTTGCTTTTCCACATACATTCCAGGCCCTGGGCTAAACACTCTTTTAATCCCCACAATGACTATACAAAATAAGCACTATTATTTTCTTTGGTTTTACAGATGAAGACGCTGAGTCTTAAGAAATCAAATATCTGCTCACAGTTGCACATCTAACAGACATATGGATTCAGGCAATATGACTGCAGAGAGTAGATTGTTAACCTTTAATCTATAGTACTTCTTTTTCGCAACTGTCCCTAACCATTAAGTTATAGGAGAACACCAGCAACAAATCCTAGAGAAAGTTGCTGTTTTAGAACTGAACAAATGTGTTGCAAGGCCAAAGCCACTCTGTGCATTAAGGTCAAAGCATTGCTCACCCTCGACGAATAATTAAGACAATCCTCTACTACCCTTAAAATTGGCTGGAAGCCTTTCACAGTCTCACGCCTATTTTACATTTTTGTCCCATCTCTCTCCACTAGCTCCTCACGCCTTTTCTCCAAGTCTAAGCTCCAAACATATTACATTACTTTCATTTAATTATCTCGGCTCACTGCAAGCTCCACCTCCCAGGTTCACGCCATTCTCCTGCCTCAGCCTCCCGAGTAGCTGGGACTACAGGCACCCACCACCACACCTGGCTAATTTTTTGTATTTTTAGTAGAGACAGGGTTTCACCATGTTAGCCAGGATGGTCTCGATCTCCTGACCTCGTGATCCGCCCGCCTCAGCCTCCCAAAGTGCTGGGATTACAGGCGTGAGCCACTGCACCCGGCTGAACAAGCCTACTTTTACTCCTGTCAAGACTCTGCACTGTTCTTCCCACTGGCTAGAATACAGTCTTCTCCTTTTCTCTTATCAGTATTCCAGTGTTCTGCCTAGTATAAGCTGGACCTGGAAAGCCAACGGCCTGACTAGAGGATGAGTGATTCTCTCTGACAACCTAGCTTTGGTGTTTGCCCCTGACATTAGGGGCCCACATCCAGCCAATTACATTTCCCAGGATTTTACATCTTTTTGAAATAGCACATTTGTCAAGGAAGCAGGAGCAGAAAGCGTTTGGTGCATGCAAAGGTAGAAAAACTCCTGAATTTAAAAGCACTAAACTAGGAGTCAGGCTCCTAGACGCTGGGGTGTGACATCAGTCTGTTTTTGAGCATCTAAGTCCTGGCTAAACAATTACTGCTATGCATTTGTCACAGTCGATATTGAAGATCCTATAGTTGGAGACTGTGAGAATAATAACATTTAAGGCTCATGCACATTTTCTTTACAATTATTCATTGTTCATCTTGTGTGTCTGTCATCATGGAAGCTACAAAATACCATGTAGATGGCACCTACCGAGCAATAACACTTTGAACAAATGGCCTAAAAGTAGCTGAGAAAAGAAGGACAAGAAAAGATAGAACAATAACGTATCCTGGAAGCCAGATTCTCATTGCATGTATGTATGTTTAAACATTTACAATTAAGAATGGCTTTAGCATTTCATGGGGGAAAATGAACAACAAAAGAAAAATGCAAACATATCTTTTAAGGTTGGCCTTTTCATTTCAACACACTGAATACTTTATCATTTAGGAAAATCTCAAGAAGAGATTATTTAGTAATTTAATAACATTTAATAATATTTAAATAAATTGTAAATAAATTTATTTAACAATATTATTTTGTTATTAGATTTTATTTTTAAAATTTAATAACAATATTATTTATTGTTATTAAAATCTATTTTATATAAATTTTATTTTATTTATTAAATTTTATTTATTAAATTTTATTAAAATTTATTGTTATATAAAAACAATATTATTTATTTTGTTATTAAAATTTATTTTAAAATAAATAATATTATTTAACAATATACGCTTTTAACTTCTCTCTCTCTCTGTTTTTTTTTTTTTTTTTTTTTTTGAGATAGGGTCTATCTCTGTCACTCAGGCTGGAGGACAGTGGCATGATCATAGCTCACTATAATTTCAATCTCCTAGGCTCAAGAGATCCTCCCAACTCAGCCTCCCAAATAGCTGGGACTACAAGTGCAGGCCACCACACCTGGCTAATTAAAAAACAAAAATGTTGTAGAGATAGTATCTGTGTTGTCCAGGCTGGTCTCAAACTTCTGGCCTCAAGCTATCCTCCAGCCTTGGCTTCCCAAAGCACTGCGATTGCAGTTGTGACCTAACATGTGGGGCTGATCTCTTTTTCAATTTTCCCACACTGATGACTGACAAGACAGGGCTTATCACCACCATCTTTTGTACTTTACAAATGGGAAAAAAGAAATAGGGAGGATGAGTGATTCAGAACATTGAACCTTCAAATTATTTATCTTCTAATTTCAATGACGTTCTCCAAATTTCTCTCTGTGCTCTCCCATGTATCATTAGGCTTTAGAACTAATGCCTCAAAAATCTGGTCTTTATTATGAAAAAAATAGCCACTTGCCAACGGGTCTTATGTTGTGGAAACTCAGCCTCTGTAGTCAGAAAATTATTTTGCCTATTCTTCTCTCTCCCTCTCCCTTGTAAGTCTTTGTTCACAATCATCCTTCTTTATAAAAGGATAGCAGGCTTCAGAAGCCAGGGGGAGTAAAGAGTGAGAACATTCTCACTGGGTCTTGGCCTGCTTCCAGCTCCAAGAAGGGTATCATTTTCAGTGTCATGCTTCCAGTTTCCCTGGAAAGGTCTCACCTCTTTTCCCACACCCCAGCCCTCCCTAATCTTGCCAGCTTGTGTCTGAATTGTCTCTGTTCATCTCCACCTTTTCAAAAAACCTAGATGCTTATCTTAGCTATACCATTACAAGCTCCTCTTCTTATCTTTTCTAACTTTTGTCACTGATACGAACCCCTGTTGTCAGGGCTGATTATTGAGATTTTAATCTTTTTTCATCTATATATGCCTCTGTTTTCTGAATGAGAGAAAGCCTGGATACTGACTTTGAAGGACGGTACATATTTGCTCGTCTTATTTCCTCCAAGGGACACAGAGGCAACATGTTTATGTTTACTATGATGTTATAATTCCAACAGGATTTGCATAACAGAATACACTTCACTATCATCACCTTATATCAGACCCCCATTACCTTTTAGCCTGTATTATAACAATTGCCTCTTAACTAGCTTCCTTGTGTCTTTCCAAGCAGCGTTTCTCAGTAATGGCAAATAGAACTATCTTTCTCAAATGGAAATTCTCTTTCTCTTCTCTTGTTTAAAACCTCTCACTCAGAGTCTCCCAACAGTCTTCAGGACTAGAATCCACATGCTGTA
This sequence comes from Homo sapiens, assembly GCF_000001405.40. Classification (NCBI taxonomy): domain Eukaryota; kingdom Metazoa; phylum Chordata; class Mammalia; order Primates; family Hominidae; genus Homo; species Homo sapiens. The sequence continues at coordinate 69,222,362 of NC_000001.11, forward strand.
GAATCAGCTCTCAAACCTTCCACCCTATAGCCCCTGGTTATCTCTTCGGCCTCCCTCCTCTCCTTTCATTCTTTTTGTCATCCATATTTCTTGCAACTTCCTAAACATGCCGGCCTCTCTTGTGACTCTAGAGTTTGGCACATGTTGTCTTACTGTTTAGGATGCCCTTACTTCTGCCTGGCCACTCAATTCTACAGGACTTACTCAAGCATTATCATCTGTAATTACACAAACACCATGGACCTAGGAAAAGAATTCTTTGCCTAGGCTCCAACAGCACAATTTCCTGATAATTTTTTATAGTCTGAGAACAAGTGTTCACATTATTCATTCTGTGCCTCAGTGCCTCGCACAAAGTGAATGATCAGCAAATAATAATTGAATGAACTGTTGATATTCTATGCTCTGTATATGAACATGCACAATACTCCTTCTATAATCCCACCTGCTTAGAAATTGGTCTATTAGCGGTCAAGCAGGATACCACCAAAGTGACAGGCAGAATTCCATCTCTTTGACTGACTCTTCAGGCTACTCCAGGCCACTGTCTGAGTCTCCATTTTAATCACATATTTTAAACTATTTATTTATTGAGTTCCTACTAGGTGCTGGTACTGTTCTAGGTGCTAAGGGCAGTGATGAACAAAACAGGTAGAGTCTCTTTCTCCTGGAATTCAAATTGTATTTGGAGAGACAAAAGACAGACACACAAATCAATAGATACATGTAAATAAATATGCCCAAGTTGTAAGAGTTACAAAAAATGTAACAGGATAAAGAGGTTAAAGAAGCATGTGGGTAAAATTTTAATTAAGATGGTCAGTAGAGGCATTTCTGCTAAGGTGATATTTGAGCAGAGACCTAAAGGAAATAAAGGAATGAGCACATGCACTTTTTTAGGGATAGAGCATTCCAGGCAGAGGGAACAGTGAGGTCAAAGAGCCTGAGGGAAACCCATGCTTAATATAGCCACCAAAACAGCAAGGCTGCCTGGGATTGTAGCATAGTGAACAAGGGTCAGGTGGTAAAAGACAAGGTCAGAGAGTTGGCAGAGACCATGTCATGCAAGGCACGAAGCTCATGGTGAGGTATTTGCTTTTTACTGGGAGGGGAATCTAATTGGGGGATTTTGAGTAGATTTGTGGCATGATCTGACCACTTTTTAAAACTCTGACTCTTCTATAGAGTGGATACTCTTGCCGGGGGTGGTGGGCAACTGTAAATGCAAAGAGGCCAGTTAGGCACTGCTAGTGATATGGACTAGGGTGGTAGCAGGGAAAGCAGGGAAAAACAGTTCTAGATTTATTTTGAAGGTCTATTTCATAGCATGAAATTTTTGCTTAAGAATTGGATTTGAGATGTGTGAGAAATAGAACAATCAGGGGTGACTCAAAAATTTCATTTACTGAGAGCAGGAAAACTGTAAGAAGAGTGGACTTAGCATGGGTAGACAAGAAGCAAAGGATCAGAGTTAGATGTTAAAATGTATAGATAAAATATAGATATTGATACAGATACAGTTACACGTGGATTACAGATAGAGATGCTACATCTATATCTGTAAGTGGAGATCTTGAGTCAGTAGTAAGATAAATAAGTTTGAGATGAAAATCCAGGAATCATCTAAATATGAGCGGATTTGCAACCATAGGAGTGGAAGGCATCACCAAGGGAATGAGTAGAGGCACAGAAGATGCAGGGCAGGAGCACATGTTTAGAGGCCAGGAGAAGCCGTCAGAAGACACTGAGAAAGAGAAACATCAATTACGAGCAAAACCAAGAGAAAATATTGTCTTGGAAACCAAGTGAAAAAGTAGGTTCAAAGAAAACATTATCAGTTGTTTCAAATGCTGCTAGTAGGCTGAATAAGATGAGGACTGTGATTACCCCAGAATCTGGTAATGTGCAGCTTATTGATGACCCTGACAAATGCAGCCTGAGGGAGTAGAGGGAACAAACCTGCTAGAAGCAAGTTTATGAGTGACTAGAGAGTAAACAGACAAAGGAATATAGCCAATTCATATAATAAGGCTGTTGGGCTAAAAAATTTTTGAATTTCCTTTCATTTTTAATTTTTATTATTTAAAAAATCACATTGATGTTATGTACGCCAATATTTGCATGTGTTGCCAATTCAGAGCATTTGAGTTCAACCTAATATTCTGAGTACTGAATTACAAGGAACGCACTTTATTTTTCCTTTGAGAATTCAGAAGGCACTTTAACTTTTTTGGAGGCTCAGGGACACTTTTAGTCTTATCAGTTATCATTGTGCTGCAGAGCTGATTAAGTGTCAGTTAACAGAATTCTGGGTAACAGCTTATTGCATATATAGTCTCACCTTGTCTTTTGCTTCATCCTTTCCTGTGTCACATGGATCCTATCATTGACTCATCCATCTATTTATCCATCCATCCATCCATTCATCCATATATCCACCCATTTATCCATCCATCTATCCTTCACTTATTCATCAAGCATTGGAAATACTAGTATCTCAGAGCATTCTCTGTCTTTTTGCTGGAGACATAGATAGGGAGTCTCTCCTGACTCATAGAAGTCTCCCAAAGCAGGTTGCACAGAACAGGCCCTGGAGGTAAGCAGGTGCAGAGCTATTCAAAGAAGAGAAAATATATGAAGAAAATCTGAGGCATTGTAGTCAGAAGACTATTTTAGTCATAAACCCAGAGTGAACCTTAGGTTGAAACCATAAACATTGTGCTAAGCATCAGATTCAAAAAGAGGCTTTGGAGAAACTTAGGTGTACTGTCCATCCAGCCTGACTCAGCAAAAGAATTTAGGGTGAAGTCTTTATGTGAGGGGTGTTAACAGCCCACTTTTATGTTAGGAAAGTTTAAGAAAAAGATGCAGGACTGATAGCAAAAGGTAGTATGCGGTACCAGAATAAAACATGACTAAGTAATGAAGACCTTTCTATGATAAAGATATGATTAAGACATAGAGGAACAAATGCTGTCTTTCCTTTTCCTTTTTTTTTGGGACAGAGTCTGGCTCTGTGCAGTGGCATGATCTTGGCTCACTGCAACCTCCATCCCCCTGGTTCAAGCAATTCTACTGTCTCAGCCTCCTGAGTAGCTGTGATTACAGGCACATACTACCACGCCCGGCGAGATTTTGTAGTTTTAGTAGAGACAGGGTTTCGCCATGTTGGCCAGGCTGGTCTCAAACTCCTGACCTCAAGTGATCTGCCTGCCTCGGCCTCCCAAAGTGCTGGGATTACAGGCATGAGCCACTGCGTCTGGCATTTCCTTTCCCTTTATTCCTTCTTTTTCTATTCTCCTTCCCTTGCTGAGTCTATTCTTTTTGCTCACACAGCACAAAAAAAAAAAATGTGATACAATCCATGGTGATGAAATTCGGAATAAAAAACACATTTCCTTTTTAAAGCACATTATTGAGTTTAATCTAAATTAAACAACCCCTTTTCATTTAACTTCATTTTTAAGTTATATATCTAATTTTTTTCCCCAAAGACAGTTATTTTCCAGAAGTGACATTCTTGATACTTTCTCAATGGGTAGAAAACATTGCATTATATGATATTTTAAGTGCAACTTTCAGCACAGCAACATGGATGAGCACAATCAATTCAAGAAAGATAGCAAACTAGAAAAATGGTCTGCAATTTTTTTACTCTTTGGTACTTCAGCAGGTCAAGGGAAATAATAATTTGGCTTTATGTGTAGGGGTTCAGAATCAAAGCCACTGAAGCAGAACGAAGCCAGGCAATCAGAAGGAGATGCCTGTGGCTCCTACAGGAAGAAACTTTCCCTGCCAAAGAAAGAGGATCCTGACACTCACACCTGCCCCTCTATCAGACACTTAAGACAACTGGAGCAGTGGAACAGATGTGCCTAGAGATATCAAATAGATGTACTTGATAGGGGGAGCATAGAGCAGGTTGGCTTCAAGTTTTTGAGGAAAATAAGTTGCTGCAATTAATGGAATTGAGAAGGCTCATTATGTGGGACACTCCTTAGAGGATGTGGATCTTCATGAGAGAATTCTCTGCCAGAGCCTTAAGGATTTTTACCTTGCTCAAGAAGATTCTAAGTCTTGAAATTGATTTCTCTTCTAAAATAGGTTAGGCTTTCCCTCTTGCCTTGAAAAAAGATGTTTCTAGTAGTTATAACAGAGAGAAAGAGAAAAAGACATTTGTCTTCAACTCCAGGGCCTGTTTCTGAATTAAAAAGGAGTAGCTATGTTTTACTGATGGATCTTAAGACTAATTACTAAAGGGTAAGATGGCCTAAACTCTAGAGTGTTTTCACTCTTCCCTGTGGCCAGAATCCAATAATGTAGATATATATACCAAAGGACAGGAATGTCAATCACTTTGAAAAAGACATGACCACCTACCAAGTGCACAGTCTGGAAACATTCTCCCCTCTCTGGCATGATCCTATTGAGTGCAGAGTAGTATCCTTGAACCCAGCGTTTCATCTCAACATTGTAAAATAGCATTTCTGAGCTCAGTTACCCTCAGCTAAAACACTCTGATAATTCCTACTGAGTTTACAGTGTGGTGAAAAGATGAAATAGCACCCACATAACTATAGTTAAACTGTAACTTGCTATAAACTTTTATTAATCTAACTCTACTCTTGACCACTAAGTTGCTCAAGGGTAAGGATAATTATCACTGAATCCCCAGTACCTGGCATATTTTAAATATCAAATAAATACTTCTTAAAGTGAAATGTGAAAAATTATTTGTATGATTACTCTTCTTCTTACACATTTTTTTTTTTTTGTGGTCCTATGTCCTCATGTCCCTGCTGGTTCCTAGTACCTGCTGAACTAGTCTATCTCTACCACCCCTAATCCCACAAATATTGTACTCTAGAGCTTGTGCTACCCAATCTGTTAGCCACTACCACATGTACCTACAGAGCCCTTGAGATGCTGCTAGTGCAACTGAGAAACCAAATTTTTAACTTTAATTAAATTAAATTTTAAAACTGGCCCTACATTCAGTTATGGAGAACTTTTAAATGTATTTGAAACATCACAGATACATGCATCAACTTTTTCTCTACATATTATAAAAACTAAATGCAGATCAATTATTTCTGATGAAAATTTAGCATCCTAGTTATGCTATAATTCTAAAAAAAACATGAAAAAAGAATGTAAAAATTATAGTAATTAAACATTTTATAATGTAAAATCAATTTTGTAATGATTACATGTTAAAATGATATTAGTTTGAATATATTAGGTTAAAATATATTATTAAAATTAATTTCATCAACTCTCTTTTGCATATTAAAATGATATTAGTTTGAATATATTAGGTTAAAAATATATTAATAAAATTAATTTCATCAACTCTTTTTTGCATTTTGTTTACATTTCTAAATGTGGCTGCTAGAAAACTAAAAATTGCATATGTTTCTTATATTTTTATTGAACTTTGCTTCTTAAGAGAATCTCCACTGATGGCTACCTTGTGCTCTTCTTTCAATCAATACCCTGAACTTGAAACTCAATTTGAGACTATTTGAAGTAAGGACAATGATGATGATGATCACTGTAACAACAAAGATAGTGCCTTGAATTTATTACTTACATGGCATTCTAGAGTTTACAAAGCAATCTTACCTAGATCATTATATTAAACCTTACAATTCCCTGTGATGTACTATAAAATTTACTGAAGCTCAGAAGAGTCAAGAGACTTATCCTGTTATTGTGCTCATTTTTGGCAGGGCTTTTATTGGAACCCACATGTCCTGGTCCTAAAGGGCCTTTTCTACCCATCTCACTAGTCTTTCACTTTTGTATTGTCTGTGATTTCATTGAAGATATGCCATGTTGCTTATAATAGTGTGTTAAGCTTAATTACATACACTTGTAAAACATCTGTTGAGATCAATCATTGTACCATGCCAAATAGTGACCAATGATTAGAATTGATAGCTAGCCCATTATTGGATCATATTTGGAATGACTTCCCTTTTTCCCACAAATCAACAGCAACAAAGTTCAAGTCCTAGCACTAAAATTTTTCATAACTCTCTGGAGTGAATCTTTCATAACTCTCTGGAGTGAATCTTTCATAACTCTCTGGAGTGAATCTTTCATAACTCTCTGGAGTGAATCTTTCATTCAAGTGCTGTCAGAGCACCTAAATGACGGAGAACAGGAATTTCCTCCAGCTTACATGGCCATACATTCATCCTACATGGCCATAAGTGTAGCTGCCTGCTAGTGAATGATTGTCTGTGTTACAAAATTGAGTCTGAAACTTGTTTATGTGACTTGTTAATGTGTGGAAATTGCTAAGGGAAGTACAAAGATGTAGAGTCTTCTTGAGAGCCTTTCTGTATCATCTTTAGAAATAATTTGATGACCATATTCTGTAGCCAGCATCTCACAAGCTGGCAAGAATGAAAAAGGAAAAGAATTGCTATAAAGTAGGGCAACATATGATCAAAGCAGATTCCTTTAACTTGTGTCCAAGACCTCCCATGTGTTGGGAGATTTCATCATCTCATTTAATTTAAACATAAAATAGTCTCTTAAGAGAGATATTATTACCATTTTATAACTAGAGGCCAAGAGTGGAAAGTAGTAAGGGGTTCAGTCTTACACCTATTGCTATGGTTTGATATCTTTATTTTTCCTTCTGTCTAGAAATCTACCATTATGGTTCACTGCAATAAACACTAGGCTTTGAATCAGAATTCAATCCAAAATAGAGGGACTATACTTAGGATTATCAACACTCAAGATTCAGAAAGATTCAGAATGCTTAAGATTTAAATTCAGGCACAATATTCAATCTCTATCCAACATCATTGTACACTTTTTTCATTCATTCATTTATTCATTCATTCAACAAATGGTTGCTGATTGCCATAACCTATGTTAAATTATTGGATGTGATGAAGATAAATGAGATGCATCTGGAAAAGTACTTTATAAAACAACAAATACTTCAAAGTGTTTTTTCTATTTTTCACTAGTAATGATGGAATAGTCTGTGGTCGAGTGCAGAAATACTATTACCTGTTCCTGGAGGCAAAGATTAAAGGAATAGACACCTTCCTCAGCCAGAATGACCCAGGCCAGGAGCCACAGTGTCAACTTGGAAAATTTCTCCTTCCTCATCTCCACATCATGTCTGCAGCCTTAACTGCTTGACACCTGACAACTACTCTTATCTCCATTGTGTTGTTTTGTTTTGTGTCATGATCTTTTTGAATGTGCAATTGTAATGATCTCTTAACTTGTTTATTGACCCCAAACTTCACCTGCTTTCCACACTGCTGCCAGAGTCAGGACCCCTTAGTGTGGGCTAAAAGGTGATGATTTGTATCTCTAGCTGCTGTAAACCCCACCCACTCACCCCTGCATTCCAGATACGCTCAGACACTTTGCCAAACAAGTCAGATTGATTGAAATCTCCATGCCCTGATCATGTGTCTGCCTGTACTCAGAATGCCCTTTCTCTGGTTCTTCACCTAATGAGCTCTTACTGATCTTTCAAAAGTTATCTCATCAGCCACTTTTAGCTTTTATTTCCAAATCCGTTACCTCCAACACTTAGGTTAAATTGACCAACCTCTCATCCTTCTTTATTATCCTTAAATAAGTATAAAATATGATGTTACTATAGCACTACCAGTAAATACTTAGCTGCAGTTTTTAATTTACACAAGAGGCTCACCCTCCGAACTGTATGCTCCTTGGGATAGAGCACTGTGTGTTATTCATCCCTAATGCTTGGCATGAAGCAGGCACTCAGTTCATGTTTACTGAAAAAGTGAATTAATAATTATCTTGTTACTGCCTAAAATCTTTCAGTGGATGTCCGTTTTATATGAAATAAAGTCTGAATTCATTTCAAAGTGATACCAGGCCCTTCCTCCCAAGGTTCTTGCATAATATAGAGTCTCATCTCTTGCTGTGTCCACACAGTTATTCAAAATCCTATTATACTAAAATATAAGCAATTCTCCCAATGAGCCTTAGGGTTTCAGGGTTCCAGGCCTTGACTCATCTGAGTTCACAGTTGAATTATTTCAGGGTCTGGTTAGTCATGCTGTCCCTGCACTAAGGGCCAGATGAGAAAGGGCTTGTGGGAGCTCTTTGTTACCTACAGATCTAAAGAGAGTGGGTGTGCTGAAATGTAGGCCAACCTTTAAAAACAGAAACCTAAAATGTTTCTGGACCATTTTATATACCCTAGGTCTTGCCAATTCTGTCTCTTTCCAGCTGAAGTTCTCTAAAGCTCCCCTGCCCTCTACTCTCATACCCTACTTGGTGCTCAGGTCTTTTTCTGTGGATGCAAATGACTCTAGCTGTTTTCTAGCCCTGCCTATATTTGCATCACAAGGTTCTAACTGGAATCTTAGGATGCAAGTGTCACCCACTTTTATCACCCCATCTTGACTACTTTCCTGTCTTCATGACTACTTGATGGAAGCAGTATAGATAGGCCACTTTATTCCCCATTAAATGTGTGGGTGCTTGGAAATGAGAAGGTGTGCTTTCCAAGAGAAGAGATCGAGTGAGCTTTCTGCAAATCCCTTATAGCTAGTGAGTTCATTTGACGTTCCCTGCGCTGTGTAGGCTAAAGCTGGCACATAGCAGTACCAGCATTTCCTCTGCTGCTAGCATGCAATTAAAAGCTTTGTAAAGCATTTGGGAATATTTAGTTATGGGAAAAAATTACAAAAATGAAGGTTGCTTTTGTCTTTGTTCTTTAATCTAAGGTAGCTTGTTCCCTACCTTCATTTGGTAATCTTTCTTTCAAGTATTTATTGATCCCTAAGAAGCCTGAGTTGGACATTCAGGCAGGGAGATTTTGTTTTTCAGATTGGGAAATCTCTAATTATTGTATCAGCTGCAAGTGGAGCAATGGCTATTCATTATCCCATTTCTCGTTTCTGTTCTCTGATATTATCTGGTAGATCAGTAACAGGCTGCAGTTTTAGGTGAACTTAATTTCTAGCTGACTCTGCCTTTCCGAACCCCTCTTCACCTGCCCCTTTCTCTGAGCCAACTGTGGCAAAGTCAGAGACTATGTAAGAAACTCTATGTTTATCATGTGATGGGCTTTGGATTGTGTAATAAATAGGCCCAGTGTCTGGTGTGCCAATAGATACCCATTTGGTTAAGATCAAGTAGATTCCAAGTCACAGTTTTCTCTGCTCCCTGACTCCTACAGCATGTTGACACTTACTTCCAGAGGACAAGGCAGGCCTGTTCCATTTGCCTGATAAGACAATGATCTTTCCTGAAACCAACACGGCTGTGAAACCTGTGCAGCTCTTACCAGGTGATTATTTTCCTCTCTTTGATGTCTCCTTGATTTTCTACCAAAGGCTGTAAGATACATGACATTGTCCTGAGACCAACAACTAGATTATATTAGTTAACAGCCCTTCACATTGCCACACAGGCCAGATTTGACATTCTTGTCTCCATGTTCCCCAAGCAAAGGTGCTGACATCTGCCCAAACCGTGCCAGGGCTTGCATGTTGACTAGACTCAGTGTCACAGAGCCAGGCCCTGTCTCCTTTAATTCTAATGTCTTTCCTCAACTCATTGTCCTTGTTGCCAAGGCTTAAGCCTTGGCATATGCCATATAGTCCATATGCCATATAGTGAGGCCACTCCAGTTATGATAGGTATCACCTCAGAATAGTCATCTATTTTTTTCCATGGACAAATATATTCCTTTTTATATGTCATTTTCATGTTTAGTATTAAAAATACTAGCAGAGTGTTCCTCAAATTTGAAGACTTGAACATATTTATAACTGTGTTCAAAAATACTTTGAATTCTACTCATTATTTATTATCTTGTTGATTATTTTGTTGAAAAGACTAAGAGGCTACATATATATATATTTATACATATGTAATTAAGTACATATACATATTTAAGGCATATAGTACACAAATATATATAACATAAATATAATATATTTATACTATAATATTACCAATACAGGTAAGAACCTTCATTTTCACAAATTTTTAGTAAAGGAGAAGAACATAATTCAGTGTTAAATACACAGTAATATTATTTCATAAAAATTTTGGCTATTTCTTCAATTAAAAGACTATAATATTGAAAGCTTGACTTCAACACAGTATATATGAAATATAAAGTACAGCCAAAAATGTTTCAGTAATTCAAAGAAAAGAAAGCAATAGGACTAGCCTTTGCTTTACCACAGGAGACACAGACAAAATTTGTAGCCATGCTTAATTATATCCTTTGCATCAACTCAGCCTAGATTACATAATGAGAGTGATGCTCCCAACAGACAGACTATTTCATCTGGAAATAATAGTCTTCTATTCCACTACGTAAGAGGTATATCAGCTACCTGCTTATCTAGAAGGGCAAAGATTACCTCCATTTGCCAGTAGTCATAGGCCCACTACATTCTAAAAAATCAGATTGGAATTTTTTAAAGAACACTTTAGGTTTCAGTTGTTATCCTGGATAGTACATTATGTGTCATTTGGTGCAACAAAAAGATGACACTGTTCCCAAAACACACCTGAAATGGAGTTAATAAGGGAAGATGTTCAAAGTCATTATTTAATAACATGCTCCCTGGTAAAATGGCTAAACACACACACACATGCTTTTCTTGAAGTATAATTAGCCTTTTTAGACTACAATATCAGAGATGTTGTGTGGATGTAAGACACTGAACTTCTCTGAATCTCAGTTTCGACGTCTGTAATAAGGGGATTATAATGCCCATTTATTCACATAGCTATTATGCCAGTGGAGAACATATTAAAAACTTATAATGGCCTTTATAGGGCTACTAATAAGAATGTGACAGATAACAATCATTAAATAACTTTTATCTACTTCCCTATTCTCTTGCATATGAAATTTGAAGGGCTCTTGACAGTAGTTCTTTCTACAAGCAGACAGTGTCCCAAGGACAAGTCTGGTTTTGGTGGACATACCACTCTATTAACTTAGTCATCTAAATTAATCCTCCAGCCTGAATTGGCTTAAAACAATCTTGGCTGCTTTCACATTAGCTAATATGTTATATTATGCTATAATAATAATAATAATAATAATAATAATAATAATGGTTTTCATCTATTGATAATTGTGCATTATCTCTATACCTAAAAGCATTCCCAAAGGGTGAAAATTTATTCCCTTCATTTTGCAAATGAAAACTTTTAGGCACCATTAGATTAGAAGGCATATCCAAGCCTCTACCACTAGCACATGCCAAAGCTGGTAACCAAGCAGCTGTGCTGGCACTCAAGCATGGGCATTTCCATGACACCCCATGGCCTCTCTTTTGTTTTCTCATCTATCTACCTCAGCAGTCTATGAGACAGAACCTGCATTATATTCATGCTATTATCTTTACTGCAAGATACAATTCCAAGTGTAGAGTAAATCCTAAATAATTTCATGAAGGAAGAAAGTATTATTAAGCTCACCTAATCATGTCATTCATTTAAGCTTAATACATACCTTCAAAGATATTACAATAGGCCTATAAAATTCTCATTAGAAAACTATAATCCCAACAAGAAAGATTATTGTAGTTATAGTTACCTAAAATAAGTTCTAGGCTGTTCTCCTCAAGGAACTTGCAATATATTGGGAGACTCCATATGTATAATACTAAAGTATTCCAAAACTGAATATATTAAGCTAAGAGTGATGTAAAATGCTTTGGTTATGCATTGGATTCTGCTTTGGCTGATCAGAAAAGTACCCACAGGGAGGTGATATCTGACTTAGACTTTAAATGATGAGCACAATTTCAGTAGGTGACCATAGGACAAATGGCATTTTGAGCAGGGAGAGATGTATTAGCAAAACCAAAAGAGTAATTTGTATGCATGACAATTGTACTTAGAGCTAATTTAGGCTGAATCACAGACCTTCAAAAACTCCAGAAATGACTTAAGTTTGCTTCATTGAAAGCCAAACTAACCACAAAACTGAGCATTTATAATTCATGTTTAAGAGTAAGAAACAGTGGCTAACTTTTATCAAAAAGTTTACCTTTATCTCTGTCCTAGCAAGGCATGGCAGGGAAGAATCAGCTATTATCTTTGACTTGTATAGAACTAGCTGAGTGTGAATTAAATGAAAGAAGCAGTAAAAGATGAGCCCAAGGAGAAGGAAAGGAGCAAGATCAAAGAAATCCTTGAAGTGTTAATTGCAATCATTGAAAAAGAGGTAACAAGAAGCTGAGAGTAAGATGATCTGCTATAAATAGCATTTGAATGCACAATATTGGAAGGTCAGCAGATGGGACTCTAAGAGGTAAAAATTACATATAAATTCAGACTAAGAAATAAGACTGTGATAAATTCAGAGAAACACGACATCAGATGAATTCAGAATTAAGAGAGAAATTTTTACTTTGTGGGTTAAACCAGTTACGTAGAAAGAATATGGCTAAAACGAGCTCTCTGCAAAAGTAACTAAAGAATAAAATGGTTCCCCAAAGCAAGGAGAAAGGAGAATTTGTAGAAACAGAATCATAAGACCAGGATGTGATCCTAGGAAGGCAGGCCATAGTAAGGAAAATATATGAACTCTGGTATAAAGCATGTTGAATTTTGCATATTCTCTGTAGGTAGCTCTTACTGACTGTGTTACCTTAGACAAGTCACTTCACTTCCCTGAATATCCATTACTGCATCTGTATAGTTGCTGTAGTTACACCTGAGGAGGCAGGTGACCAGAGCGAGACTGCCTGGGTTCAATTTCAAGCTCTATGATTTACCATCTGTGAACCCTGAGCGAGGCAATTAATCACCTTGTGTCATTTTTTTTTCATCTGTAAAATGTAAATGATTTCCTATATGTCACATCGTTCATAAAAATCATTTCCAGGGGGTGAAAGTCAAAACTATAAAGCCTTTTGAAAGCAATATGGAATATCATCATTAAAAACTCAAGAATGAGTAGGATTTTTTTCAATGAGAAACATAGGCTATAAATCACAAAGAGAAAAACTGATAAATTTGACTGCATTAAAATTAATTACAAAGGATACAGTGAACAGAAAAAAGCCATAAAATGGGAGAAGATATCAGCAATTCATAGAAAACATGAAATCCTGTATTGCTGTTCAGGATAAAGTTAAAAAAAAAGAAAACCTTAGGGAAGAAAGAAGTTATTAACACATTCAAAATAATGGTTCAGTAAGATGGGACAGGAGAGGAAGGTGATGTGTGTTTTATTTCTTAAGAGGGATAGTGAATACTTAGGTGTTCATTTTATCATTATTCACATTTTATACATTCTTCTGTGAAGAGTACTCATTTCTCAGTGTATCTTTAAAAATGCAGATTGTAATAAGTACCTACTTCATAAGGTTGTTGTGAAAAGAGATAAGTGAGTTCCTTATGCCTGCAACATAGTAGGTATTTAAAAGTGTTAACTGTTATTATATTAAGACAATAATAACATTGTAGAAACTTAATAGAAGGTAGCTATTATTTTTAAGCTATTGTCTCATGAAAGAATATGTTAACAGAGAGAAAGTGGTCTGCATTCCACCAGAATACAAGAAAACCATCCAAGGGAAGGCCTGAAACTCACTTGGCATGTTTGACCCAACAGTGGAGGTGTTTATCACAGTATTAAAGGTCTATTATACTGGCCTTAACAATACCCCTTGCGGTCATGTTAAGTTCACATAATGACCCTATAGTTTCTCATATGGCTGTTCTCAGAAGAACAGAATGTGTAAATCAAATATTCTGCTCCTTTGGTGAATTTTATCTCATTTTATTTATTAATAGAAAAACATTTTTCTTTCAGTCTCTTGTGAGTAGAAGTCTTAGCTTCCTCACTTCAGAGAGCATCAATCAGAGTGTGTTTCTAGACTGATGAAGCAGAGGACTTCGGTCATGATCCAGCCTCAGGATAAAGCTTTGCCTGATCAGCCCAGCAGGCCCATCTCTGATCAGTCTCTAACTACAAAAAAATTGAAGAAAAAAAGTTTTGATAAGAGATTATGTTTAGGGTTCTTGTTAATGATATATGTCATCTCTTGAGATCATTTCAGTGTACTAGAATGGCCACCAGGCATTCTTTCTTGTGAAGAGCTCTCAAGTATTACTCAGAGAATGTAAGTGAGTTAACCACATAATGTAAGCAAGTTACATGCGTTGACTGCACCTGACCTAATGAGAACGATGCTCCCAACAGACTATTTCATCTAGTCATAATATTCTAGATTGTTAGAAATACTCTTATAGATTATTAACCACAGGAAAAGGGAAGGCCTGTGATAGCAAGTGGGTCCTGAAATGACGGAAAAGCACTAATCACCAAACCAAAGAAAGGAGTAGTTTTTTCATATGTTCGTTTTAGAAAGACATAAAATATCAGGAGAAAAGCCACAGCTATTATAAGAAGAGAATGAACACTAGGCTTGGACCAGAAATGCAAGAGAGAGAAGATTGCCTAGAGAGCATAGTACTTGCTCTGTGTACAACTTAGAGCATGAAACATGGAGTAAATCTACCTACTTCTGGGCTTTAGGTTTAGAAATAAACAAATGTTCAGAGGAACTACACATTTAGGTATCATTTGTACATGAATGGGATTACAGAATCCGGATTTGAATATCTATGCTCATATGTTGGTCAGTATTATAAAAAATGTGAAGTAATCCCCAAGGAAAGTGATACAGTTTATGTAAACAGATACTGTAGTAAAGCAAGAAACATTGTGTTTTCTGACCATAATATGATAGTAGTTGAAATTTATTTCAAAAGCTGGAAAATTTGACAGAGATAAATACAAGGAGATCAAATTCCCATTAGAACAGATAAATTGTTCTTAATAGCAAGCAGGTTGATAAATAGGAAAGAAGATTCTCTCTCCATTCAAAATATCCAGGAGTGGTAATACTTGGTGATAAATGATGTAAAAAAAAACTTGCAGAAGTAATAAGCCCCAAACTCTAAACATTTAAGCAGAAATTATGGGGGTCCTCCCATTAATTTTAATTATGAAGAAATTGGAGTGAAAGTTATACACAGCACCAAAAGTAAATGAGGCAAGTATGATAACTCCAAGTTGATGAGGAAAAAGAGAAGATAGATAGATAGATAGATAGATAGATAGATAGATACATAGATACATAGATACATAGATAGATGTACAGATACTAACAGAACCTTCATAGGGCATACAAGAGAACAAACATACAAAGAACATGTTAAAAAATAATGGATTAGAGAACAGTTTATTTTGGAATAGTTTTAGAAGACAAAGCACACAGAAAGAATCATTTATTCATTCCTTCATTGTTAGATAGTCATTTTACAAAAGCAGGATGAATCCACACCCAAATTTGCTTTGGATGTCAAGACCGATGGTGAACACACACACACACACACACACACACACACACCAAGAGAATATGAATAGATTTATTACTTATATAATAAGGTTTTTTTGAGAGAGCAGGGTAGACTTCCCAAGCTGGCCCACAATTGGCTTCACAGAACAAGAAAAGGAGACTGGCTTGGAGTTTTAAATTGTGGTTACGCTTGGGGCTGGGGCAAAGATCTTGATTTGAATGTTTTACCTGCATCAAAGGAGAGAGCAGCTGAGCTTCCTAATTAGTTTGCCCAGATATTTGGGAGAGGGTGATGGGCCCTAGATGTGCAGCATGGAATGAAGCTGATATATTTTTCTGACTGCAACAGGAAGGTATTGGAGCATTGGGAGATTTTGAGCAATCAGAATATGATCTGATTTACATGTTTAAAAGCTGAATTCCTTTGCTTCTGTATTGAGAATAAATGGAGGGAACAAGATTAAAAGCAGAGACATTAACTGGAAGGATTCTGAAGCAATCCAGGTTGTTTTTACTTGGCAAGTAGCAATGAAGGTGGTAGCAAGAGGTTAAATTTAAAATATATTTTAAGAATAAAACTGACTTGACTTGGTGACAGATTGCATTTAAAGTATGGGGGAAAAAAAGGAGCATAGAATGATTCCTAAGTGTAAGCTTTGGTCAAGTAGGTGAATGGTGGTTCCATTTAATGAAATGGAGAAGACGGCGGTTGGAAGCAACAGAAGTTGTGTTGGGACATGTTAAGTTTCAGATACCAGTGAGACATCTAAGTGGGGAAGTCAGTTACGTATTTTGGTATACCAGAGGCAATACACTAAGAATTCCATACATTTTAATGTCATCATTGGGTAAAGACCAATCAAAAATTATGATTTGTCAATACATGTAAAAAACACAATGTTTTCTCATGTGTGTAAGCTGTTTGAATGTCTTCTTTTGAGAAGTGTTGGTTCATGTCCTTTGCCCATTTTTAAATTTTTTATTATTATTATTATTTTTTTGGAGACACAGTCTCACTCTGTTGCCCAGGCTGGAGTGCAGTGGTGTGATCTCGGCTCACTGCAAGCTCTGCCTCCCAGGTTCACGCCATTCTCCTACCTCAGCCTCCCGAGTAGCTGGGACTACAGGTGCCCGCCACCACACCCAGCTAATTTTTTGTATTTTTAGTAGAGACAGGGTTTCACGTGTTAGCCAGGATGGTCTTGATCTCCTGACCTCATGATCTGCCTGCCTCAGCCTCCCAAAGTGCTGGGATTGCAGGTGTATTATTATTATTATTATTATTATTATTATTATTATTATTATTATTATTATTTTGAGATGGAGTCTCACTCTGTCACCAGGTTGGAGTGCAGTGGTGCAATCTCGGCCCACTGCAACCTCTGACTCCCTAGTTCAATCTATTCTCCTGCCTCAGCCTCCCGAGTAGCTGGGATTACAGGCATGTGCCACCAGGCCCAGCTAATTTTTATATTTTTAGTAGAGACGGGGTTTCACTATGTTGGCCAGGATGGTCTCAGTCTCCTGACCTCTTGACCCGTCCGCCTCGGCCTCCCAAAGTGCTGGGATTACAGGTGTGAGCCAACACGCCCAGCCAAGGTTATTTATTTTTTGCTTGTTGATTTAAGTTCCTTATAGATTCTGGGTATTAGACATTTGTCAGATGCATAGTTTGTAAATATTTTCGGCTTTTCTGTAGGCTGTTTATTGTGTTGATAATTTCTTTTGCTGTACAGAACATCTTTAGTTGGCCCCACTTATCAATTTTTGTTTTTGTTGCAGTTGCTTTTGAGGACTTAGCCAAAGATTCTTTGCCAAGCCCAGTGTTGAGGAGGGTGTTTTCTAGGTTTTCTTTTAGGATTTTTATAGTTTGAGTCTTATGTTTAAATCTTTAATTCATCTTGAGTTAATTTTTGTAAATGGTGAAAGGTAAGGGTCTAATGCTTATTATCACTAATCAACAGAGAAATGCAAATCAACCACAATGAGATACCATCTCATACCAGTCAGAATGGTTATTATTAAAAAGTAAAAAACAACAGATGCTGGTGAGGATGTGGAAAAAAGAGAACACTCATACATTGTTAGTGGGAATGTAAATTAGTTCAGCCACTGTGGAAAGCAATTTGGAGATTTCTCAAATAACTTAACGCAGCAATCTCATTACTGGGTATATACCCAAAGGAAAATAGATCGTTACACCAAAAAGATGCCTGCTCCTAAGTTTCTTGTCACACTATTCACAATAGCAAAGACTAGGTACCCATCAATGGGGAATTGGATAAAGAAAATGTGGCACATATTAGTATATATTATAGAGTACTACACAACCATAAGAAAAGAATGAAATCATGTCCTTTGCAGCAACATAGATGGAGCTGCAGGCCATATCCTAAGTGAATTAAAAAAGGAACAGAAAACCAAATACTGCATGTTCTCACTTATAAGTGAGAGCTAAACATTGAGCACACATGGACATTAACAGGAACAAGAGACACTACAGACTGCTAGAGGCGGGAGGCAGGGATGACATGGGTTGAAAAACTACCTATTGGGTACTATGCTCACTACCTTGATGCGATATACCCATGTGGCAAACCTGCACATATACCCCTTGTATCTAAAACTAAAGTTGAAATTAAAAACAAAAAAGTCAGGTACTTTAATTTACTTCAGCAACAGTAATCAACAAACATCATGAATTTGTTCAAAAGAAAGAATTCCTAGGATGAAGCTAAAATCCCTACTCAGGTTCATTAGCCAATAAGTGGAGGAAAAGCCTCTGTGATGCCACGCGATCTGATTGAGATCATTTCTGAGTTCTCTCAAACATCTGAGAACGGCTTTGAGCCAACTCTTGGCTGCACTTTTAACGGCATGTGGGTCAAAGATGTAATGACCAGCATGATGAAACAAGAGATGTCAATAATAGTATTCAAACAAAGGAAAAAAGAGAAGATTTTATAAAGTAGAGGCAAGAAGGCTTACTTACCATTGACTACATCATTTGGGGGTGGCATCTTGTTCACAGTCTGGCAAGACAACAGAAGACAAGATGCTAAAGTTAACAGATAGCACAAACTTAAGGTAAGTGCATATAAATGTTAACAGAATACACTAGGAAGAATTTAGATTTTTTTGTTGGTGAAACAAATTAGAATTTTTCCTGTTATGATTACATTATGCTGTTCAAAGGGAGAGGGAATGTGTGAGGATGTTACATTCAAGTGACTACATGTTCAAAGCTCTTGGGTACATAAAAATAAATTAGCTTGGGAAAGGACATAATGTTCAGGCTGCCCTTGAAAAATCTAAGATTGGCGAGTAGATGTTTTCACAGGAAAAGTTGTTCACCACTTGCTTTCCTATCCCCATGCCACTCTCCCCATGCTTGCAGACGTCTTCCAGTTGCAAAAATCAGGTTATTTCTCCCATTTCTCAAAAACTTTATGAAAGCCCTCCATTATCTAACATCAAACGTTTTTTTCCGGCCGGGCGCAGTGGCTCACGTCTGTAATCCTAGCACTTTGGGAGGCCGAGGCAGGCGGATCACGAGGTCAGGAGATCGAGACCATCCTGGCTAACATGGTGAAACCCCATCTCTACTAAAAATACAAAAAAAAAAATTAGCCGGGCTTGATGGCGGGCGCCTGTAGTCCCAGCTACTCCGGAGGCTGAGGCAGGAGAATGGCGTGAACCCGGGAGGCGGAGCTTGCAGTGAGCCGAGATCGCGCCACCGCACTCCAGCCTGGGCGACAGAGCGAGACTCTGTCTCAAAAACAAAACAAAAAAAATCTGTTTTTTCACCTCCAACATTCCACTCATTATATTTCATCATATATATTTCTTCTAAGCAGTCCTTCTCTTATGTTCTGCCTCAATCTTTTAGAAAATATTTTGCTATAAAATTCTCATCCTTCACCATCCAGGCTAACTGCCTTCTCCTCTGTGAAGCTTTCCTTGATTATCCAGACACAGTGAGCCTTTGCTTGCTGTGCTTCTCTTCAATAACTAACTTTGACTTCGTGAGCAAGTACTATAGCTGTTATATAGTTGTTAATGTCTACTTTTCCAGTGACTATAAGCACCATGGGGCCAGACACCATGTTTCATTCCATGTTTTAGTTTTTTGTCAGCCCTTTGCAGAGTGCCATGGTAGTTATGTGCAAGAGCAGCTTAAAATAATGAAATTTCAAATGTTTTAGCAGTGCTGTTAATAGAATTAGGATTCAATTAATCTTAGTTCTTGATATTAATATCAGTAATTTTTTTTTTTGGGGGGACAGAGTTGCACTCTTGTTGTCCAGGCTGGATTGCAATGGCACAACCTCAGCTCACTGCAACCTCCACCTCCTGGGTTCAAGCAATTCTCCTGCCTCAGCCTACCGAGTAGCTGGGTTTACACACACCCACTACCACACCTGGCTAATTTTTTGTATTATTAGTAGAGATATGGCATCATCGTGTTAGCCAGGCTGGTCTCGAACTCCTGACCTCAGGTGTTCCACCCGCCTCGGCCTCCCAAAGTGCTGAGATTACAGGCATGAGCCACCGCCCCAGGCCTATCAGTAATTTTAACACAAAACCACAAGGGCTGAATTTTTTTTCTTAATTCAATTTTCCCTATTATCTAATTATGCATTGAAGTATGATCCAGAAGTCTGGGGAAGACCTGGTCCTAATTCTTCCCAATTTATGTAGCATATTCAAAGGGTGAGCAGAACATAGGTGCCTACACATGGATCTAAATATCCTTGAAAAAGCTTCTATTTCATTCTCTTTGTTCCACGGTCTGGTTGCAAGATCCAAAGATTTTAGATTTGAATACAGGGCACTATGGTTTGAATATGTCCTCCAAAGTTCATGAATTGGAAGCTTAATCCCCAATGCAACAGTTTTGAGGGCAGGGCCTTTCAAAGGTGATTAGATTCATGAGGAATCTGCCCTCATGAATGGATTTATGTGATTATCACTGGAGTGGGTTTGTTGTAAAAGCAAGATAACCTCCCACCCCTTGCTCTCTTGAGCTCTCTTGTACTTCTGCCTTCCGCTATGGGATGACACAGCATGAAAAACTTTTGCCAGTTGTGGGTCCCTCCACCTTGGACTTCCAGCCTCCAGAACTGTAAGAAATCTCTCTTCTTTATAAATTATCCAGTCTGTCTATTCTGATATAGCAGCACAAAATGCACTAAGACAAGAGGGAATTTTCAAGGTGCAGCGCATCACATAACTAATGAGCATTTATAAAGTTCTTGATGTCTCCATACAAAGATGCTGTGAAAGAACAAATGATTTTTCTTCATAGCTTCACTTAATTTCTTTTCATTCATAGTTATTTGTGCGAAAGGTAACAGGCTTTATCTTTATTCTTACTCTCTAATAGTGTTCAGCTTTATTAAAACAAGCTGTTCTCCAGAAGAATAATTTTATGGGACTTTAGAACCCCACATCACATAGAACTATAACAAAACAAATCTTTGATAAAATATAATTCTTATAATTTAAAAAAATAATTTTTTTAACATGGATGAAGCTGGAATCCATCATTCTGAGCAAACTATCACAAGGACAGAAAACCAAACACCGCATGTTCTCACTCATAGGTGGGAATTGCACAATGAGAACACTTGGACACAGGGTGGGGAACATCACATTTCATTTTTATTGGCATTTCTGGAATAATTAGCCACATTGGAACATTTTGAATTTACTGGAATTTAATGGGTCTATCAAGTAACTGTATGGCAAATGGCCATTTTAAGGTAGACTTGGCAATTCCCCATTTTGCTTACATACATCGAGTCTATAAGCTGTAAGCTGCAGGTTTGATCCTCATTGCGAAGGCAGCTTAACTCCTGAAAAAGCTAAGAGGCAAGATTTTTTAAAGTGAAAAAATGAATAAATGAAAATAAATAAGTTAGCAAAGTGTTAATTGCAATGAAAAATCTATAGGTATTACTGTGCTGTTAAGGTGAACATATTGTTATGAGCTAAACTGTATCCCCTCAAAAATTATATAGTGAAGCCCTGACCTCTGGTATCTTAAAATGTGACTGTATTTAAAGATAGGGCCTTTAAGAGGTGATTAAGTTAAGTGAGGCCGTTAGAGTGGGCCCTAATGCAATCTGAATGGTGTCCTTATTAGAGAAAATTTGAACATGCACAGAAAGAGAGAGAGAGAGAGTGACTGGGGCTGTGCAAACACACAGAAGAAACACCAAGACTACATTAGGACAAAGGACAAGGTGGCCACCCACAAGCCAAAGAGAGAGGCCACAGAAGAAACAAAACATGCCAATACCTTGATCTTGTACTTCTAGCTTCCAGAACTGTGACAAAACATATTACTTTTGTTTACGCCACCCAGTTGGGTATTTTATCATGATAACCCTAGCAAACCAGCACACTTATTTCACACTAAGGTAGACTACCATCCATTGGAGTAAGACTTCCTGGCCTCTCTTACTACCTCTTTATCTGATTGGTACTTAGGGAAATAAGCTGAGAATGCATGGCTTGACCCTTCTCTTATAGCTTCTTTAGTTTTTCATTTGCTTGTCTCCAAAGAATACATGCTCCTCTCTGCTGCTGGCCAGAGCAGGTACTGGCCTTAGACATCTCAGTTGCTCTCTCCTTTCTTTGCCCTTGGAAGCCGCCTGCCTGCTGTGAGCAGGCTTTCTGTTCTTCTCATTCCTGCTGTGAGTTTTATACTGGTAATCTCTTCCCCTGGGGAGAGAAGGCTGCTCTCTTCCAGTGCTGCCCAGGACTGGGTGTTTATATTTGCCTAATAATGGGGTACAGTTTTAAAAATCTCACTGTTACCCCAAACAACATTCTTAAGAGCTAATTAAGTCATTAATTAAACTGACTTTTTGTCTCCATCTGATTACTACTTTCTTTATTCCCTTTTGATTCGAGGTGGGTTGGAAAGGGATATACTTCATTTTATCTTCAAACCTCAACGTAAAAGAAATTAAACACCAAATTAGAATAATCCTATAGGACTCTGGATCTGCTCGTGATAAATAATTTATTATGCACTAATTGATTATGGTCCCAAAGCTACACAAGCCAATGAACGAACTGCTTATAGACATACTCTGACTCTTCTCAACTAGAAATGACTGGTTGGTTGGTTTTTTTCAATATCCCACCTAAAAATCAAGTTTCCGGTTTGTGCTTTTTCTTAATATTTTATTCTCTTATCTGTTCTCTGGGTTTTGGACATTTTATTACTAATCCACTTTTTCCAAAGGTAAACAACAAGCTCAAGAAGAAGGAGAGCTACAAGCAGCCCAATTTATACCTGGTTGGCTGTTCTGCTAAGAGACTTGATTTTAGTAAAAAGAGAAATACTGGCTTACCAGTGCTGTTGAATTATCCAAGCTATAAAATTAATATAATAATACTACTTGTAATTGGATTCACTGAGGATGTATTATGTGCCAGTATGTGTGCCTTATAGCAGAAGTCTAAGTGCGGCACATGCATTGTCTAACTTAATTCTTATAACAACTTTTGATGAAAAGAGGTGCAGGGGGCTTAAAGTATCTTGTGAAATTTCACCCAATTGGCAAGCAATGGAGTTGAGAATTAAACTTGGGCTTTCTCATTCCAAAGTCTGTGTTCATCACAACTTACCACTTGCTCTATGCCAGGAATAAGCATTGAGAGCCACTATAAATTTTTCAATCAGGGGAAGAAATATACCAATTTGGGAAGTCACGGTCAACTGGAGAAGATTGACTGCTCAACAAGTGACTTCTTTCGTTTCACATTTTTAAAAAAGGAAGATTTTGAGTCATAATTTATAGATCTTCTCTCATTTTTTCCCTAAAAGTACACCTACATTTTCCTTCTTTTGTAAAATAGAAGAAAATGGTGATTTAGCCATTACTATAGTTGCTTTAAGCAAATTAGTGGCTCTTGAATCACATTTTATAGTTCAACAAACCAAAAAGTCGAACTGATTTTGCCAGAAACATAATCTTAAAAGATTTTTAAGTGTTTTAAGATTCCTAAGTAGACTGTCTTAGAAAACAAATGCTAAAATTAAATTACTTGGCAAAACTAAACTCATATATGAGAGCTAACCTAAAAGTTACCCTGCACAAACAAGTAACAATAGGGGCATTTTATATTAAACTTTGTTTACAGAACAAAAATTCCCACTTGGTTCTTCTTTCTTATAAATAAATTTCCCAAGTATTAGCACATTTTCTTAATTGCCATTGGAATCATGCTATTCTCTATTAAAATCTAAATCTAGATCATGTGAAAATAACAGTGTAAGTAAAAGTGAGTCTTATTTCATGTGCTAGATGAGCTAAGTATAGTTCTCAAAATGCATATTCTCTGATAAGATGGTCACTCACAAAAAAATTTAAAAAAACATCAAATATGATATGAAGACCTCCAAAACCATGTGCAGGGAAATTTAATGAGTATTAATGATATTCTAAAAGAGATGCTAGACTTGTTAGTGGTGAGCAAGGATGCTTAGATCATGCTAATGTTAAAACCTAACAGATTTCCTAAATGCCTTTCATGTTGAGGTGAGATTCCTGTTTCCATGGCAACCTGCAGTGAGTTAAGAAGGGTACTGTTAAACTGTATGGCAGTTTTGCTTAGTCTCTCTGAAAGAAAAATATCAGAAGAAACCATTTCTCTACCCATGATTGTAATCAGAGATCCTCCGCCCCCAACCACAAGCTTCTATTGCTGTTCCTGAAGAAGATATTAAGGGCAGTAAATCAGAAATCTATTTAATGATCTACTATGCTCTGCATGAGCTGCAGACCCTTTGCTGGTCCAAAAATCACATTTGCAGCAAATTAACATTGGCAAGTCTGTAGGAAGGGATCAAAACAAATAAAGATGCCAAATAATGAGCAGGAGAAATAATAGGAAAATATCTGTGATGCCTTGATTCCTAGAGACTGCTTTAAATGTGTTAAAACAACTTCCTTTAGGGTAGTGCCTCACTCTCCTGTTTTTGAAACTCTGCTATTCTTTGCATTTGAGAAATGAAAATATAATGAATATTTCTGTTGTTCTGCAAGGAATCCAAATCAAAGCTCTGACAAGAAATATCCACCCACATGTTTGCTTCAGTTTTTCCTAATACACTCATTACCCTGCGCGAAGCTCAAGACCAAGTGATCTCACCCAGACTGACAGAGGCAGCATGTCTACTGGCAATTATCCCAGTGTATTCAATGGGAACAGTGCAACTGAAAATCAAAGATCCTGAAACAGGGCATCTGCTACTCAGAGAAACTCAAAGTCAATTTTTAAAACTACATCTATTTTGCTGTCATAAAACACTTATAGCTAACATTTATTGCACACCTATGAGTACCAGTCATTATGCTAAATATTTTATATGCAGCATCTTAGTGATTGTCATAAAACCACAAAAGATAGGAATTACAAATATTATATCTGGTTTTACAAATGAGAAAATTGCCTAAGATCACACCTATTCTAGGAACATTTTTAAAGTAATCAGAGGTAGACTTGGAGGCTGCCTCTCCCTCCCTTTTAAGCATTCTTCTGCTGTTTAAAAATTAATAAATTTTTTAATTTACAAATGTATACATACATGCCTTTAGGAGTCATTCCAGCATCTTAACTGAGTCAAGCAGTCTGGCAGGCATGGAAAGACAATAGAGCCTGGTGGGGACTTAGGCAGTTGGAGTTCACATGTCCCAGCTTCTGCTGAGGTTGATCATGCAGAAATGTGGGTTCAGTGTGACCAGATTTTATTTCTTTTCAAGACAACCCACTCATCCCAATTTTCAAGTGAAATTTACACATTTAAAAAATTGGTACCATGAAAAAAGTGTGAGAACCAAGAGGAAGATCTGCCCCAGGCTGCCTGATTGTTTTCTCTGTGTTAGAAATTATTCATCCTTCTCTCCAAAAACAAAAGTATTTCAAAAGAAGATTCCCCCACCACCATGAAAACATAACACAAGGCCAAAATTTAGCAAGGCAGTAGGAGTGGGAAAATTCTAGGTTTTGGTGAGCCTTTTTGGTAAGTAAAATGAAAAGAATAGTTGCATAAATAGAATCTAAGGGTAGTGCCTCTTTCCAATTTTAATTTTATTTACTGAATTTCTCGCAGAAACTTAATGCTTTCCCTTTTATTCAATGTTGTATATTTTATATCAAATAATTGAAGCAAAGCAGAATTCCATTTACTCTTTAATTAAATGAAATAACATTATTAAAAAACATGTTCTATAATTTGGTTCTGTGTGATGATGCAAGTGGCAAGTTTAATTTCATTCAACTGAATGACAGCAATAATCATACAGAATAGAGATGAGTAATTTAGATTTTCCAAGCTCCTGTTCTTGAAGTTACCCTAAGTGTCAAAAGTAGGAACATTCTTGAAGGTATACTATACACCTCCCCCAGCAACAGCTCCTTTCAGACAGCAAGCAAGAACGAAGCTGAAGATAACACTGGAAAATGTTTACCATTGATTCCCTTAATACATTTACTTTTGATGACAGAGGGGCAAATTACATGACTATTTTTATATATAGGAAAGAAAAACTAAATCTGACCCCCTGTTTTAACTTAACTGTTTCATTAACACGATAATGAACAACAAAATCCCTTCTTGGGAAGAAGGTGTGGATATGTATGTTCAATACATTTGCTAGATATTTTCTAAAGCAATGTTACTGTTACATTAAACATTAACAAATTATTTTATTGGAATATTGGTGTTATGTGATTTTCCACATTATTTTACTACAGTCATTAATTGACGAAATGAAAGACCCAAAGTTACATGAAAGTGAGCATGACTGTAAAAATAAATTTGAGTGCTCACAGTGGTCCAGCAACACCTGTGACAATTTATAAATATGGCCCCACAATGATATTTCAGGGATTTTTTTCCTAACCTTACAAAGCTATAAAGAGAGACTGTAAAGCAACCAAGCTCAAGCAGCTTTTTGGCATTAATAGCAGATGATCAGACCTAATGAATCCTTGAAATGCAAGCACATATGGGTGTAGGTAAAAATTTGTTTCTAGGAATCTGAATTTGAGGGCCATGGCAAGGCATTGGAATAAATATCTGAATCTCCATTTCCCTTCATTTGCACACTGTACTTCCCATTGACCTTTGTTACTAAACAATAATGATGTTAGAGGGGTACTGCTGTTTATATGTTTTCTTACTTAATCTACACAACTCTCAGAGATAGTGATTGTTATCTCGATGTTACAGAGTAGGAGACTTGTGCCCAAAGAGCTGAAGTAATTGACCTAAGAATCTAATGAGGAAGGGCCAGAGCAAAGACATAAAGCCACCCTTTTCCATGCCAATGCCCCTGTAATTCCAATATTAGAATCCTACTACTGTATTATTATTGTGGCACTGTGAATCCAGGACTTCACCGAGTTCCGGAGAGCTAAATAGGCTGAGAGAGCTACTCCATCATTTGAGAAACAATCTTACCTGTAAAATGTCAATAATGCCTTTTACTTGCCAATTCCATGGGATTATCGTGAAGATCAAAGGAGTAAATGTGTATGTTAATGAGATTTCAGCAGTAGAGATCACCAACAAACAAACTGTTAAATGACATCATTGGTTCATCCCGTCAGTTAAATAGAGGAGTATTTACTTTGCAAGAGGCAATAAATGATATTCCTTTTCTCTTAGGATTTGAAACAATCCAGAGACAGACATGAGAGCTAGGCAGAAAGAGATCAAACTATGAGTATGAGAAGGTAACAGCATGGAGAACATGGCTTAGATGTGTGGTAACAGTGGAATTCCTCATTGTTCCTGCACTCTAGTTTAGATCCCTGAATAAACAAACAGACGGAAATCTAAATTTTTGGAGAACTCCCTTACTCTGTCGCCCAGGCTGGAGTGCAGTGATGCCATCTCGGCTCACTGCAAGCTCCGCCTCCCGGGTTCATGCCATGCTCCTGCCTCAGCCTCCCGAGTAGCTGGGACTACAGGTGCCCGCCGCCACGCCCGACTAATTTTTTTGTATTTTTAGTAGAAACGGGGTTTCACCGTGTCAGCCAGGATAGTTTCAATCTCCTGACCTCGTGATCCTCCTGCCTTGGCCTCCCAAAGTGCTGGGATTACAGGCGAGAGCCACCACGCCCGACCAGAACTCCCTTGCTCTTTATCAGCAACATACTGGCCTGAGGAAAAGAGGGCAGAAAGAAAGGGAATCCCTCACATTTAGGACTATTGGACTAGGTGAGCTCCACTTGAAACAAAATCACGGACTGAAGGCTCTACTTGCTTTTCCTACTAACCTGCTGGGAAAAATGAGGGATGGGGCTAAAAGTATGGAGGGTTTAGGAATAAGCTCTCCTAATGTAACTCAGATTAGTGGATGACAAAAATCTCCCAAATAGTAATCTCAGTCTCAACTGTGTACTTGTTGTGGGATCATAGGCCACTATTTCAGTCTAAATAAAAACAAGTAATGAACACCGAAACTTGACTAAGGCAAGTGATAAGATCATCATGTTTAAAACTATGAAAAGACTCTGCTTAAGACAAAACTTCCCAGACTGTATTGCATTATTCAGTTTGCCCTTCTAGTTCCTGATCAATTAAATATGTTGGCATTTATTGTGCATCTGCAGTGTACATTCCTTTTAATCGTTCTTCTCCTCTTCCCTAAACAGAATTAAAGAGTGTGTTAGGAATAAGGATAGATGGAAATTTAGCTTTACTGAGAGCCAGTTGGAAAAATTTTAACTGAAAATATCTCAGAATAGTTGTCACTCTGAATTTGGTCTCATTCTTTTCCTCTACTCTCACTTTCCCAAGCTGCCTCCCACATACACACATTGTCACACAACTTGTGCCCCAAGCATATTATGCTTCCCACAATCACCCAAGAACTCCAAGCTCCTTCATACATGCAACATTTTGCATTTCTCATTCCCTTTGTCCAACATGCCATAATGTCTCTTTGTTGAACAATGAACTCTTGCTAATTTTTGAAGATTGAGCCTATGAGTTACTACCTCAAGAAAGCTTTCTATGACTCCCAGAGCTCAACCACTGTTCATT